>NC_000013.11:94434797-94737827 GCF_000001405.40 Homo sapiens
AATAATTTAAAATAATAATACATTTGCCGCATTGGAAAATAGGTCTTCAGCAAAGTATGCTATATAGTGTATCAGTAGGGAGTAAGCTAATGGT
The DNA here is from genome assembly GCF_000001405.40 of Homo sapiens. Taxonomy (NCBI): domain Eukaryota; kingdom Metazoa; phylum Chordata; class Mammalia; order Primates; family Hominidae; genus Homo; species Homo sapiens. The sequence goes on from NC_000013.11 coordinate 94,434,892, forward strand.
TCTTCTCCAGGAAAGACTGCATCTTCTGTCAGCATTTGATGTGATTCAAATCAGACTCTTCAGTTTCTTCACTTATGTTTTTCCCTTTCCTTTCTCTCCATAAAAACAATGACTATCACCAGGTCTGTAATCTTCTTCCAGAGAGAACCACCAGAAAAGAAGAGCAGGTAGACATAGCTGGAAAATCGAAGCCCCAATTTTCTGACAAACAAAACTAGCCAGAATAAGCAAATAAATTACATGTGCACGTGTTTCTCTTTAGTCTTTACCTGTGTATTTCCCTAGAGGGGAAAGGTTTATAAAAACTAGAAAGAGGCCATGTTTTCTTTATCACTTGAGTTTATCAATCACCTAACATAAAGCCACCATGGGCTCCCAGTTTTGAAAAGCGAATTTTCCACACTAAAGGACATCTTCAGACACTGCTCAACCCACACCTGAGTTCAAATATTTATATATAGTTTTAATACATTGATCCAACATTTGTTTTAAAAAACGTTCCCCAAATTTTTCTTGTTGATGACGGTTTTTAATAGAAAAAATAAGTTTCCCCAGTTTCCAGCTGCAATGTGATCATATAAATAATATTTAACTAAATTATATTCTGTGTGTGTTTGCCAAGCCTAAAAGCATTTTTGCCCAGTGGCCTGAAATGTTCCTCTAAACTTTTCTGGCTTACTGGTAAACATTTAACATTTCAAAATAGATTAAACGGGGAATCGTGAGAGCCTATGTAGGAAACTGTTTCTTTCTAAATATTGTGCTTTGTCTGTTCTGATTTCTGAATTCATGGCAAATCTTCCAGCCTTTTTTTCCACTCGGGGTAGACCATCAACCATGGTAGAGGAAAATAGCTTTAAGAACTTTACTACATTGTGCAATTTTCTAATAAAACACAAGAGGGCAGGTTTTGCTTTATTGTAAGCCTAATTCCACTCCCCTGGTAATCAAGATCAGTCACTGGGCTAATTGCAAATTCAGAAACCCTCAATAACATACAAAGTGAAGGAGTAATCAGGGTGCATAACTCTGGCAGTGAAATCTGTTGTTTTAATAAAGAAGGCCAAGCTCAAGCATCTCTACTTAGCATTATTTACAACCAGTACAATTATACTTGGGAGGCGCTGTGATAGTTTTAGTTTGTTCATAAAATGCCAAAAGAGCAGAAAATGGCTAACAGAATGACCAAATCCAGTCATATTAGATTTAAGAAGTCTGACTAAAGTTGATGGGGCAAATAACAAAAGTGGGCCAATGGTTTCCATCAAACATGCAGCTGTGGAGAAAATTATACAGAGCATGCAAGTATTGAATAGGAACCTTTTAACTTTGTTTTGTTTTAGAAAACTTTAACTTCTAGTTCACAATACTCTTGTGTATGGTTTTCAATATTTCATTTAATGACCTGCCAAAGCAGAATTAAGTTCATAAGGGTTTTTTTCAGCTTGAACTGCTGTTACGGCTAAAGTCAAAGTATTGTCATCTTTGGAGAGTTTCTAAAGCAATTGCTGCTTGAGTCCATCAGTGTGAGAGAGGCATTGGTTTGCCTGACTAAATAATTTGCCCACTAACTCCTTCCACTGAAACAAAGCTTTTAGGATATCAGACAGTGGAGGATCCTAAAATGGCATGTGTGAGGACTTAGAGGAGAGATGGGTAGAAATCTTAACTTCCTATCCTAGTCCCTAAAAATGGTAGAATTAAGGCCTACCAATAGTAGGAAGAAGATACATCTAGAAAGAAAATACACCTGAAGAGTATCTCCTTGTGTTAGGTTGCATAGAGTATGATTCTACCTAGCATACGTGCAATTCAAAATCTGAAGGATAGGTTGTATGGTAACTTCATGGCAGAGATGGATCTTATGTTTTATCCAGTACATCTTAAAACAGATGTCAGAAGCTCTGAATGAAACATTCTACTTTGAAATTAGTTTATTCATTCACTTATTCATTCAAAGAATATTTATAAAATACTCAGGATAAGTAAGGCACTATAGAAATAGGAAGAGCTTCAACCTTAGAGTCTCCAACAAATTGACCCATCTTGAAGGCTTATCTGGGAGATCACCAAGTTAGCTACTGCAGGACCTCTCTTCCCTGGTCAGTCACTTGAAGCAGCCACCTGCTTCCACCCCAGGATTAGTCACTAAACTGTGGGGAATATCAAAAGTAACTTCACCTGAGGAAAGGCTGGCTCTCCTTTTCCTACCTGTTCAAACAGATTCAGAAAATAGCAATTGTTTGGAAACTCACCAGAAAATAGCATATCAGTTTAAGAGATTATTTTTCAGACTGAGGTTGTTATTATATATTTTACATGTATATATATTTCAATATACATGCTGAGTGCCCAAAAGATGGGAATTGATGCACACTACTTAAAAAACAATAATCCTCAAAAGACAAACAATAATCTGCAAAACAACATTTATTTTTAGTTTCCTTTTTAGTAAGTTTTCTACTTCTTAATAATGAGATTAAAACTAGTCATTAAAAGTATTATAATTAACAATGTTAAATCCTAAGCAAGATACAAATGTCAATTTTAGAATTAGAAGGGAATTTAATGCACAAAGGAAAGATGTTATTGCATTTTATCCCATTTCTGAATGTTAGCTTTATAAAAAGCATTTCTATTAAAATCATACATGCAGTTTTTCTAATACTGAAGATATAAGCAGTAAAGTGATCTGGTCATTTTCTCCAAGGTTGAATTCTTCCCCCTATCATTGAGAAATATAGCCCACAGTATTTGGTGACATTTTCTGAGTTTATTTGCATGATATTCAATGTAAGTAAATACCAACTTTTTATTCTGTTGGTTTATCCTACCTTAATATTTGTTAAAATGCATTCATAATTGATTTATTGTAAGGTCAGAAAATGCTAGAAAATTGTATTTCTCTTATATGAACTACAAAATTAGGAAATTCTCTCAGGAAGACATTATAAAACATAATAGTTATAAAAAGTCACCCACACTACAGATAAAAGCAGCTAAGTATAATCGATTACTATTTTTTCCTACCTAAGATAGATCTGCTTTAACCAAGTCTTATGAGACTATGATATATGAGAATTCTGATATACCTGACAGATAAGCTAGAGGTGGTTATTTGCTTTATGAAATTATTCGTAATAGTTCACTTATAAAAAGTAACTTCTGGCGCTTTTAACATAATTGATTTATACATAACTTTTCAGAAATATATGTACCATGCACAATTATATCTCCATTTTAATAAATTTCTCTTTTTGTTTAAAACCAAGATTTAAAAATGTGTTCCCCAACTATCCTGAGCTCAGAGCATAAACCTTCCAGAGTGGAGCATGTGAAAGACACAGTGCTGTATTTTCCATGAATATTGTTAATGGCAGGAACTGAGAGGTATCCATGTGGCTGAGGCTAAAAAGCCCAAGCAGGGCTTTACCGGGCTATCTTGATCTTCACCACTGAGCCTGCTCTCAGATGCACCTGTAGCTTTATGAGATTCAAATTCAGTTCCAACTGGGCTTTGTCCATTTCTCTGGCTTTAGCAGTCCTTTTGCATGGGGTAAACTGGTTCTTGATGAGTCTTGCACCCTCTAGGACCCCTTATGTTGAAGGCAGCTCCAGGGACCTCTTAACACCCATTCTTTACATTCATTCATTCCAGTAGAGAGGGGCCTCGACAGACAAGCCACGCCCTAGAACTTCAGTCTCACTCCTGATGCACAGAAACCAGATATGAGCAGATGAAATTTGCCTGGAAATCTCAAGAGCCATTAACTTCTCTGAAGTGGGGTCCATCATGATAAGTCTGAACATCGTAGTAAAGATTGTCTCATTCTTATTCCTCATGATCTGATGATTGCATAGCAGAATATAACCACTTAATTCTGAATTGTCATGTTTTGTACAGATGGTTTGCTTTCAAATGATAAGACTTAATTGATCAGCATTCATAAGTAACTGTGAGTATTCGGCAACATTAATCAATCTAACATCAATGCTTAAAAATAAGCCCAGTGCATTATGTGGGAATAATTTTTCATCTGAGGCTACCTAGTAAAGAAATTGGTAGAGGATCAGCCAAAGAGACCTCAGAGTAATGGGACTCAAGTCAAATTGTCTCATGTTCAGGTTTACAGCCTCACCAGCCTTCAGTCAGCCTTCCTTGGAAAGAGTAATTCTGTATTTGTTAATAGGTTTACAGTAGCATATCAACTAACCAGGAAACTCTATAATTTTATTATCTTCTCTATTTATCACTATAGAATCAATGTGTATCCAGCTATTGAATCCTGTAATATAGGTCTACTGTTTAAAACTGCAGATTTTAAGTAAAATCCGTAAAATCTAGTTTACACAATAGAGTGGAATTGATCCTTCATTTAGTCATTTTCCATCCTGTAAAGAAAACAAGGCTTATTCTCATCTTCTAAGCTGGAGAGGAAAAATATAGAGAAAAGAAGAAAAAGAAGCCCAAGGAAGATAATCAGGAGGGTGCCTAGAAGCAGAGATGTTTATAGCTAAAAGGGATCTTGGAGACTCATCTAGCACCTACCAACTCCCACCTCCATGGCATTACCAATAAAGACACTGGGGCTAAGAAAGATTGATGTATGGTCTTGGCCAGGTCTCACATTGCACTGACCTGCAAATTTAAATGACTCCCCTGGATCAATGTTTTGGGATTTTTTTTGTTTTTTTTTAAATGCTTTCAGAAAAGGAGGAGGCTTAATCAATATTGGGGGGGGGGTTATTATTAGATATCACAAATTGTCAGGTCTATCTTTATTTGAAGGTAGAGGTAGCCTCAAGCACTTTAGTTGGGTTTGTTAAACAAGCAAGCAAAGCGGAAACTACAGCTAAGCATCTTCTGAATGAGATCATCATCACTATAGAAGAACCTATGTCAAAGATCTTCAACTCAAGAAGGAACAGTGAGGATTAGTTCCTTTATTGTCAGCGTCAGAACTGTGGCTTGGCCAGCCTCTTCTCTTAGGTAAGGCATGAGCACCCTAGGCTTCTTCTGTGTATCTCTTGCTGCTTAAATGTGTCTCCATTAGGGGTGTATATCCTTTTCGAAGTCTTCTATATTGAAGAAAAGCCAACAGCACAAAAAGACCAACCAAAGCCACCAGTGTTCCCATGACTACTAAGAGAGTTGTGGGCCAACCTGGAGTTTCTTCAACTGAAACTAAAGCAGAAGAGAAGGGTCTACAATCAGGATTTTCATCAGCTGAATACTTTCAGAAGAGAAAAAGAGCAAGCGCACTTGCCTTTCACGTGCTTTTTGTTGATAAAGCAAAACTACTCATGCTAGACTAAAATTTATCTTCTCCTTTCTCACCATTTATCATATCCACAATTGTTTTTCTTGGGGTAGTCAGAACTGGCATCCCATTACTTAAATACAGCTTATTGCATTTTAAAAATTTGTTACAATAAATGCTTATGCCGAAGAAACCTTCTAAGGAAGAATGTAACTACTTTTCTGAGTTAGAAACTCATTTGTGAAAGTGCATGCTAAAATGGCATCTGGGGAGCTGCAAAATATACAGCCCTTGGGAAGAGAAATTCTGCTATTGTCTCTACCTTTTTTATAGAATGATAAACCTGTGAGAGGGATCAGACTGGCTATTACACCAGGAGACACTCAATAACCAAGCAGATGATATTTATACCCATTCAAATAGTTGTGAATAAAATGTAAATCTCCCACATGATAAATCCAATCTTCTACTCTCATATATTTTATAAGCTCTCTTCCACAAAATTAGTGGATTTCATTTTTTGGTTTTTTTTTTTTTTTTTTTTTTTAGATAAAGTCTCGCTCTGTCGCCCAGGCTGGAGTACAGTGGCATGATCTCGGCTCACTGCAACCTCTGCCTCCTGAGTTCAAGCGATTCTCCTGCCTCAGCCTCCCGAGTAGCTGGGATTACAGGCACCCATCACCATGCTCAGATAAATTTTGTATTTTTAGTAGAGACAGGGTTTCGCCATGTTGGCCAGGCTGGTCTGAAACTCCTGACTGCAGGGAATCCACCTGCCTCGGCCTCCCAAAGTGCTGGGATTACAGGTGTGAGCTACTGCACCTGGCCGAATTTCATTTTTAATATACATATGCCTATTTTTCATTTATTTTAAAAATTATATTCTCCTTGGCCAACTGTTCTTAAATTCAGCTCCTCTGAATTTGTTCTATACCTTACACTCACCTAATATAAGATTCTCTTTCTAGTCCTTTTTCTGCAATCCCATGGGAGGTCCTGACCTGTCCTGATGGGATTCCTCCAAGAGGGTTTTGATCTGTCTCCTCCTGATTCAACCCAGCAGCACCTATTGCCAACTTCATCTTCTTAAAACACATATATTTTTATTCTGCCATTTCTTTGTTCAAGACCAAAAAATGGTTGCCTTTTGCTTTTGTCCAAATCCTCTTAGTTTTTTAAAAAATTATGTTTTAGAAATTGTTGTAACATATATGTAACATAAATTTGACCACCTTGACCATTTTTAAATAGGCAGTGCAGTGGCATTAAGTACATTCACATTGTTGTGCGACCATCGCCACCATCCATTCTCAGAACCTTTATATCTTGCAAAACTGATACATTGTGCCCACCAAACAGTAACTCCCTATTCTCCCCTCCCAACCCCTGGTAACCAGGGGTCTCTATGAATTTGACTATCTCATAGTCTAAGTGGAGTCATGCAGTATTTGTTCTTATGTCTGGCTTATTAAACTTAGCTTAGTGTCCTCAAAGTTCATCCATGTTGTGGCATGTATCAGAATCTCCTTCCTTTTTGAGGCTGAATAATATTCCACTGTATGTATGTACCACATTTTGTTTATTCATTCATCCACTAACAGACACTTGGTTTGCATCTACCTTTTGGCTATTGTAAGTAATGCTGCTATGAACATGGGTGTGCAAATATCTCTGCTGGACCTTGCTTTCAGTTCTTTTAGGTATACCAGAAGTATAATTGCTGGGTCATATGGTAATTATTTGTTCCATTTTTTTGAGGAATCCCCATACTGTTTTCCATAGTGGCTGCACCATTTTACATTCCCACCAGCAATGCACAAGGATTCCAATTTCTCTACACCCTCAGCAACACTTACTATTTTCTATTTTTTTTTGATAGCAGTCATCCCAATGGGTATGAGGTGGTATCTTATTGGGGTTTCTGCCTGGCATCTAAGGCCCTCTGTACCTAGGCTCTTTCATAAATTTGAACTTAATTCGAGGTAATTCTCTGCCCAAGCGTCCCACTACAGCCAGGCTTGAAAGACTCAGGTCAAAGAGAGAGAGACTGAGCTCTGAAATCATCTTGATTGCTTTCTAGGCTGAGACTTTGGGTAAATAGGCTGTGTGATTTTTCACCTTCTTGATTAAGATTTTTTAAATTGTTTTGTTTTTGTTTTTTTGGGTTTTTTTGAAACAGGGTCTCACTCTGTTGCCCAGACTGGAGTGCAGTGGCACAAACAGGGCTCACTGTAGCCTCTACATCCTGGGCTCAAGCGATTCTTCCACCTCAGCCTCCCGAGTGGCTGAGACTACAGGCATGCACCACTATGCCCAGCTAATATTATTTGAATTTTAGCAGAGATAGGTCTCAGTATGTTGCCAGGCTCCTAACATTCTTTAAATGGTGTGTGGAGCCATATTGGGGCCTGGGCCAAAAAGAAAAACATGTGCCCTGTATATACTTGTCAAAATATCCTCCCATATGTTGAACCAAGTGGGAAAAGTTAATAAGAAATCTACAATCTTAAAACATGACTTTAAAAACAGTAACTAATGCAACATACACATAGAGTCCCACGTAGCCCAATCTGTTGGTAGACCAATCAATGTCAGCCTTCATGAACCTATCCATCGCAGGTGGTATAGGCTAAATGGGAAATGACTGATTCAGTTATAAGACGATGTGGGTATGAAAAACAAACAAAAGTCTGCCTTTATTTAAAATTTTGATGATGTATTATTCATGGTTAATTTTTTGCATTAATTTTGACTTTCCAAAATTTTGTATTATATTATTACTTACCTTGATTACTGAGTTTTCTGGCCTCCTCTTGAATTTTGTGCTCAAGGCAAATGTTGTACTTTCCTCACCCTAATCCCAGCCCTGCCCTCAAGGAATAATCTCTAAATCCAGCTAGTCCCTGTACAGTGTGGCTAGTTCATTTTTATTTCATTGGTTAGAAATTTCAAAGAACCATAGGGAGGTTTTTTATTAATCCAATAAACTCAGAGAGAATTGTCAAGTCAGGTGTAAAAGCAGATAGTTCATTTAATAAGATCTATTTAAAACTTTCAGTTTTCTAAAACAAGAGTCAGCTCATTAGTCCCTTTCTGATGTTTAATTGGTAGTTTAAAGGCTCATTTTGCTAAATACGTATATGCTAGAAAAATGGTCAATAAACTTAACTAGACCTGAAAGCTTCGGCTAAAGGTCTTGGTTTACATTATAAAGAAAGAAAGCAAGAAAGCTAGCTTCTTTAGAAGATGAATGAATCACCCATTTGGAAGTTGTGTTAGTTACCTGGCAGATCGATGGCATAGCTGTAGCCAAGTTGGTCTGAGGTTAAAAAGAGTTCTTCATTAGTCACTGGAGGGAAGAAAGGAACCATGTTGTACATCCGATTGTGACCAATAGGGGCCAGCTCCTGAGGCCAGGCATCTGCAGGAGGATTAAATCTTTTCATCCACTCATCAAAGATGGCATCAGTAAAGGAATGAAGAACCTGCAAAACAGTTGGACACAGCATTTAACATAAATCAGTCTGTTCCGATCACACCAACCTGACTGTTGCTTTCTCTAAAGTGGAATAACTTCTTCTTGACATAGGAACTTCTGTATACCCATGTGTGGAATACCCCCTTCTGTGTACCACCATGAGGAAGCCCAAATCAACTCATATAGAGTGACTATGATGGCGAGGATCAAGATTTCGGGAAGAAAAACAGTTAAGTTTTCAACGATGTATGAATCTCTCTCTCCAAGCAGGACTATAAACCCCTTTGTCAAGTGAGCAAATGAAAGTTCATGTTGGATTTAACATTGGTTGCAGATTGAACATTTGAGGCCTTCAACATATATGTGTTAATTATGAAATTCAGAAAAAGGCAAGTATGATAAGATACATGTTCTAGTATTGAGATGATTTGGTTTAACAGGAGAGAAAGAAAAAGTTGTGTTTACAGGTTGAGTATCTGAAATCTGAAAATTTAAAACCTAAAATCCCCCTAAACCTGAAACTTCTTGAGTGCCAACATGACACTTGAAGGAAATGCTCATTGGAGCATTTTTGAATTTTTTGGATTTGGGATTCTCAACTGGTATAATGCAAGTATTCCGAAATCTGAAAAAATTCAAAATCCCAAACACTTCTGGTCCCAAGCATTTCAGATAAGTGATACTCAATCTGTATCAATATTATAATATAAAGGAACAGTAAATTTTTCTCACCAGGAATACTCTTCTGTCTACTCATTTCATAAACTCTCACTTGAATTCTTGCTGTTATGCCAGCAAAAGAAAGTCTAAAAAGGTAATGTACAAAGTGCTCATTTATGTTTTCTCAAGGAAGCCATTAAAGTCCTTTTAAAATATAGCAATTACTATATGTTTTGAAATATTAACAGCAAAATTTCCACATTGATAGCCCTGATTTTGTAACATGATACAAGTTTGAGAGTTCAGTCCCACCTTGATGGCAGTTGTTGGAGTTCCTTGTTCCTTCCTGGATGGTAAGTTCAAGGAGCTCAGGGGCAGTGTCCTTTTTTCATTCCCCCTGGATCCCCAGAGCTTGTCACCCCAGGGTGTCTCATATGGAGAAAGGGAGGTACTTATTTCAGTAAATACTTATTCAGTGTATTCATTCCTCCATTCACCACTGTACCTTGTACCTCATTTATAGCACTGATCAAATGATACTATAACTTGTTATTTATGTATCTATGTCCCCTAACAAGATCCTAACTCCTTAAGGTCTAAGATAAGGACTTTTCACCTTTGAAGTCTCAGGTTTAGTATACAACCTGGACAGAGTCAATGTTTACTAACTATGTGTTTGCTGATGACAGTGTCATGCAGACACTTTGCATACAGTGCAAAGCTTAGCATACAACCTGGACAGAGTCAATATTTACTAAGTATGTGTTGGCTGATGACAGTGTCATGCATCTTTATTTACATAAACAGTTTGTGCAAATAAACAGTGTCTAGGGATATACAAAAATATATTTTCCAAAGAAGGCCACACAATGTTTGTTTCTTGACTAACATGCTTTTCTAGAATCTTGCCACTCCCTCATTGAAGGTTGGCTTCATCTGGCCTTCCCTTGAAACTTGGTGAGTTTCTGACTCTTTTATAACCAATAAAATGCAACAGAAGTGACATTTTGTGACTTTCAAGGTTAAATCATAAAGTGTATTGCAGTTCCTATCTTGTGCCTGAGCCCTGAACCATCAAATAAGCAGTCCAGCTGTCCTGAGGCAGCCATGCTGTGAAGAAGCCCAAACCAACTCATATAGAGTGACCATGATGGCGAGGCTCAAGATTTCAGGAAGAAAAACAGATAGCGGGCCAGTCCACAGCTGTTCCAACACCTATCACCATCTGACTGCAGCTGCACTGAAAGATGCTAGGCTAGAACTGCCTAGTCAAGCCCTTCCAAAATTCCTGACCCACAGAAATGGTAAGAAATGAAATGGTCACCTTCAAGCCACTGAGTGTTTGGGTAATCGTAATCTGTTATGCAGAAATGGATAAACACAACAAAGGAAAAAAACCTGAGTAGAGCCTCCCAGGCTCATGGTTACCAGCACATGCAGGGAAGGGAGTTCCTTGGTCGCTTTCTCTTTTCTGTTGAGACACAAAATTTAATAGAAATTTTGTTTGTAGTTCTTACATTCTCAGTGTGAGCTGAATTGGGACCCGCTGCCCCATGCAGAAGTGGCCCATTCCTGGAGGCAGGGGAGAAACTGTGGGGGGGCGGGGTGAAATGGGAAGAGCCCCATTCTTCCTCAGTGTTGGGGGGCTAGAGATGCCACCCCCTTTTCCTGGCCCCCTCTGGGTTCCAGGAAGGAGAACAGATGGAATGTCAGGCCTGAGACTTCTCCTCCACACTGCTGCCCCCTGGGTGGGAGGGTAGCTAAGAGATCCAGACAGAGAATGAGAAGGCAGAGGTGGTGAAACGGGGATAGTGACGCAGCTTGAGATGAATAAAACACAGCCTGTGGAGCTGATGATCCAGGATCACAGAGGTCTGTAAACCTCAACAGTGGACACCAATAACATGGCACTGAGAAGGTAGGGAAGATAATATATATTAGGTACCTAGTACACAGCACCTTTCTTGTAGGAAATGGTTATTCAATGGTTGTTATCACTATGACTATACCATCAGTACTATTATTATTTTAACTTGGGACAAGGACTTATGGAAGAAGAATGATGGAATTCGCATTTTGCAGGTGGGTGGGGCCTGCAAGCACCTCTGAAATCACACACACTGTACATATAGCCAATGAGGAGCTGGGCATTTAGGAATGCATGTGGCACATGCCTAGCACTTTTTGATAAGTAAATTAGTGAGTATTTATTAGTGTTTGCTCAATTACCCAAAATGACATATTGAATCCTCAAAGCAGCCTGATTTGGTGGATATTATTTGTTTGCTCAGGCTGCTGTAACAAAGTACTACAGACTGGGTGGCTTAGACAACAGGCATTTGTCTTACGGTTGGAGACAGTGTCTCGCTTCTAGGCAGCTGGAAGTCCAACACCAAGATGTCAGTGGGGCTGGTTCCTTCTAAGCACTGTGAGGGAAAATCTGTTCCAGACCTCACTCCTACCTTCTCGGGCCTTGCTGACAATCTTTGGCATTCCTTGCCTTGTAGATCTCTATCTTCATCCTCATGCAGTGTTCTCCCTGTGTGCAGGTGCCTATGTCCAAATTTTCCCTTTTTATAGGGACACCACTCACACTAGATTAGGGACCTACTCTACTCCAGTATGACATTTTATGTTAATAAACTATATCTGCAGCTATCCTATTTCCAAACAAGGTGACATTCTGAGTTATTAGCTATTAGGACTTTGACATATGAATTTTGTGGGGGACAATTCAACCCATAACATTATTACCCTGTTTTACAGATGGGGAATAAAAGGCACAAAAGTGTTAAGTGACTTGCCTAAGGTCACACAGCTAATATATGGTAGAGTAAGAATTTGAACCCAGGAAGTCTGGTTCTAAAGTGAGAGTTCCTAATCCACATACTCTACTTCCTCTACACCACCGGTCCCCAACCTTTTTGGCACCAGGGACTGGTTTTCGAGGAAGACAATTTTCACGGACCAGGGGGTGGTGGATGGGAAGGGAGATGGTTTCAGGATGAAATTGTTCCACCTTGGATTATCAGACATTAGTTAGATTCTCATAAGGAGTGTGCAACCTAGGGCCCTCTCAGGTGCAGTTCATGATAGGGTTTGCACTCTTATGAGAATCTAATGCTGCTGATCTGACAGGAGGCGGAGCTCAAGTGATAATGCTCAATTGCTTACCATCCACCTGCTGTGTGGCCCAGTTCCTAAGAGGCCACAGACCAGCATGGGCCCATGGCCCAGGGGTTGGGGACCCCTGCTTTACACCACCACACTGTAGTACAACCTTCAGGACCAACTAGAATAAGAAAAATTGATTTTGAAGGCATATTCTCCAATCTTAACAATGCAGAAAGAGGATACTTTGACCTATGAGTCCTAAACCAATCATGAACTTTTAGATACTGTCTGAGTTCAAGTCAGGGTTCAAATTGTGATGACAGAAAGAGACAAGAGACTATCAGGACACAAGGAAGATGCAGAATCAGTGCTGTAAGAGGCAAATAACTTATAGAAAGTATCAGAATTCACCAAGGGAAAAATGTAAATAATAAAGGAGAAGGCAAGATCCTAAGGCAATTAGTAATCTGGAGAGATAAAAGAATAGGGGAAAATAATAAGGAGGAATTGAAATTGTAGCTCTCAGGAGGGCTATAAAACATACAATAAATGCTCTAGTAAGGCTGCACACAGTGGCTCATGCCTGTAATCCCAGCACTTTGGGAAGCTGAGGCAAGAGGATCACATGAGCCCAGGAGTTCGAGACCAGCCCCAGCAACAGAGTGAGACCCCATTTCTACAAAAATTTAAAAATTAGCTAGGTGTGATAGTGTGTGCCTGTGGTCCCAGCTACTTGAGGCTGAGATGCGAGGATCATTTGAGCCCTGGAAGTCAAGGCTGCAGTGAGCTATGATTGTGCCACTGCACTCCAGCCTGAGTGACAGAGCGAGATACTGTCTCAACAACAACAACAACAACAACAACAAAGCTCTAGTAAGAACTATATACAGAGTACCCAAATTATAGAATGTAAGTTTTTTTGAAAAGACTGGTACATGCTGAGAAAATGCAAAGCATCCAATGAACAAAATGCTACAAGCAATAACATATCTACAAGCTAAAAAGAGAAGTAGTACAATCTACGGAATAGGTAGTTTTGTTAAAATTGTGGGCATTATTCCTCAATAAGGTACCTTGAATTGCTCTTGAAAAACTAATTGTATCTTTGTTAAATACAAGTTAAAAATGTTAAATACAAGTTAATATCTCTGTAAAGGGTCAAATGTCATTTGAGGGTAGGAAACAAAAGCAAAAGTTAAATGAAAGTGTATCATTGGGCTGGGCATGGTGGCCCACACCTGTAATCCCAGCACTTTGTGAGACTGAGGTGGGAGGATCACCCGAGGTCAGGAGTTCGAGACCAGCCTAGCCAATATGGTGAAACCCCATCTCTACTAAAAATACAAAACATTAGCTGGGTGTGGTGGCGTGCACCTGTGATCCCAGCTATTCGGGAGGCTGAGGCAGGAGAGTCACTTGAACTCGGGAGGTGGAGGCTGCAATGAGCCAAGAACGCACCACTGCACTCCAGCCTGGACCACAGAGTGAGACTCCATCTCAAAAAAAAAATAATAATAATAAATAAATAAATTTGTATCATTGGTGCCTTTCATCTGCTCGAGGGCTACATAGCTACGTTTTGGTATTAGAAACTGAGTACTTCAGAAATGAGGTTCCGAATTTTGGCATATAAACCTATTCTGTCTTGTTCCAACAAAATGAGGATAGGTACAGAAAAGGAAAAAAAAAACAACACTAAATTTCAAAGTAGAGGCCATAATGGAAAAAAAAATGTGATTACATGGGCTTTCAAGGTAAAGATTTTTCATGTAACCCATGCAGGAGAAAGTAATCAACCAACAAATATTGCACCTGCAGGCATAAAGAAAATAAAATACAAGAAAGTGTGCATTATTTTTTCAAGATCATTGGAGGATAAAGTTACTATCAAAGGGCCTTAGCTTAAATGACTATAAATTTGGATTCCCACCACACAGATGAAATAAGAAAAGTTTCTGCATCTAGAGAAAGAACCATGGAAATATGAGGCCGGCTGCAAAGATGTGTGTGCATCATTAAAGACCAGCACAGTGTAGCTTTCACCACTTGAGTTCATGTGTTACTGCCCAGAAGGCATCCTTTGTCATCAGACTGGATCCTATTGTGGTGACATGCTATTGCTCTGGTCCTCTGAGAGTCAGAACTAAGTGACAATTCAAATGTGATCACTTAAAAGCCACATGACAGATAAAAGCACACACAGGTCCATATGGGAACTCTAATTTAAAACTTAAAGTAGAAGGTATACATTAAAAGGTTGGTTTGGACTTTTTAAATGAGAGAATTCCTAATGGTCATTCCTAAAAAATATATTTCATCAGGCTTGCTATTTTAGGGAAATATCTTGTCTTGTTCTACCAAAGATTTGAAAACAAATGTAATTGGGATGCTGGTTTCACACTGCCCTAAATAGGCCATATGTAATAGGCATGAAATAGTTAAACAACACCCAAGCCTTTATTTAATTAACTAAGCTCTGCCACAAGGAGGTGGGTACTACACAGAGAGAATATTTCAGTGACTGATGAGAAACAATCTCCTATGGACTCAATGTGTGTGCCCTACCCCGAACAAATTCATATTTTGAAATCCTAACTCCCAGTGTGATGGTAATAGGAAATGGGGCCTTTGGGAAATAATTAAGCCATAAGGATGGGGTTCTCATGAATGGAATTAGTGCCCTTACCAAAGAGACCCAGAGAGCTCCTCCCTTTCAGCTACGTGAGGACAAGCAAGAAAATGGCCGTTATGAGCCAGGAAGAAGTTCCTCACCACACGCTGAATCTGCTAATGCCTTGATCTTCAACTTCTCAGCCTCCAGAACTGTGAGAAATAAATGTTGTTTAGGCCACCCAGTCTCTGGTATTTTTGTTTTAGCAGCCTGAATGGACTAGGACACAACCACGGAAGAGAAAAAAAAAGATATTGGAGCAATAATAGCATCTTCCAGGCAGGGCGCAGCAAGGATGGTGCTATAATTTTCTCTCCCTATATTTCCCTATCCATTCTTTTATAGCACCCTGGGCAGGCAAAACAGAGAGTATTTCTCAGGCATTTTGGAGGAGTTATATCAGGAACACATTCTCCCACATAGACTTGTATAATAGCCTTGTATACTATATGTGTGTAAAAATGTACACAATATACATTGTATACAAGCTCTAACAGCACACATACAAAAAAAAATCGAGAGAATTAGAAATGCTGATTCTAAACCCTTGAGGAAAAAAAGCTTCTTCTTCAAGAATTAAACTCTGAACAGATGCAGAGGACTACAGAAAGACTCTGCTAGGTCAACTTTAAAAGAAGTGACCAGTTCAACATGCATCATAAGTTGACATTACGGATTGGAGAAAGAACCAAGGTGATGCTAGAAGAGATTCTAGACAGAGACTAAGCTACCTCTCAGGCCATTCTTGACTAAACAATCATGAAAACTCTAGGAGAGAGTTGCTCAACTCAATGCTAGAACCATCTTAGATTTGTATGTAAGTTGTGGTTTGTTATTATATTCATATTTTATCAGAATGAATTGGATGTAATTCATAGGTTTAGTTCTTCTCAATATAGTATGCATTTATCCTTATAAATTCTAGAGTTGAAGAGAATCCATTCAGGTGACATTTAGCACCTGTGAAATTAAAGAAAACAAGCCAGCCCCCAGCCTAGTCCATAGAAACACTGCCACCCTGGGGAACCAGAGAGGGGTCCAGCCACCCTCTCTGATTCCTCAGCTCTTATAAAACTCATCAAGATGTTATGCCACTTAGGAGGTAGTAACTGTGTACCTGCTATTTAAAAACTAGTATTGAATAAGTAAATGTGACATTTAAAAAGCATAAATACATGCTCACAATGAAAGCAATGACTATCATTTCAAAAGCTGTGCAAAATTAGTCAGATCTGCCCTTCACCAATTAGTGTTAATTCCTATTAATATGATCTAACGGGACTTAATTTCCTCAGCTATAGTGAATGCAATTGTGAAGAGACTGAGTTAAGAATTGTCTAAACTGACAAAAGGCAAAATTGTAGTTGAAAGATTGAACACGGGGAGATTTTTGAATAGGAAACTTTTCTTATAAATCTCTGCTCAGCCATTTACTGATTGGTGTGACCTTGACACATTTCTTAGCCTCTCTAAACTGTATTTTCCCTGTGTTTAAAACAAGGAGAGTAGTTTACTATATACAGATTTGTTCATTTAAGAGGTGAGCTTTGCAAGACATCTCGCATAGGGGCCATCACAGAATAGATGTACAATAATAGGACATTCTCCTCACAAAAATGTACAGAACATCTACTAAGTGTCAGGTACTGTTCTAGAGGTTGAGTATGTTTTCAGTGATCACATTCATTTTCCATAAACTAATAAAACCTACAAAATACATCTTTACATGACCAGATTATTAGGTTTTCCAGGAAAATAAAATATTAAAAGAAAATGTTGTATTTTGTTACTCACACAGAGGACGAATTACTTTCCCTAATTCTGACTTTTTTGAATATTTAGGGTTTTTTTTTTCTTTTTCCAGAAGTCATGATCACAAACAAAAGTTATGAAGACAGATCACAGAAAAGGAGGTGCAAATGGATTTTTTCTTTTTGAATGTCTGAAAAGATGCTGGACTTCACTTTTTTTTTTGAGACAGAGTTTCGCTCTTGTCACCCAGGCTGGAGTGCGATGGCACGATCTTGGCTCACTGCAACCTCCACCTCCCGGGTTCAAGTGATTCTCCTGCCTCAGCCTCCCAAGCAGCTGAGACTACAGGTGCCTAACACCACACCCGGCTAATTTTTGTATTTTTAGTAGAGACAAGGTTTCACCATGTTGGCCAGGCTGGTCTTGAACTCCTGACCTCAGGTAACCCACCCACCTCAGCCTCCCAAAGTGCTGGGATTACAGGCGTGAGCCACTGCATCTGGCCTAGACTTCACTTATAAGAAGAGAAATGCAAATTAAAATTTGCTAAAATGCCTTTTCACCTATCACGTTGACAAAGATGAAAAAGTGTGATGACACAGGGACAAAGAGCATAATGAGAGGGAATGATGGGGGAACTGTGGCTCTGACACATAGGTGACACACAGGTATTAGGAGGGAATATTGTCCAAACTTCTAGAGGCAATTCTGTAACATTTATCAAATTTCAAATGCATTTTTTTACCCTTTAAGCCAGGGATTCTATTCTCTTTACTTACCTTACATGTTCAAGGATGTTTGTTGTAGCATTGTAAAGCAAACGATTAGAAATCACCTAAATGTCCATCAACAGAAAATAGTTTAAAATCTTAAATTTAAAATTAAAATAATACATTTCAGGATAAATCCATGCAAAAGAATACTATACAGCTATAAAAAAAGAATAAGAATGCCCTTCAGAACTGAAATGATTTGGAATAAGTTAAAAAAAAAGTGGGGGAAAGGCAAAGGGACAGAGGGGTCTATAATATGCTACCATGTAGATAAATATATAAACATATTTGTTTGTGTATTTATAAAATATATCTGGAAAATTAGAAAAAAATTGTATTGTTTGCTGGAAGATGGTAGTGATAATACGGACTTCATTTTATACATTTTATATTTTGAATCTTTTATGTGCACTAAGATTTTAAGATGAAAAAATTTAGAAAACTATGCAACAACCTAAAAATTAAATAAATTAAGTGATAATGGGATATTATACATAATAGGTGCCTTATAGAGATGGTCCTCTGAATCCAATTATAAGTAATCTAGACATGATTTAGAGTATACAGAAGGATGTGCGTACCTTATATGCAAATATAATGCCATTTTATATAAGGGACTTGAGTAGTCACAGATTTTGGTACCCATGGTGGGGGGTCCTGGAACTAATTCCCTCAAGATATTGAGGGATGACTATAATTGCAACTGTATAAAACATATGAGAATATGAAAAGAAATAAACAAAAAAATTGAGATGGAATTACAGGCATTTAAAAACTATTTTCACCAACATTTCTGTAATTATAAATAATATAAAAATCATAAACCAATAAAAATAAAAATTTCACATACAACAATGTTATTTTATTTTTTTACAATATTAGTCTAATTATGATTTTTCTTATTTAAAGTAAAGCAAAATGGATCTATCTTTAAATGTTTCACTCTTGGGAAGAAAAAAGCAATGCCCTATTGATATGGTTTAGCTGTGTTCCCACCCAAATCTCATCTTGAATTGTAGCTCCCACAGTTCCCACATGTTGTGGAAGGGATGTAATTGAATCATGGGGGTGGGTCTTTCCCATGCTGTTCTTATGATAGTGAATAAGTCTCATGAGATCTGATGGTTTTATAAATGAGAGTTTTCCTGCACAAGTTCTCTCTTGGCTGCCACCATGTAAGATGTGCTTTTCACCTTCCACCATGATCGTGAGGTCTCCCCAGCCACATAGAACTGTAAGTCCATTAAACCTCTTTTTCTCTATAAATTACTCAGTCTCAGATACATCTTTATCAGCAGCATGAAAACAGACTGATACACCTATCCTTCTTTTTTTAAATTTCAACTAAACTCACTCTAACTCAGAATTATTTATACCTGTAATTGTGAGCTTTTGATTTCACTAACTTTGTTGTAGCCTAGAACAGCAGACTCAGAAGGGCTCTTTCTTACAGGGTTAATTTATGGTAGTCCATCAGCTATGTGTGGTTTTAGAAATTCATTTTCTCCTGCTGCACATTTTCTAAATTAATGAACTTATTTTATACACTGATTAGTAATAAGACTACTGTATGTTGTATTCCATTTAGAATGTCAACGTACAAGGTAGAAAACAGGCACGAGCTGTTTAGTATTAATTATGGAACCTATGGACCCCCCAGCCACTGATGAATTGAAGGAACGTAGAACTCACCAAATGTACTTTCTAAAAGGATAACATCCAAGTATACTCTTAAGAATAGTATCTTTAGGAATTGGGAAGGAAATTACCACTATGTAACACAGTTTCTTTCTTGGCATTTAAATAACTTTACAGTCTGTTGGTTTCCTTTTTTTTCTCTTTTCTGGATTATATCTAAATTTAATATTGAAGACAGCACTTAGCATTTCTCTGGCCTAATCTTATTTTCCATGATAAATGTGTGCATTTGCCTCAATTACCTTAGGAATTACTAGAGATTGCTTCAGAGTTTTTCCTGCACTTTAATGTTCTGCCTTCTTTTGCTCATTATTGTGATCACATACAATTTTGTAGCTCTATTGCTTGGAGAGATTTCACAAAAAAAATTTTAATAAATGTCATGTGCAATATATTTGCATGAATTGCCTCATGAATTTGAAATTCCAGAAGCTATAACTCTGTTAACTGAAATACTTTAACCTGGATCTCAATATGTGAAAAATCATTTAAGGCTGAATTGGCTTCAGCATAAAACTCTTTGAAAATAGCCTAAAGTAATGGTGAGTTCTGGAACTAGGCCCAAAACATTATTCATTCTGTGCCTTTAAAGAAACGCTGTGGCTTTTTGTTTATTTATATGTATATTACACATACTACTAAAGAAAAATAAAATTTTAACATTAAGCACATTAGAAACAACGAACACAAAGATGATTAAATGTCTTATATCTCTGAACCACGGGATTTCTCACCCATCAAGTCACAATGTGAGCTTCCACCCTAAAGCAGAAGGAGAAATATGACTAAAGGGAAATCCCTACTACAGGCCAGATATGGTGACTCACCCAGTGCTTTGGGAGGCCAAGGTGGGAGGATTGCTTGAGGCTAGGAGTTCTGAGACCAGCCTAGGCAACATAGTAAGACCTCATCTCTACAAAAATAAAAAATTTAAAAAGCTGAGCATGGTGGTATGTGGCTATAGTCCTAGCTACTTGGGAGGCTGAGGCAGGAGGATCACTTGAGCCCAGAAGTTTGAGGCTGCCGTGAGCTATGATTATGCCACTGCATTTCAGCCTGGGCAACAGAGAGAGACTGTCTCTTAGAGAGAGAGAGAGAGAGAGAGAGAGAGAGATTCCTACTATCCTTACTACAAACTAATACAAAGAAGAAAAGTGAATCCTTTACACCACAGGTTGATAAATTAAAGCCTGAGGGCCAAATAGAGCCTACAACCTGTTTTTGTAAATAACGTTTTATTGGAACACCACATTCATTTGTTTATGCATGATCTATGGCTGATTTCATGATACAGGGGCAGAGTTCAGTAGTTACAACAGAAAACATCTGGCCTCCAAAGCCCAGAATATTTGCTACCTGGCTATTTACAGAAAAATGTTGCCAATTTCTGTCCACTTAGCAGGCTTGTTCAAAAGAAGGAGATACGGTTTAGCAATCCTGGAGACTTGGGATGCAGAAAATCAAATTACTAGCATCATTTTTAATAGGAGAGAAAGAGTTGGGGTATAATCCTTAATTTATCAGAGGATTCCACTGTTCTACTTATAACATATTGGAGTACTGGATAAGGAGTATTATGACATTTTTCCTTATGAATATGAATTGTGTGTATAAATTGTACAGTTGACAATGTATGCTTTAATAAATACTTAGAGACGTATAGTATAAATAGATGTACAGATACATGGCTGAGAAAGCAGACACCAGAAATGCTTGGCATAAGCTATGGCTGAGACGATAGCCAGAAAAAATGATGTGAACTATCAAGTTAAAATCATTGAACAAAGCAGGCATTCTAGAGAAAAGCAAAGATCGCTGTGGCGGCGTCACAGATAAGCCCCCACCTTGTTAGAGGCTGGGACCATTAATTCAGACTTCTGACAACCCCTTCATTTATTGCTACTATGCAAATATGAGGAAAGAAACATTTTTTAGAAGGAAAGAACAACTCTACCAACTAATTCCGTCTCAGGATTTCTTGAAGCTCACCTGACTATGCTTTAATCTATCTAGGAGCCCCAGAAAGCTACTTCACACCCATCAGGCAAGCTTAGAATCATTGAAAGCTATACCTTTACTCTCCCTCTTCATAGCTCCTTTTTTTGTACCCTGGGTTGAGTAACAATAATAAATCACCTGTGAAATACTTCTGACTTTGTGCTTATTAGTAAAATGTCTTAGGGCATTACTGTCTGCTTTGGAGAACAAGATAAGAAATATTAATTAAGGTTTGAAAATCTAAACCTAACATATGGTTCTCTAATTCTGACCATTATAAAACACATTATTATTGTTATGATAACATTTGTATTGTACTTGACGGGCTCTAGACCAGTTTCCTATTGTCCTAATCTACTAAGAGTCACTTCACTGAGAACAACATTTTCACCACCAGATCAGGTCAAGAGACCCACACTTTGCAGAGTGGGAAGCAGAAGCTCCATGTGGTTCAATTACATTCCCAAGATTGCCCTGGTCTGTATCAAGTAAAACTGATTGACTTGTAATCAGTCATGAAGCCTCCAAAAAGTCCAGAAAAACAAACTTCTGGCTGGGTGCATTGGCTCACGCCTATAATCTCAGCACTTTGAGAGGCCGAGGCCCGAGGATCACTTGAGGTCATGAGTTCAAGACCAGCCTGGCCAACATGGCAAAACCTTGTCTCTACTCAAAATACAAACATTAGCCAGGCGCAGTGGCACGTGCCTGTAATCCCAGCTACTCGGGAGGCTGAGGCAGGAGAATCACTTGAACGCAGGAGGCGGAGGTTGCAGTGGGTCAAAATTGCACCACTGCATTTCAGCCTGGATGACAGAGAGAGACTCCGTCTCAAAAAGAAAAAAGAAAAGAAAAACAAACTTCTATAAACTGATGGTTTGACAATGCATTATAAATGCTATATCTGGACTGAACTGTGTTTCCCCAAAATCTGTGTGTTGAAGCCCTAACCCACAATGTGACTATACTTGGAGATAGAGCCTAGAAAGAGGTAATTAAGGTTTAATGAGGTCAGAACCATAGGGCCCTGGATTAGTGTTATCATAAAAGGAGGCATCAGAGAGTTTATTCTCTCTCTCCCTCCACTATATGAGGATGCAGCTAGAAGGCTCAGGAAGAGAGTCTTCACCAGGAACCAAATCAGCTGGCACCTTGGTCTTAGACCTCCTGGCCTCTAGAACTGTGGGATATAAATTTCTGTTGTTTAAGCCATCCAATCTGTGGTCTTTCATTATGGCAGCCTGAGCAGACTAAGACACATTGCTAAGATTAACATTAAGGTGAGGAAAATTCTGGAGAAAAACAGAGAGTCTTTGGATATCACACAATCTAACTGGATAACAATATAAACTCAAAATACTGGCAAAATAAAAAAGGAGAAGAGGTGAAATTTCTTCTTGTAATTGCTCCAAAACTATCTATTCAAGACATACAACTCAGAAGACACACAGACAGGGTTAAAATAGACGAGGGTGAGTTGCGTATCTGTAAAGCAGGAGCACTTTTGGGGATTGGCTGCTGAGACATGAATGTGTATGTTGTCTAAATCTCTTATGACAACTTGAGTGACCTGTACTTAGAAAAGCAGCCCCTGACATTCAAGAGCTGGCCTGGCGCTATCAACGAGGACTTGATGTCCCCCTATCAGACATAAACGATTTCGTAGAACATCGACAGCAGACAAGGCCACTCTGTGACCATGACGGATCAGGACAAAAACAAGAAAACCCCATAACCGTGTCTGAGCACAGACAAATTATGAACATTGTCCAAGATGCAAGATGCGTGACACCCCCTTTCCCGGCTAATATGAGCATCTGCTGCTGTTTTACCAATTATGGCTTTAACCTCAGTCTAGTCTGCCCCATATACAGACATAATCACTCTATCAAGATACCCACTCATAGAATCAGGAAGCATACCCCTGCTTCCTGACAACATCTGATTCAGAGCAAAGCTTCCAAAAGTCCTCCCCAAATCACCTAGCACAAGCCCAAACCCTTTCTGTCTTTTCCAACACCCACTGGCTGAGACTTTCCACAGTCCTCCATTCTCTGCCTGCAAGGAGTAACAGACCAATGTATTCAACTACATTGTGTTCCTAGAGGTCACAGACTGAAGAGCATTGACTAGGGTAGCTGAACAGTGTAGCCCTGACTCGTATTTCCCCATTTTGTTTGTCTTAGAAAAGTTCACCAGGGGATGAATATACTTTAAAAACTAAAGACTGGGCCCAGTGGTTCACGCCTGTAATCCCAGGACTTTGGGAGGCTGAGGTGGGCAGATCAGGAGGTCAGGTGTTTGAGACCAGTCTGGCCAATATGGTGAAACCTTGTCTCTAGTAAAAATATAAAAATTAACCGGGCGTGGTGGCGTGCAACTGTAGTCCCAGCTACTTGGGAGGCTGAGGCAGAAGAATCACTTGAACCCAGGAGGCAGAGGTTGCAGTGAGCCCAGATAGCACCACTGCACTCCAGCCTGGGCAGTGGAGCAAGACTCTGTCTCCAAAAACAAACAAATAAACAAACACTAAAAAAGCTCAGAATTGTAAAATTTAGAATCCTATTGTCAAGTTTTGTTCAGTTTGTTTTTGTTTTTGAAACAGGGTCTCACCCTGTTGCACAGGCTGGGATGCAGTGGCACGATCATGGCTCACTGCAGCCTCGACCTCCCAGGCTCAAGTGATCCTCCCACCACAGCCTCCCAAGTAGCTGGAACCACAGGTGCATGCTACCATGCCCAGCTAATTTGTAAAGGTTTTTGGTAGAGAAAAGGTCTCATAATGTTGCCCAGGCTGGTCTTGAACTCCTAGGCACAAGTGATCCTCCCACCTCAGCCTCCCAAAGTGCTGAGATTACAGTCATGAGCCACCATGCCTGGCAGTTTTCTTCTTTTGTTTTAAAGTGAGACAGAAATCAAACTGATATACCAAAGGAGTTCATCACACTGAAATTTAAATAACTGTGAGGCTCCTGCACAGTCAACAGCAATCCTATTTACTGTCTGTATTATTACATGTCAGAGGTATGAATCAGATTAACAAATTAAATTGCCTCAAATGTGAGTTTTTGTATTAATGCCATCGGTGAAGGCATTTGTCATTTTTTGCTCCTATTAGCCAGGAAAGGGGATGTCATGCATCTTGTGGCTTGGAAAATGTTCATAATTTGTCTGTGCTTAGACACAGTTATGGAGTAGTCTTGTTTTTGTCCTGATCCACCATGATCAGAGTGGCCTTGTCTGCTGTTGATGTTCTAGGAGATTGTTTATGTCCAACAGGGGACACCAAGGCCTGGTTGATTTCACCAGGCCAGCTCTTGGATGTCAGGTGCTGCTTTTCTTCTTTCTCAAGTAAAGCTCACTCAAGTTGGAGTAGGAGGTTTAAGTGTCCAGCACACCCTCTCCATTCTCCTCCCCTTTTCTGGCTAACAGAACCTCTCTTTCCTGCAGGTAACACATTGAAGGTGGTTTGTGTGGACTACTGAACCTCAACAATACTCACTTAGCCAATGAAAAATCATTTATTATTATGCTAATTTATGAATTCACCAGTGGAATTGTAAACTCTTGTCTAAGATCACCCAAAAGTGAACCATCCCTGAAGCATGGGTTCTGATTAGGGCCTTCAAATGCTACCTAACCATCCCTATGGTATAGATTGAAATTAATTTACATTTGCACACATCACATTGTTCACACAGAGAATAAAACACCATCAAACATTAATTGTATGAAAAAATAAATCTGACATATTATCTAGAAAATTTTCATGCATTCTGAATCTTTGAACATACCACAAAAATGGGATCATTGGCGGCTGAATGTGGCAAAGCGTTTGTCCCGTTCAGGAAGGAATGAACCAAATTATGAAGGCTCATCACTTGAGAATCCAGAGTCCCATCTGCTTTATCAAACCCTTCCAAAGCATTCCTAGGAGAAACAAGTATATCAGTGACAACAGACAAAGACTGATAAAGGTCTCTTTTTTGTTGTTTTCAGCCTAGATAATAGTTGTCTAATTTGAGATTGGGTAGGGATATGGGAAGCTCTGTCATAGCAAATTGACCAAGAATTTGCCCCAAACTTTAATGATAATCCTCTGTAAGGGGAGAGAACTCCTAAGCAACGCTATTTCTGAATTATATCTCTTTTGTGTACTGTATGACAACTTTCATATCTGTCTCTCATTCCCTTGGAGAGCAGGCTCTATGTTTTCTTCAGATATTTATTGCCAGGGTTCAGTACCATGCCCAGCAGATTGTCTGTGATCAGTAAATTCTTTTATTTAACATATAATCTGATATTTATATTTCTCAACCAAATAGACCTTCAGCTTGACTGAAGGTCCAGCTACTCAGGAGGCTGAGGTAGGAGGATCACTTGAGCCCAGGAGTTTGAGGTTACAATTAGCCATGATTGTGCCACTGCACTCTACCCTAGGTGACACAGTGAGATCCTGGCTCTAAAAAAAAGAAAAAAGAAAAAAATTTTCTACCACCATAGAAAGACTTTAAGAATTATGAGAAATATGTTTATAAATAAGACTTTAAACAAAGATGGGTCCAAAAAGGGGATGGTAGATAGATTAAAGATCTTCTCCAAAACTGGATTCTCTCTCTCTCTTAACTGTGTTTAAAGTAGACAATTTGTATGGGCCCAGGGCAGGGCAGGCTGGACTCAAATGTAGAGGTTGTGCTAAGTGTAGCATGGCTCAGTCTGCTGAGGTTGGACACAGCCTTCAGAGTAGTGTCAAAGGTGGGGGAAGGGTAACATTTAAGGTTGTTTTGAAAAGGAGGATGAATTAGTTTTTCATTGTGACAAAAGTGCTATTAAAACAGATTGCATTTTCTATATGTTTGAGTTAGGGGAGTTGTTCTCAAAATGCAGTGCTCAGACCACCTTAACTGGCATCATTTGGGATTTGGTTAGAAATGCAAGTTGTTAAGACACAGCCTACACCTACTGAACCAGAAACTCTGGGAGCAGGGCATGAAACATGTGTTTTTCTTTGGTGATTTTGAGATGTGCTTAAATTCTAGGCCTACCTCTACAGGTACATACCACCACACCTGGCTACTTTTTTATATTTTTTTGTAGAGACAGGGTCTTGCTCTGTTGCCCAGGTGGTCTCAAACTCCTGGACTCAAGCAGTCCTCCCGCACTGGCCTCCCAAAGCACTAGGATTACAGGCATGAACACCATGCCCAACCTGTGGTGGAAGATTAATAGTTGGTCTTTAAATGTTAAGTATTGTAATGTCATTGCTGTGCTATGATTTGAGTTGAATTTAGTCTGCAATACTCCTCTGAGATCTCAGACCTCACTATTAAGTTCTATGGCTGATAAATTTCTAATATCGACATTTTAAAAAATAAGAAAGGAAAGAGAAAGAGCATGGACATTGAAAAAACACTATATTTAATGAAGTACCCTGTTTCCAAAGACTGGACCTATTAATGTACTGCAATTAGAAATACAAAAGTTGGTTTTGAACAGCTAAGTTAGAAGGTATTAAAACCACATTGTTAGTCATAGTAGATGGGTAAAGACTTTCCTCACACCAATCCCTTGCTAACTTCTCTCGTTAGGCCTCTCTCCATCACTTAGCTTCGTAGACAACCCCCAAAACCTGGGTTTCCTTCCAGTTCTTTACAATCACAGGCATGAAAACCTGTACTGTACAGGCAGGTCCAGCAGAGCTCAGAGCACCCACCTGAAACTGAAGGTAGAGTTCTGGAAGAAGGGAGG
Organism: Homo sapiens; assembly: GCF_000001405.40. Classification (NCBI taxonomy): domain Eukaryota; kingdom Metazoa; phylum Chordata; class Mammalia; order Primates; family Hominidae; genus Homo; species Homo sapiens. The sequence goes on from NC_000013.11 coordinate 94,462,045, forward strand.
ATTGTCAAACTTCTGGAGAGACAGGCAATCTCGTATGTCTTTTAAGGTTGGCAATTTCATGCTGTTTCTTCCCATTTGATTTCTTCTCAGCAAACCTTCATAGGTTCCATTGCACAAGGTGACCAGGTGGTTGTAGTCATCCAAGCTAAGATTTGTAATAAGATTTAAAATAATATATGTTGGCTGGGCACAGTGGCTCACGTCTGTAATCCCAGCACTTTGGGAGGTTGAGGCAGGTGGATCCCTTGAGGCCAGGAGTTTGAGACCAGCTATGGCAAAGCCCCGGCTCTACTAAAAATACAAAAATTAGCTAGGCTTGGTGGTGTGTGCCTGTTGTCCCAGCTACTCAGGAGGCTAAGGCAGGAGAATCGCTTGAACCCAGGAGACAGAGGCTGCAGTGAGCAGAGATCATGCCACTGCCCTCCAGCCTTAGTGACAGAGTGAGACCCTGTCTCAAGAAAAAAAAAAAATCCCCCAAAACAAAAAATGATATGTCTTAACTTATGTACAGTATTATAAATTTGGGCCAAGCAAATCAATCAGGGTCACAATCATGGTAAAATTGTATTACAATTACTTTACCAGAGTTAACAATATGTGGTAAAAAGTACTATACCTGAAAGTCATTATGGGTCGAGAAGTTTCAAAAATGTAGATGCACAAAATACGGACATGGGCATAAATATGAATAATCATTACCATTCTGTTGGAAAGACAGTGAGAGGGTTTACAAGGCAAGATGACTCCTATTGTGTGCATTTGAATCTTGAGTAACTGAAGGGAGAATAGGGTGGTTCGTATTATGCTGAGCTAAGCCAGTTTTGGCAGAAGTGACATGTAAAGTTACGAAAACCTTTTAGGCAAACTGAAGGCAAACGGGGAGGTCAGAGTAAAAGCAGATGAAAGTACACAAAGGGGAGATATTAGAAGAAACACTGTGTTGGAAAATGTTCCAAGGTAGTAGAGTATCAATAGTTAAGTGCTCAGCATGGGCTGAGAAGGTCCCATGTCCGTAAGACATTATATCCTACACGCCTGCTATGGCCTGGATTCCAACATCAGAATAGTATTTCTTTCTTTCTTTTTATTTAGTTTTTCTTTTTTAATTTAGAGATAGGGTCTCACTCTGTTGTACAGGCTAGAGTGCAGTGGCATGATCACAGCTGACTGCAGCCTTGAACTCCTGGGCTCAAGCAATCCTCCTGCCTCAGTCTCCCCAGTAGCTGGGACTACTGGCTAACTTTTTTTTTTTTTTTTTTTGAGACAGAGTCTCACTCTGTAGCCCAGGCTGGAGTACAATGGCACACTGCAACCTCCACCTCCTGAGTTCAAGCAATTCTCCTACCTCAGCCTCCTGAGTAGCTGGGACTACAGGCACATGCCACCAAGCCCAGCTAACTTTTGTATTTTTAGTAGAGACAGAGCTGTCAGGCTGGTTGGTCACCATGTTGGTCAGGCTGGTCTCGAACTCCTGACCTCAGGTGATCCACCTGTCTCGGCCTCCCAAAGTGCTGAGATTACAGGCGTGAGCCACCGTGCCCAGCTAGGCTAACTTTTCAAACTTTTTGTAGAGACAGGGTTTCACTATGTTACTCAGGCTGGTCTCGAAGTCCTGGCCTCAAGTGATCCCCCTGCCTTGGTCTCCCAAAGTGCAGACCATTATTTCACTGGCAGAGATAAAAATTTAAAGATGTTATTGTGAGGGTTTTCATGAATTAGGGATAGGACCCAGTATGTGAGAATATAATCAGCACATCCACAGGGATGAAAGAGGCCAGGACCTAAACACTAAGCTGAAAAAGGTCTCCAAGGCCTCCCAGGCAGCGTTTCCCAAAGTGGATTCCAATGGGATGTCCGGTGAAGTAAGAGTTCCAGGGTTAGGCTCCTCTTGAAAAAGAATACCACATTTATCTATGGAAAGCTTGACGACATTCTAAAAATTTAAAAACCTTTTAAACTCAGCCTTCTCTAAATTTACTTGATGACGGAAATCTCTTTTCACATACCATCCACTACTATTCCAAGGTATGGTGGGAAATGGCGCTTGATGGAATTAAGCTCAGTCACAGAAAAAGCACTGATGATGTCCCTGCTCGTGGAGCACTGTTCTGAGCACTGTAGGAAATGTACAGGATGTGGAAGACGAAGTCCCTGCTAGCTGGGCATGGGCCCCTCAAAACGCACACCTATGCAGGCTCAGGGTGTTGGCAGTGAAGCCTGGGGGCCGGGGGAGCCACAGCTCTGTGCCCTGGAGCAGTCTAAGGACCTGGGACGAAAGACAGAGCAGTGGGGTTAAAAACATGGGGATTTTGAGGCCGGGTGAGGTGGCTTACACTTGTAATCTCAGCACTTTGGGAGGCCAAGGCAGGCAGATTACGTGAGGTCAGGAGATCGAGACCATCCTGGCAAACATGGTGAAACCCTGTCTCTACTAAAAATACAAAAATTAGCTGGGCGTGGTTGCGCATGCCTGTAATCCCGGCTACTCAGGAGGCTGAGGCAGGAGAATTGCTTGAACCAGGGAGTCGGAGGTTGCAGTGAGCCGAGATCACGTCACTGCACTCCAGCCTGGTGACAGAGTGAGACTCCATCTCAAAAAAACAAAAAAACAAAAAACAAAAAACAAAACAAATTTTGGAGGAAAAAAATGAATAAAGGAAGGTGAGGTGAGGAGCCTCTTGGGAAATTTTTGGCTGAAATGTGTTCCAGGTGTTCCAGGACAGAGAAACAAATTCAAGGAGCCTTTGAGGACAGAACTCTTCATGGGCTGCAGGCCAGGCCACTGACCTGTGTATGGTCTTTAGTATGTCACAGATCATCCTTCCCCGGCTGGCCCCAAGCCCCTGTCCTCCTCAACTCACCAGCATCCTGTGACTCAGCCATACCAGGCTGTTTCCAGAGAATTATCTAGCTTCACACATGATGTTCCTCCATCAAGGACCCACCCACTGCCCTCCCACACTCCCCTCACCCTCCTCTACACCTCAGGTCTGTGCCCCTCCCCTTCTCAGAGCCATCATCTCTGCCTCTTGGGGACTTGCCCAGACTCTCTTCTTGTCTTTGTGTATACATCTATTACAGTACTTCCCACACTCAACTGTAATTTACTTACAAGAAATCTATCTCGTTAATACAAGACAATATTCAAAAGGGAGGTTTTATTTCATTCATCTTTGTATTCCCGGCAGTACCACATCACATGGGATATGATTGGTGCTTAGCAAATGTTGATTGAATGCAAGAACTACTCTTAATTTGATTAGGTTGATGCAAAAGAAATTGTGGTTTTTGCTATTACTTTTAAAGGCAAAAACCGCAATTACATTTGCACTAATCTGATAAAACTAACCTGATCTCAAAATGATGGCCAAGCATAACCAATTCACAAATGTGATTTTGATATTTTTTTTTTAATTAAAGAGCTTTGAATTTTTGAAATCCCACCTCCCAGAGGAAAACTGTTTTTAGAAACATGTAAATAGGACACCACATGCATAAGAAACAGCACTATAAAGTGACTTCTCCTCCATGTCTCAGACATCAGAAAAGACAATCTCTGGATGCCATTGCAGGTACAGGAGCCATTACCTATCACAGACAGTTTCCCAGCTGGAGAATCTTGAGTTCCGACTAATCAGAGTCGGATCGTCTGGTCTCGCTGCCCCAAACAGCTGGTCTGTACACACATCACACTCGTTCCTCCCAGTGGCAAAGTTCCAGTAGGGCAAAGCAAAAGACTCATTGCCAATGAGTCGCTAAAAGCAAAGGGCAGGCCTAGTCATTTAATCCATGCCATCAGATACAACAAGAAAGCATACAAGGCAAAGGCTGATATGTATCTGAACCAAATATCTACCAAGACAAAGACTACTGGATGGATAAATGAATGAAGAAACTGTGACATAAATCAGTGTGTGTATATTTTATATATATATATATATATATATATATATATATATATATATATATATATATATATACTGTGTACAATGGAGTATTATTCAGCCTTTAAAAAGGAGACCCTGCCATTTGCAAAATGTGAATGAATCTAGAAGACATTGTGCCAACTGAAATAAGACAGATACAGAAAGAAAAACACTGCACTATCTCACTTATATGTGGAATCTAAAGAAAAGAAGAAAAAAGAAAAAGAGTGAATACATAGAGAGTTACATAGTAGTTACAAGGGACTGGGAGAAATGGGAAGATGTAGGCTGAAAGGTGCAAAGTTGCAGTTATGTAGGATAAATAACTCGAGGTCTGAGACTATAGTTAACGTTGTATTGTGTACTGGTGATTTGCCAAGAGAGTAGACCTTAGGTACTCTTACCACACACACACAAAAAGAGATATCTCTATGTGATGCTGAGTATGTTAATTTACTTTAGTGCACTAATCACTTATCTTGTATGAGTATCAAGATAAGTATATCAAAATTCACACTGTATGCCTTAAATATATACAATAAATTTTTTAAAAAATTAAAAGAACTAAATGCATAGTTTTGACCTACCTGGAGATCTCTTTCCAGACACAACAAATGGTACCGGTGCCAGGTAACAAATGCAGGTCCTTGATGTGAGAAATCTATGGCCCTGTAGGGGCGTCCTGGTCCTGAAACAATTGGGAAACATATTAGAGATGACAGAATAGAATTTTTTAAAATGTTAAATCTTACCTGGGCTGTATCTATAGAGCCAATAAGTCCATGATGTTTTATAGTAGTAAGAAAAAAAAGTTTTGTTGTTATTTATATCTCCAAAAGCAATAGTAATGACATGAATTTCAGAAGTAACTAGTACTTTTAGGATAAACCCTCCTTTATCTCTTAAAAGGTTGATTTCTAGCAGAGATCCAGGAAATTCAGGTGACTTTCAGGATTGGGAGCCCCTGATACATATTTAATTTGTAAGCAACAATCCATTCAGGTGAAATAGACTATCCAAAAGAATAGATCATTAAGACCTAAAGGAAATATATTTTTTAAAGGCATTTGCTAACCTATGCTTCACAAAGATATAAATTTAAAAGGGAGGGATTAATTAATAATATTGTAACTTCAACTGCACTTAGTCCTAATGCAGTATTTATGTAACCAAAAAGAACTTTCGCGTATTTTGCCTCACCCATCAATCTGTTATAACTACTAGCTGACAAGCATGTTCGCTGAGACCAGAAGAGAGAAAAATACATTCAAGCCATTTAGGCTGGACACTGGAACTGCCAATTTTAGTGAAAAGCTCTGGACGATTTAATGACCTCCTTACTGCCTGGTCCATCCTTCTTCCCTTTTTCATAACAGCTTTGATGGTTATGTGGAAACTTTAGCTAACTTTAGTTCTTGTCCAAAATACCTATAACAACTTCAGAGAGCTGAACAGACGTGAATATAAATTTAATTCGTAGCTATGACCAGAAACTAGGACTTTCTTTTCCTCTTGAGAGAGTACTCTCTCATAAAGCAATAATTCCTCAGAGTGATAACAGGAAAACTATAAAGGTTTATAGCCAAAAGAGCCTCCTTATCTATCGATAAAGACAGACAGATGCTTACCTGTAAGGCAAGTTTTAAAAGACTCACACTGAGAAAAGCACTGCTGTCCCTGATGTTGGCTACACGGCCCTTTTTCATGTTCAATTCAGAGCAAGGTTTCAAATTCTCAGAACCCAACAACGAGAGGGTATCAATTGAAGGGGAACAAGTGATGAGCAGAAGGATGAACCTGTCCAAATCAGAATCTTGCTCTTCAAAGTGAGCTTGATGTCTTCATTCATCCTGACCCCAATGAAGGACCCCAAAAATGGGGAGAGGTGCACGTGCAGCCATGCATTCAAGAACTGCTATGGGAAGAATCTAGGATGGAGTCAAGCCCTCCTGGAATACATTGGTGTCTATGGCTTTCCTTTGACTGAAAAATAAGGACAAAGCTGAACCTACTTGATACATGAAGTTTGTAACAGACAACCCCCTCATTCCAAGTCCTACCCAGCCCCCAATTTTTAAGACTTGGAAGGGCAGGTCACCAATTTCTCAAGCATCCAACATGACTGTGTTGCAAAGAGCTAAGCAGCAGAAACTCTACATTGCTGTGGCTAAGCTTGTACTTTTCCTTGACAATAAAGCTCCAAGAAACCTGGGGATTCCGGACCATGCAGGAGTACCATAAATGATTATCTGAAAGTCTATCATGTGATAGACTGTCTAAAATCCATCCAAAGTTGATCTATCCTGTGAGTTTAACAAGATGCCCACTCCCAACATGAGCACTCTAATTCCGCACAAAGAAGCTTCATGTGCCTTAGCACATGTTCAGTTAATTCCTCTAATTTGGAGAAAAGGTCAGAGAGGGCTTCCATGGCCAGATTCGCAAATATTTTCTTCTGAAATCAAAAGGAATTCGCCTCCACCTCACCAACTCACATCTTTGATGATTAACAGCTTCACAGAGAAAAGTTTACACTTTGAACCAAGAACATACGGTAGAGGAGAGAACATTTAAAGTGTCTGCATCCAATGCACAGGAAGAAACTGCTTCCTTCTAACTCCAGGCGGTATTTGATAATTCTACGACTTTCATAAACCTAAGGCTGCCTTGTGGTTGCTCTCTTAATTAACTTGCATGAAATTACTTCCCACTGCCATACCCTCAACCCAATCACAAACCTGTAATAATATACCTTCAGCCAAGGAAAAAACCCACCTAATAATGTATCTCTAACAGAATAATAATGGAGCCACACAAAAAAATCATAAACACTGCAGTTGGCAAACTGCGGCTGGGTTCCATTGGGCCCAAGCAGGCCCAGCCAGTGTTGTGTGGTGATCACGTAGTCGGGGTGTACTCTCTTCTTCGCGAGATCTAAGGCGCCCAAGAACTGCTCTCTTTCCTGAGGACTCAAGGAATGGATGTTCTGCCGAATCACTGGTGGTTTCTTCCGCTCGCAGTTGGGACCGGTCCAGCCAAACTTGCAGTCTCCACAATTATAGCCGGCAAAGTTTCCTAGTTCACAAAACAGAAAGATGGAAAGGAAGGGGGTTTATGTCGTTTGGAAGAAATTTCTGAATTTGTACTCTGAAATTTGAATGGAAGAGAAGATGAAGGTGCTTACACAAAGGCAAAGAAAGTCAATTTTCCTCCCATGGTCTCCTCTTAAATGTTTATATCTCCAAGTGGACTAAGCACTAGAGGGTTTCCTAGACACATTCCCAGCAAAGAAACAGGACATGAAATACACTGTATACTGCAATGAGCTAAACCGTGTCCCCGAAGTCCTAGCCCCAGTATACCTCGTATGTGACTATATTTGGAGATAGTGTCTTTAAAGAGGTAATTAAGGGTAAATGAGGTAATTAGAGTAGGCCCTAATCCAATATGACTGGTGTCCTCAAAAGAAGAGGAAATTTGGACACAGTTTTGGAAGGAAGACCACATGAAGACACAGGGAGAAGACAGCCATCTGCAAGCCAAGGAGACAGCCCTCAGAGGAAACCAACTCCCTGATCTCAGCCATCCATCCTCCAGAACTGTGGGAGGGTGAATTTCAGTGTTTAAGCTGCCTAGTCTGTGGGATGTTGTTACGGCAGCAGTAGCAGACTCATGCACACACTCCTTCCTCCCAGGATCGCAGGCGTGTCTCCTCCTGCGTCCACTCCACGCCCACAAAAAGGGATGACACAGAACAGTTCATTGATTTAGAGAAGGAAGAAAATACACAGCAAGCTAAAGATGAAACCAAAATAAATACATGGCTTGGCCCGGTGGCTCACGCCTGTAATCCCAGCACTTTGGGAGGCCGAGGCGGGCAGATCACTTGAGGTCTGGAGTTCGAGACCAGACTGGCCAACATGGTGAAACCTCGTCTCTACTAAAAATACAAAAATTAGCGGGGCGTGGTGGTACATGCCTGTAGTCCCAGCTACTGCAGAGGCTGAGGCAGGAGAATGGCTTGAACCCGGGAAGTAGAGGTTGCAATGAGCCGAGATCATGCCATTGTACTCCAGCCTGGGTGACAGAGCAAGACTCTGTCTCAAAAAGAAAGAAAAGAAAGAAAGAAAGGAAGAGAAAGAAAGAGAGAGAGAAAGAAAGAAAATAAATACATAAATTAACTGATTTCTAGGAATTTAGAAGAAATCTCACATTTAAAAAGCTGACTTATTTCACGAAGTTGACAGCATTAAGACAAAATCAACGGAAGCTGTCAAGTCCTCAGGGTGAATCAGTAGCCATGATGTCAGGAAGTACAAACCACCACAGGATTTCTGTCAGCTGCACAAAGCTCCCTGCTTTCTCAAAGCCCAGGGAAGGAGGACAGGACTAATAAGATCAAGCTCTGGGCATCTCTCTGATCAGCATCTAAAGTTTACATCCTTGTAGCTTGCCCCAGACTTTTCCCTTCTTAGCCTTCCAACTTATTGCCTTTGGGTATGACCAACATTTCATTCCTTAGGTTAGAGGGTAAAATTTAAATATCATTAGAGCACAAGATTGAAACGAAAGGGGATGATAATGCTTATCTCCCAGAAGATTAAAGGGATTACGTAAAGCATTTAAAGAGGGTGACCAGCTCACTTACTCCTCCTCCTCTACCTCATGCCCTAGGCCTATTTGCTTGCTTTTCCTTCTTCCTGAAACACTTTTCCCTCACTGTCTCCCTAAATTCCTCTTTACCTGCGTGATCCATTTCTCCTTTAAGCTTCACGTTTGTGCTCTCTAAGGTCATTCTTGATTCCAAAGGTCGGGGTTCGGGTCAGTTACTTCCTTGCACCTCATACATCCCCTTTCTTCACATTTATTTACACTGATTGTAAACATTACTACACTTGTTTCAGCTCCAGGCAGCTGTAAGGCTGTGAACTCACTGCCTAGGCCTGTGCTTAGCCTTGTTCAAAACAAATGTGTGTTGAGTGAATAACAGAAGTATCGAGCATGTAGCAGATGATGCCACATACATTTTCTCTCCCTGTTCTGTGGGTTTGCAGAAAAAGCAGCCCCTATAAATAATTTTGGTAAACTACAAGTAGCAAAATAGAGGTAAGTAAAAAGTACTATGACCATAGGGGAGGGGGAGTTATTTGGATCTCTCAAGGAAAGGAAAATTTTCCAACAGCATGAAAACAAAATGATTAACAGCATTCTGTAAAGAAAATGCACAGGCTTCCTTTTCTACAGTGGATTTTCTGATAGTTAAAGAAAATTTCCTTAAAATGTAAGTAGGGAGAATTTTTTCTAATTGTAATCGGTTGAGTTTTTTTGTTTTTTATAATATATCATATATCCCACCTTTTACGTAGCTCAATTATCTGTATTTTTCTTTTACAGCACTCTATGAGAACATAAGTTAAAATATTGAAAAAAGGAAAAATTCTACTCTTCCCAAGACTAACAATGTTTTTGAATAGTTTAAGTTAAACATTAAAATGTACATTGATTCCTGGAGATAATTAAATACAAACTATTTATTTAACAAATATTTATGAAGCGGCTACTATCTCATCAGATGCTATGCAAGATGCTTCGTTTTATGGACCTTGAAGTCTATTTTCCCTGGGGCAACCTTACTAAAACTGTATGTATTAAAAACAGATTTGATTAAAACATATCACCTACTATGACAGTACAGGAATGGAACACTGTTTTGAGAACTGAGTGAACAAAATGCTGTGTCTAAAGAAGAGTAGCTACCCAGATTAAAATTCAGTCAAATTTCCAGCTGCCTATCTATAGCTGATTGGAGGTAAATGTCTAGTCACTTCTCTGCAGTAGAAGAGTAATTCCTTGCTTCATAATGCTGAGAAATTTGGATGATAATAATGTCGGTAGAGGTTCATTGATTGTAACCCTGGTTTGCGGATGTTGCTAGTGGAAGATTGCAGAGTGTGGGGGAGAAGGTAGATGGGAATTTTTTGTACTTTCTCCCCAATTTCAATGTGAATCCAAAACTGATCTAAAATAATAAAGTCTCAATATTTAAAAATATTAATAAATAACACACCTAAAATTTATAATAATAATTTAATACCTTTTTACATTTAAAGGCATAACACTTGTTTTTGAATTGGGGGCCTGACTGTTGAAACTGAGTCATTCATAACTTATGCCATGAATTTGAAGACTACTCTTATTTTCTTTGCCATGATTCTTTGTAGTTGGCAGAAACAAAATAATTGGCTCTCTCATGTATTTATTTAACAAACAATTTATTGAACAGCTACTATCTAAAAGGTAGCCAACACTAAACATGCACTGACAGTGAGGGAGATGTGAGTGTGTGAGGGCAGGGGGTTGGCAACTCTCTGTACTTTTGACTCAGTTTTGCTGTGAACCTAAAACTGCTCTAAAGTCTATTAAAAAATACAACAATCAACACATCTTCCTTTATGCTACCATAGCTTTTATGTTATAAAAAACAAGCACATTAATGTGGAGCACATAGAACTACATCTGGTATACAGTGAGTTAAATATATACATACATACATATATATATATATATATATATATATATATATATATATATATATATATTTTTTTTTTTTTTTTTTTTTTTTTTTTTTGTCAAGACAGTCTCACTCTGTCACCCAGGCTGGAGTGCAGTGACGTGATCTCAGCTCCCTGCAACAACCACCTCCCCGGTTCAAGCGATTCTCCTGCCTCAGCCTCCCTAGTAGCTGGGATTACAGGTGCACACCACCACACCTGGCCAATTTTTGTATTTTTAGTAGAGATGGGGTTTCACCATGTTGGGCAGGCTGATCTTGAACTCCTGAACTCGGGTGATCCACCTGCCTTGGCCTCCCAAAGTGTTGGGATTACAGGCATGAGCCACCGCACCCTGCCGTGAGTTCTATATTGTGTTATTATTACTAGTATTATTAGAGACCACTTATCAAATAGTATAGCAATTGTTTGTCTTCATATCTGTCTTACATATGACTATACTGTGCACATCTTAAGAATCACGTCAGTTTTTCCCCCTCTCTGTATCTGAAGGGCCTAGTTGATGCTAAATAAATGTTGCTTGGATGGGTGGTGAAAGAATCAATGAATAATTGAATAAAAGGGATCAGACACTAGTGAATACAAATACAGATGGCCTCTGACTTATGATGGTTCAACTTAAAATTTTTCAACTTTAGGATGGTGCAAAATCAATATGCATTCAGTAGAAACTCTACTTCGAATATCCATATGACTATTTTGGTTTTCACCTTCAGTACAGTATTTAGTAAATTACATGAGATATTCAATACCTTATTATAAAATAGGCCTTGTGTGAGATGCTTTGTCCCAACTGTAGGCTAATGTTAGTGTTCTGAGTGCATTTAAGGTAGGTTATGCTAAGCTGTGATGTTCATAGATTAGGTGTATTAAATGCATTTTTGACTTAACAGTATTTTCAACTTATGATGGATTATTGGGATGTAACCCCATCATAAGTCAGGGAGCATCTGTATAAATGAGGCAATAATACCTTAGTCTAGTGGAAATGAAGGACAAGTACACAATGACATTTCAACACAAGTCAAACTGTGGGAAAAGTGAAAACAGAGGAATAAGTCAAGCTCCACTGGATGACAAATGACGAAATGATTAATCCTGATTCAGAAAATCAGAGATGCTTCACAACTACAGTGAACAAGAAACTTTAATGTAACCAGAGTTGCCTCCAAAAGGCAATGTATAAGTTCTAATAAGAAAGCTTTCAACATCTGTGAAAAGAATGGGAAGTGGGGGGGTAAAGAAAGCTTGTGTCTGTTTTGGAGCCCATTTATGACCCAGAAATTTATTCAATTAAAAAATTCCTTTTCCAAGATGTCTCAGAGAAATTATTCCAAAGCTCTGCAGTCAGGTCCCTTTCATTTCTAAGTTTATAGACCTGACCTGAAGAATTTGTTGAAATGCTGGAGATGACTGAAAAGTGTAACAACATGAAAGCCTAGCAGACAAAATGTTTATTTCTTTAATTTAGTTTTCCTAATAGCATCTTCCATCAATTTAACATGATTTAGTTTTTTCTTCTTAATCTACCAATGCAAAAAATATAAGAAGAGAAGTGTTTTAGAAAGAACCGTGTTATCTTACTGGGAAATGGAGAGAGGAAAAAAAATGATTCCTAGATAATATCAATCTATCGACCATTGAGTATGTCCTTCAGTGAAAATTAAATTTAAAGAGTCAAAGTCTCATGTTTACAAAGGACTATGATAAAAATGGAAAAAAGAGTGAGATCATCTAAACACCACACATTCCTACATGAACTGCATCAGCTCAACCTCAGAAAGCCATTAGACTAAATAAGCTTAAAGACCACCGATTAGTGAATTTACAAGGAACTCTAAATAGCCTATTCCTTTTAATTAGAGATTCTATTATTTTAATAACAATACTTTATACTTACATAGGTCCTTTCATCTACAGAAATCAAAAGGATTTTACAAGTGTGGTTTCATCATTATCCCCATTTCAGAGATTGGAAAATGGAGGCAATTAGTCACTTGTACAAACAAGAAGTTCACCGTCAACTGTTCAAAAACTATTTGGTGCGCAAGTTTTTCAGAAGCCAAAAGACATAGCTGCAAATGGCATATTCTCATAAAGCCAACTGGCAGGTAAGCCTTATAAGGTGAATAGCAAATTCAAAGTCTCCTGCAATTCAGCTCTTCCTGACAATTAAGCTCAGTGGCTTTTTTGTTTCAATTTATCCCTACAGAGACTATAGAGAAGCTCTCTACAGAGAATTTCACCATAGAATTTAGAGTTTTAAAAAACAAATCCCAGAATTTCTATGTGTTTCTACTTATTAGGCTGAAATTACTTTACCAGCTTCATGATTATGGAAACTATGAGGTGTTTATTTTCCAAAGAATTAACAACATTTGGGGTCATCAATAGTCTGTTACAAGACACTAATCTACATCTCTTCCTTGAGAAATTTTGGATCATCCCAGGAGTGCCCCAGTGACTCCATTCGCAAAAGAGTCATCAGGCTACTGTAGAGGATGTTCTCTGGGAGGCTCAGGATCAGGTTTCAATTCCAAAGATTGCCCCACAAACCATAAAAAAGCTACCCTAGGAAGGCTAGCAACTTACTCTTTGGGGAATAATTAATTGAAGGACATGTGTCCTGCTTTGGGACACACGGCTCATCACAGAATGGTAATTATGACATACACAAAATAACTTCCCAGCTCAGTCACTAAGGACTTAGTCTCGTGCCCTGAGATTCAAAGAAAAAGACCATCTAGCAAGATAAGTAGAGCCATCCAAAGTTGGTATGACAATACAATGGAATATTATTCAGCCTTTAAAAAGAAAAAAATTCTACCATTTGCGACAGCATGGATGGACCTGGAAGACATTTGTGCTAAGTGAAATAAGTCAGTCTCAGAAGGACAAACTCTGCATGATTATTCTTATATGAGGCATCTAAAGTAGCTGAACATAGAGAAGTACACGACGGAATTGTGGTTACCAGGGGATGGGGGAGGGGCGATAGGGAGTTGTAAAGTTATAATGATACAAGATGAGCAAGTTCCAGAGATTTTCTGTACAATATAGTGCCTATAGTTAACAATAAGGCATTCGGCACTTAAAAATGTGTTAAGAGGGCAGATCTCATGTTAACTGTTCTTACCACAAAAGCAAAAAATAAACAAAAACAAAGAACCACGAGGAACCTTTGGAGATGATGAATATGTTCATTATCTTGATTGTGGAAATGGCAACACAACTGTATAGGTATGTCCAAACACCATATTGTGCACGTTAATTATGTGCAGTGTTCTGTGTAACAATTATGCCTCAATAAAACTGGGAAACATTAAAAGTCTAGTAAATTGAACTTATAGATACAGTAAATCTTAAGTTACCTTTAAAAAAATGTAGGTGTGGAAAGAGTTCTGTTCCTGATGAGTTTGGACTGAGCAGATCACGGGGGGAGGTGAGCCACAGCCTGGAGATGGGGCCTCAGGGCCAGGCCGGGCCTTGACAATGGCTGGAGAGGCAGACCATCTCCCTGGAGGAAGCCCTGCTTCTTTGGACTGGCTTATGTACATGGGACTTCCTTACAGCCTGGACTTAAAGAACAGGCCCTATTTATTTCTGGCCCAAGGGCTTTTTAGAGCAGGGGGAGCCTCTTTTTTTTTTTTTTTTTTTTTTTTTTTGAAGGTAGGTCTCCATGATCCTAAGTTCCTATTACTTCTAGAGCAATATTTATAAACATTTCCTTACCAAAGGGAAATAGCAATGATCCCTTCTATTCTTTCTATCCCTACCTAAAACAAAACAAAACTTGCTAGCCATGGCAAAAATATGAAGAAGCTGGTAACAAAAAGAGTTTATGGTTATATGTGACTTCCTAAAGTCCTCTGCCTCAGGATTCTATGCAATGCAGATTTACAACTTTTTGAAAGTGTTGGCACTTTCTTTTTTTTTTTTTTTTTTTTCTGAGACACAGTCTCACTCTATTGTTGCCCAGGCTGCGTGCAGTGGCGCGATTTCAGCTCACTGCAACCTCCACCTCCTGGGTTCAAGTGATTCTCCTGTCTCAGCCTCCCAAGTAGCTGGGATTACAGGTGCCCATCACCACACCTCGCTAATTTTTGTATTTTTAGTAGAGACAGGGTTTCACCATGTTGGCTAGGCTGGTGTTGAACTCCTGACCCGTCTTGGCCTCCCAAAGTGCTTGGCTCCCAAAGGCGTGAGCCACTGCGCTTGGCCAGCACTTTTTCATTGATTGACATAGAAATAATTGTTCTAGAAGTATTTTGGGGTTTTGAACAAAGAAGTTACTGTGTTAGTGTGGTTTTCAATCACGCTAACCACACCAGCAACCTGCTCCTCATTCGTCTAAAACACCATGATAATTTTGAGAGAAGGTCTATAGAAGCAAATGCTTAAAAAACTTAGAAAAGCTGGATAATATATATCCAATATGTTATTGAAATTTTTGTCATGATTAATACCCAGGGCAAAACCAGGACCTAGATATTCTTCTGAATGACAGAATTAAAAATATTACTACAAAATGATTATAAAGCCAGAACTATTTATTTATTTATTTATTTTTTTGAGACAGATCTCACTCTGTCACCCAGGCTGGAGTGCAGTGGTGTGATTTCTGCTCACTGCAACCTCTGCCTCCTGGGTTCAAGAGATTCTCCTGTCTCAGCCCCCAGAGTAGCTGGGATTACAGGTGCCTGCCACCACACCCAGATAATTTTTGTATTTTTAGTAGAGACAAGGTTTCACCATGTTGGCCAGGCTGGTCTCAAACTCCTGACCTCAAAGTGACCCACCCACTTCAGCCTTCCAAAGTGCTGGGATTACAGGCGTGAGCCACTGCACCAGGCCTAAAGCCAGAACTCTTAATGTGAAAAAAGAAATCTAATGTCTGGGCACTCATGGACATAAAGATGGCAACAATAGGCACTGGGGACTGCTAGAGAGGGGAGGGAGGGAGGGGTCAAAGGTTGAAAAACTACCCACTGGGTGCTTCGCACACTACCTGGGTGACAGGATCAATCATATCTCAAACCCTAGCACTGTGCAATATATCTATGTCACAAACCTGCACTTGTATCCCCAGGATCTAAAATAAAGTTGAAAGTTAAAATTAAAAAAAAAAATCGAATGTCATTCCTACACCAACATCACAGGCCTTTGTATGTTCCCTTAGTAATACCTATTCAACCCCTTATGAAGCTCAATGACCTATATCCTCCTATGTTCCAGCATCCTATGAGAAGAGAAGTAAAAAGTATTTTTAAAAGGAAAAAGTCTTCTGCAACCACCCAGCCTACAACAGTGTCCAAGGGCTTTCCTGAGGTTGCCACTTGTGTTTTTTGTATTTCAGTGGCCCCCTGCCAGGCTTTGAGTGTTTATTCCCGAAGGGCATATGGCTGCTGGAAACTGGAGGTGGGAAAGATTGAAGAGGATTTGAAAAAGCCCCAAAGAGCTAGAGGAATGAGAAATGCACAGAGATGTCAAAGCAACAGGTAATGAGAGAGACCAGAGTCTAAAGGAAGGACACTGAGCAAATTTTGTGATGTCCGGTTCAAGTCCAGAGAAGAGTGACAAAAAGCCATTGTTATCTAATAACAACCCCCCGCCCGCCCCCCCCACCCCCAGCTCCTCGAGAAAGCTCTGTCTTGCCACGTCTCGACAATTTTGTCAAAGTTACAACCTGGTCATAAGCTTTAATGAGAAACATGCACCCTGCTGAGGTCAGGAGTTCGGGACCAGCTTGGCCAACATGGTGAAACCCCGTCTCGAAATACAAAAATTAGCCAGGCATGATGGCGGGTGCCTGTAATCCCAGCTACTTGGGAGGCTGAGGCAGGAGAATCACTTGAACCCGGGAGATGGAGGTTGCAGTGAGCTGAGATAGCACCATTGCACTCCAGCCACGGTGACAAAGCGAGACTCCATCTCCAAAAAAAAGAGAGAGAGAGAGATCTGTTCAAATCATGAGAAATGCTGAGACCAGAACACCTGCCTTTGACTCCTGTCTTCCGAATGCCAAGCTTCACCCATCCCTTTTCAACAAGTGCAAACCCATTTCAGGAGAGGGCACCGAATCCATCTTGAAAGGACTTGCTCCGAGTTTCAAAGCTGACGCTTTTAAGCTCTTAAATTCCCCTTCCAACAAACAAGCCAATAGTATGTTGGCATGCATTCATATAAGCAGGCTTGGCCCACGCCATATTTATTTAGTCTTCATAACTAGATGTACTAGAGGGTGTGAAGAATAAACCAGCACATCAGCCTTATTGAATATGCTTCCGACCAAAACCATCATTGGTTTGCCTTTCAAAGCCTAATCTAAGAGTCTCTGTCAAGAGTCTCATCTCTTCCTTAGAAGGAGCTCTTTCCCCAGCTCTGGCCCTCCCCACCAAGCTTGGAGCATGGGCCTCACCTGTGCACTTGCAGGTCCGGTGGAAGAATTTTCTTGGCCACAGCTCACGGTCATCCTGGTTTCGTAGGATGTAGGGACCACTCCAGGGCCTTGTGTCGGCTCGCACCTCTGTGCACTGCCCCCGGCCTTGCTGAGAGCCACAGACATTGGCCGACTCTGCACCCAGGCGTGGGCAGCACTCCTTGTTCACTAGGCTGTCCACCGTCATGCAGACTCGGGGGAACTGACCCTGGGCTCCTGGCAGGATTTTGCAGCCCAAGCAACTGAGCAGAAACCCCCACCAAAGGGGGCTCATGGCTTTATAATTGGGAGAGCTCTCTCTCTCTCTTACTTTCCTTGTCTCTGTCGTACTTTTCTCCTTATCTTCTACTCTTTCAGTCTTTTCTTTTCAGTATTTTTTATTTTTCTTTGCTTTCTATTCCTTTCTTCTTAAAAAAATACCCACAAGAATCACAGAGGTTACATGTGTGCACATGTGTACATGAACGTGCACACACAATTTTATGTGATTCAAACAACTAACAGACTTAATTTCCTTAGAAGCGCCTCTAACAACCAAATTTAATGAGGGTAGCGCTTCTCACCATCTTCCCCCGTTAAGTCAGGCTTTGTCTAATTGAGTTAATTTACAGAGCACCCAGTCATACTACTTATTATGCTGGTATTTCTAAACCCTCTCCCTCCCTCCTTAGCTCTTGACTTTAATTGCCTTGAACTCAGTTCAAAAGCCAAACACCGTGCTGCTTTTATTCTCTCTGGCTTGCCAAGCCACGGGGCCTTGGGGGCTTGTGTAAGGGCTGGGAGAAGCCTTCATTAGGGGGATTAGTATTACAGAAACCCTCATCATTAGCACATGACCCAAAGTGCACAATAAAGGAGATCACTTCTGGCTTTATTTCAGGAGGGCAAAACCATCTTCTTTATCTGGGCTCATGTGCTCCAGCCAAACTTGTGACCTCAGACATCCTGGGGAGTCAGTAGATGCAGTGAGCTCTTCGTCAAAGACCCTTTACACAGAAGCTCACATTGCCAACTACAATGCACTCATGGCTGCTTTCTGACATGTGTGCAAAAAAGACCACAACAGGGGGTCATGCAACTTCAAAAATAAAGAAACATTTATGTAGAACCAGGGTACAAGGAATTGCTTTGTTCCACAATTGGGAATCCTCTTCCCTCCAAATAATAACTTACTCTTCTCCTATTCAGCACATCTACGCAGCAATTTTTTTTTAATTACATGAAGTAGCATGCCACCAGAAACTCACAATTGTCATTATCTGATTGTATGGAAGGCACTGGAACCATTTGGAATGAAGGCTTGCAAGCAAATCTTTTTGATTAGACTAAAGTGAAGCATGACTGAGCTTCAGTCTAGAAAGCAATGCCTCCTGGTGCTTCTGGAGAATGGTCAGGTCAGCAATGGTGGCCACCTGTCAGAACATCCATTTATTTTTTCACAGTGGAAACAGGACTGTCTTGGTAACTGTTTCACAGTGGAAACAGGACTTAGTGCCACAAGGATGCGAAACGGCTTCAGCTAGTTTCTAAGAATATACTTGAATGTAAAGACACATATTGTTATGTTTCAAAGCAAATTCCTAAGGTGAAACAATTATATAGGTATTCCCACCCCCTGTACCTCTGTGCCACCCCTTGATGTTAAGTTGTTGTGACTAATTAAATGGCAATTCTTATGTCTGACTCTACACCAATATCAGCCTGTACCACAGCCCTACTGAATCAGAATCTCTGAGGATGTTCCAGACACCAACCAACCTTTGTTAGAAAACATCTAGGCAATTCTAATGCTCAGCCAGAGTTGAGAATCACTGAATCAGAATACAGCAGAGCTCCAAAGGAAATATTGCATCAGCATCAGCTAAAAGAGACCATGTGCAATAGTTTCCTGAGGCTTCTGTAACAAATGACCACAAACTGGATGACTGAAAACAACAGAAATCTATTTTCTCACTGTTCTGAAGGCCAGAAGTCTAAAATGAAGGTGTTGGCAGGACTGGCGTGTGTCAGCCAGGCGGCTGCACTCTCCCTGGAGACTCTAGGCTAGAATCCTCCTTGCCTTTTCAAGCTTCTGGCAGCTGCTGTCAATCCTTGGCTTGAAACCGCAGCTCCAATGTCTGCCACAGCCCCATGGCCTTCTCCCCATCTGTCTGTGTTTTTCCTCCATGTCTGTTTCTTATAAGGACACTTATTGGATGTAGAGCCCACTCAGATAATCCAGGATGATCTCATCTCAAGATTCTTCACTCAATTACATCTGCAAAGAAGACTCTTTTTTCCAGACAAAGTCACATTCACAGGTTCTGAGACATGGACATATCTTTTGGGGAAGTCACCATTCAACCTAACACATCATGGGTGGGAAGAAACTTGGGGTTCTAAAATCGCAAAATCTCAGGGGTTTTTGAAACCTTTATTTTGGAGCTCATTCATTCATTCCATGTATATTTATTGACTGCCACTTCATGCCAGCATTGTGACACTTGGGAATTTTATTCCAGGTTTTTGTGAAGCCTTGGGGCTCCATAAATGTTAAGATAAAATTTCTTGGATGTTAAAACTGATGGAGTCAATAATTCTTATGTCAGAATGCCCCAGGTCGAAGTCCTAGGATCTCTTTTCTTTCATTTCCACACTTGCTAGATAACTCAGCTAGTCTGAGGCCTTAAATGCAGGCTATCATGACTTTCCAAAATTACAACTCTGACTTTGACCTCAGTTGTGAGCCCCAGACTCATATTATCTAACTTCCTACTGGACCTCTCTACTTGAAGGTTTAGATATTTCTCACCCAAGTTGAGAACTTTTGCTCTCTCCTCCCAAATGTGTTCTCCATTGGTCTTCTCCATCTCCACAAAGAGCAGCATCACCACAACCCTACAAGTGATCTTTGAGTCTTCTCTTTCCCACCTCCCCATGTGTGCTTTCCAATGCACTTCAAGTAAAATCCGAGGTGCTTTGCATGTGCTACTCAAAGTGTGGCCAACAGATCCGTGAATGGTGTGTTCCTGGTTTACATCAAGTTAAGAACAATAAGAATAGAAATTGAGAGTCAACACTGGGAAATTTTCATAGCAATTTGACATTGGGATAACATTCAGGCATACGATCAGTAGTTTCATTCAAGAGGGGAGAGTCCGGCTGTGAGGTTGCCAAACGTGCATGGTGATGATCACGGAGCACAGGCTGAATGCAATGAGTCATGTGCAGTTGGATCACGTGTTAGTCTGTGGCTGGAACATTTTTCTTTTTTAATCATTTACCATGGATAGTTTGAGAACTAGCTTAAAAGATCCTCCATGATTTTTCCCTCGCCTGCCTCTCAATCTCTTCTTCTGGATGGCAGACTATTGCAATCACTATTATTCAAACATGCCCCCATTCATTTCCACCTTGGCCTTTGTCTTGCCATTCCCTCTGTCTGGAATAATCTTGCTCAGAGCCCTCAGCTTCTCAGAGAGGCCTTCCATGATATTTTAACACGTCTACAGCCAGCCACCTTCTCTCTACCACATTACCTTATTTTATTTTCTTCATAGCACTTATCACCATCTAAAGTTATCTGACTTATTGGTTAGGTGGCTGAAAGACTGTCTCATCTACTGGACTATAAGCTCCTTAACTCTGCTGTGTTTTTCCAACATGTGCAACAGTATTTGGCAAATAGAGACTACTTGATAAATAGTTGATGAATAAATATTCCCAATTCAAAACTGTATGTTCATCAAAAGGGCCTCATTATTATAGTGACTGGCTTTATACAAATTAAATGCTTTTATTTTGAATATATAAAACACTTAGGCTTATAATGACCACTATTATATTGGGGGTTTCATATTAGGTTTTATTAAACTGCTGCAAATGTTTGAAAACCACCAACCCAACATCACTACAACCCATGAACTCCCCCCTCAGTATTTCCAACAAAATATCACTAGTGAGGAGGTTCTCACAACATTTCAGGAACAGTTCTAAGGGTGAGGAAATTCTTCCTTTTCAATAAGTTTTTGGCCTGGCACAGTGGCTCATGCCTTGTAATCCCAACATTTTGGGAGGCCAAGGCAGGCAGATCACGTGAGCCCAGGAGTCTGAGATCAGCCTGGGCAACATGGTGAAACCCCATCTCTACTAAATATACAAAAATTAGCTGGGCATGGTGACATGCACCTGTAGTCCCATCTAGTAGGGAGGCTGAGGCAGGAGGATTTCTTGAGTCCAGGAGGTTGAGGCTACAAGTGAGCCGTGATTGCACCACTGCACTCCAGCCTGCAGAAAGGAGTGAGACCCTGTCTCAAATAAATAAACAAAAAAAAGTTTTTAACAGTAAGTATAATTTAAATGTAAATTTAAACATAAATGTTAAATAAAAATTTCCTTCCCCAATTCTTTCATCAAAAGCCTTTGGTAACCCAGTCAGGCTCCATAGACCGGGTACAGTCCATTTCCCACAGGCGTTTCTCCCTTTTTTTTTTTTCCAGACTAAATATTCTCCATTCCTTTTCATTTTCTTTCATATGACTTAGTTTGTTTTTTGTTTTTGAGACAGAGTCTCACTGTGTAACCCAGGCTGGAGTGCAGTGGTGCAATCTTGGCTCACTGCAATCTCCACCTCCCAGTTTAAGCAATTCTCCTACCTCTGCCTCTCGAGTACCTGGGACTACAGGCACCCACCACCACATCTGGCTAATTTTTGTATTTTCAGTAGAGACGAAGTTTCACCATGTTGGCCAGGCCGGTCTCAAACTCCTGACCTCAGGTGATCCTCCCACCTCGGCCTCCCAAAGTGCTGGGAGTTTACAGGTGTGAGCCACCGTGCCCGGCCCATATGACTTAGTTTTAAATCTCCCCATCAGCATGGTCTTTTTTACGGACAACACAGTTCACGATTTGACCTCTGAATGCAGGTTTCCCATAACTTAATTCAATGTTCCTGCTACGATCTAAGCAAAGATAACCGAAAAAGAATTACCTTGTAAGCTTTGCTAGACAGTCACATCACCTCATCAATTTTGTCTACATCCACTCAGGCTAACTCACGCTGCAGTTAAGACCTCAAAATGTTATTTGGCTTATAAAAGAAATGTTTATTTCTTATGCAGCTGCACATCCACCACATGTCAGCTGTGACTGTGCTGTACACTGTGTTCACTCCAGGACCCAGGGGGAAACAGCATCTTTTCATTCTTTTCATTCTGCTAATTTTGCGTCAAAGTAGAGGTCAGTGATGGGCCACTACTTGGAAGAGGTCCACCTTACTCACGTCTGCTCCCACCCCATTGGCAAAAAGCAAGTCCGCGGGCAAGACAGCTGCTCTCAAAGACAGGGGTTCTGTGAGGATGGCCCCTTTAGGGAGAGTCAAGAAGTATTTTATTTTTACTGCATTTGAAATCAACTTAAAGCCTTATGTCATTTTCATATAGCTTTCACAAGGCTGCCTTAAAGTCAGATGCCTCTCATATCCCCATCTGCTCTTCTATTCGTATGGAATTGCCTTTTGAGGTCTGTATTAGTTTGCTTTGGCTTCCATAACAAAATGCCATAGAGTAGATGGCTTAAACAACAGAAATGTACTTTCCCACAGTTCCAGAGGCTGAAAGTTCATGAGCAAGGCATGGGCAGGGTTGGATTCGTCTGTCAAGGCCTCTGTCCTCGGCTTGCAGAGAGCTTCCCTATTGCTGCCCCATGCCATGGTCTTTCCTCTCTGCACATGCACTTCTGGTGCCTTCTCATGTGTCTAAATTTCCTTTTTTTATACGAACACTGGTCAGATTGAGGCCCATCCTGACGACTTCATTTTTAACTTAATCTCCTCTGTAAAGGCCCTATTGCCAAATACAGTTATATTCTTGGGTGCTGCAAGTTGGGAATTGAATGTAGGAATTTTGGGGAGGATGCAGTTCAGCTCCTAACAGGGTGTAAATGAAAGGGTTTATTTTGCCTCTGTCCAATGTTGTCATATTAAATGGGTGTGATAAGCAATGGGATTTCTCTCATTCCTGCCTTTGTCCTAACTACACATTTGGTTGACCCGTCTTTATTGTCTTCGTAACCCAATTCATTGATGAAAATGACCGAATGTCAAGGTCCATGGCAGGACTTGAGACACGTCACTCAAACAAAAGCGTCTCACTCTGGCACTCTGCTGGGGGGCGGTGGGGGGGTGGCCACAAGAGGAACTTCAGGGGGATCTTTGAACATCCTGAAATTGTGAAGAAAATGTAGCATGGGTCTTTTTCTGTTAAGAAGATTCATAGATTTTGTTAGCTTCTCAAATGGATTCATGACCCTGCCCTTGAGACTTTAGCACAGGTAGAACCTTGGAGGGCTCTGTGAGAGAACTTAGAGACTCCGAGCATCATCAGTGTTTCCAAAGGATGTCATGGCCATTAACCACCAGTCTGCTTGTCCACAATGGAGGCACCTGTATAGTTCACTGCCTTTCTCCTAGAATGGCAGAGCCCCTGAGCTTTCCTGTACTCACCTGGTCTTAAAAGAAAAGCCTTAAATACTTAAAGGAAAAGGCTTAAACGAAGCTGCAATCCCATCAACCTTGCACAAACACAGTGTCTGGCACATAGGAAGCACTTTCAAAATAACTGTTGAGTAAATGAACCATCATCTATAGTATCCTCCCCAAATTCACAATCATTCCTAATAAAGGCAGGTCACTCTTTCTCTCACGGAAACACCCAGTTTGAAGTCCCATATCTTGAAGGAGAGCAGAGAAAACAAAATGGGACAGGAAGTAATAATACTAATGCTTGATAGGTGAGAAAGGGCTAAAAGTATTGATTATTTAGCCAAGAGAATTGCTAGGGAGTGACTGATTTTCAAAAAGATAAAGAGATTTCCTTTGGATTTGGAAGGATAAGGCTGCAGGTGATCTATACGTTGTGAAGTGCTCAATGTCATTGGGTTTGTGGTCTTTTTTAGTTCCTACGCGTTGCTCGATTGCATGATTTTAAAAGTAAGAAAGCAGCTTAATGTATTAAGTCCCTACTATGCTCCAGGCACTAAGCTAAGGGTGAGTATGTAATGTTTCTAGTTATTTATTCACTGGTTATTATCCTCATTTTACAGAAGAGAAAACAGAGGCTGCCAGACCTCGGGTAACAAGCTCTGTGACAGAGCTGTGTTTTCCTGACTCCAAAGTTGTGGTCTTTTCACCATGTCGAGTTGTCAAACTCATCATTTTCTCTGGGGAAGTCAGCACAGTGCCTCATACAAAGGGACTGATGGAAACTTACAATCTCTTATCTCCTACTCCATGCCAGGTACTATGCTAAGCTTGCTTTCCTTACCTTTTGTTATCTCATTTAAATTCCAAGAAACTGCTGCTTGAAATTTTAGTATTTCTAATTTAAGTGAATTGATTTAATATTGCTACCCTAGATGGAAGCCCTAAGCACGTCAGAATAGAATTAAGAAATCCTCATTCTGATGGAGGAGATTGATTGAAGTTGAGAATAAGGGTTGGGCTCCTCCTAGCCTTGCATTAACTAAATTACCCTTTAGTATTAAGCCATCAGCCTGCATTAGGGCATGATTTGGAAAAACATCCTGTGAAACTTGTAAGGTATTTTTAATATCATCAAACACATTTCCCAATGTCATTTTATGGGGATCCAGGGAGAGATTTCTTGCAGGCTTCAGTATCCAGGAAAGCTGTACTTCCCCATAGAAAGCAGCTTATCCAGGACTGTTGGACCATGTGAATCTTAGGATGGTGTTTCTTTCTTTACCTTGGCCAGTTATGAAGCTTGGAGCCAAATTTGCAGCCCCCACATCAAGCAACTGATTCACGCAGTATCTACTTTAATATTCTCCTTCCCTTATGTTCCTGGGTTCTGGGATTCTTATTTTATCCTTTTGCAAATTTATGTATTTCCCTAGCTTGTCTCAAATCCTTTGAGAAATAAGACAAACACACACACACACATTTCTGTGTAAGTGCAAAGGTAACAAACACACAGCCAAGTTGTTGTTTACAAAACAGGGCTTAGAGAAGAGTTCAAGAAGAATCCCTAAAAATTTGGTATAAGTGAATACAGACCTAAGGACATAAGCTAAGAAGATCTCAAATCATAAGCATGACTGTAATTAAACATTGCATTATTTGCAAAAGAGAAAGTCTTTGTTAGAAACTGAATAGCAGAATCCAAGAGGGGATATCTCATGGGTGTATTGAGACCATTGGTTACCAATGGAAGCCATCGAATCAAGGACTACTATAAGGAATGTTCTGAAAGCCAGTAAAGAGAGGCAGCTGTGTATCATACAGCTTAATAGTCTGAGAGTAGAAAAGTGCCTTATTAGAAAGCAATTCATTTTACTCTCTCTTTTTACAGCTGAGGCAAGACTAAGTGAAAAGGGATGTTCTGCATACTTTCATTTTGCATGCCGGCACCTAGCACCAACTTGCACATAAGAAGGACTCAATGTATGTTCATGACATACTGAATTAGATACCTTAGAGAATTTGTAAGTGGATGATGCAGGGCAGACATGCATAGCTTTGGAGCTAGGATGCCAGCCTATGCCTTCCTGTGCCAGTCTATGTGTTCAAAGGAGGAAGAAATGGCTCAAAGCCTGGGAAGCAATTGAAGAGAAAGGTAGATGTGTTAGAGCCATGGCTAAGATTAATACAGAGAAAACATATGCATCTTTCTCCTGCTTGCCAACGAGTTGCCTGCTCTTTACTCCTGTGCCTCTGAATGTGAAAATCCTCCCCGTTTTTTAGCCCCCTGCTCACCTTCCCTGTCTGATGGTTTTTGATCTATTCTTTGCTGCCTCATCATGGGGAAAAGAGATTATTTTTTTCCCTGTGACCAAGTTGTTTCCTAAATGCTGGACATCTGTCCTGATAAGAGTTTTGCTTTCTACATCTAAGAGCCTTTTTTCTTCTTGGTGGTATGAATTGTTCTTCAGAGGAATTAAGGGTTAGAAATGGGACGTGTGGTCTGTTATTTCAGTTGAGTGCATTTTTTTCATCTTGAATGCATTTTTTATAGTTCATCCTTAAGTCTGTGTTTATACACCAAACACTTTTTAATTTCAGATTTTGCATCATTTATCTTTATATTAATCTTAGTTATTTGCTATGCACACTGTGCCCTCTAATTCTTATTTTATCATTGTTTTTTATGCTTCATTCTGGTACATGAGTATTCAATTTGGATTTTTATGTGTACCCTTATAATTTAATGACTGATTTGGGTAAGCAATAGAGCTACTCCTTCTTCAAAATACAGTTCTATGGGAGGGAATCACTCTCTTCCTGCTCAATTCTGATCAAATCCAGAAAATACCACCTATACATTTGTAAGAGGTTGTATGGGCTGAAAAAATATATATATTTTTAGACAACTTTAGTACTAATGGATCTACCAGGGTTTATAGATGTACAATTTAGACTGTTCAGGGTCTAGAAGGATTTCCAAAATATGTTGTCTGCCAGGCACGGTGGCTCACACCTGTAATCTCGGCACTTTGGGAGGCTGAAGCAGGAGGATCACTTGAGCTCAGGAGTTTGAGACCAGCCTCGGCAACATGGCGTAACCTATTTCTACAAAAAATACAAAAATTAGCCAGGCGTGGTGGTGCATGCCTGTAGTCTCAGCTACTCAGGGAAGCTGAGATGGGAGAATAGCTTGAGCCCAAGAGGCAGAGGTTGCAATGAGCTGAGATCGCATCACTGGACTCCAGCCTGGGTGATACGGCCAGACCTTCTTGTCTAATATATACACACACACACACACACACACACACACACACACACACACACACACGCCATATATATACATACATATACACACACATATACACATACATACACACACCATATATATACATACATATACACACACATATGTACACATACATACACACACATACACACACAAACACACATATATATATAGTCAAGAGAAAAACATAAGGTATATAGCTATGAACTCACTATGTTTATGCTAACATGTACATGTGAGGGAGTGGGGGCAGGGAGTATGTCTGTGTCTGTGACTTGTCTGTGTCTATCTGCCCATCTGTGTGTGTCAATGTGTAGAATAAACACAAGAAACTGGTTGAGTGCTGTCTGTGGGAATGGGCCTAATGGGGTGAGGAACAGGAGCAGAAAGAACAATTATTTTCATTCTATATTTTTGTACATTTTGAATTTTGAACCATGCATGTATAGTACTTAGTTTAAAAATTTCGTTAATAAAAAAATTCAAGTTAAAAAAATTTGGAATGATGAGGACTTGTGAGGATGACATTACATAAAGGAGGAGTTTCCTGGAAGTATTAAAAAGAGTATAACCCAGTCAAAATCCCAGCAAGTTACTTTGTGAATAAGGACAAACAGTAGAGGTTTATATGGAGAGGCAAGAAACTTACCAGTTCTATGACCCTGGACAAGTGGTTATTCTCTCTCAGCCTCAGATTCCTCATCTGTAAACCCAAGATGAAGATATCTACTTAATAAAGCATAATTTTAAGGATTAGATATGGCATTGGATATAAATTGCCTAGCAGAATCTGGCACACAGTAGGTACTTAGCACATTTTTATTACTTCCATTAAACAATGCCTCAAATTTCTACACTGGCAAACCACTGGTCTGACCCATTATATTATTACTTGTTTGAAAAATTACTACCTTCATAATCAGTAGCCCATATGACCTCTATTTCAATGGACAGCCAGGAAGGGGTGAAAGATCTTGCCAGAGTACTGAAAAATCCTCTCCACTGAGAAAATTTTGATTCTAGGAATGATTAATACACACACACACACACACACACATATACACATGTCTAAGCATCTAATTATAAGTACTTCTAATAATTTTTTTCTGGAAACTAAATAAGTATTTATAACTCACACATAGAAGATATTCTTGTCCATAATGCAATATTACTACCCAGAAATGAAGTTGTTTTCTTCTTAGATTCTGCTTAGTCAAATGATGATACGCTATGTTTACAGCTATGCTATTCTGTTAGCCTTGGAACTTAGGAATCTCACTAATTATGACAAATATAGGTGGAGGCAAGGTTTAAAGAAGCCACAGAGAATGAATAAACCAGATAGGAGCCCTCTTACTAATTTCAAGAGCTGACAAAAATAAATGCTATCATTAAAAATAAG
Source organism: Homo sapiens (assembly GCF_000001405.40). Lineage (NCBI taxonomy): Eukaryota > Metazoa > Chordata > Mammalia > Primates > Hominidae > Homo > Homo sapiens. The sequence continues at coordinate 94,490,130 of NC_000013.11, forward strand.
GAAAAATCTTTTTCAAAAATTTCTTGACCTGAATCTGGTGGTTTTACACCAAGTTCATTACTTTATCATTGCTGTCAAAAACCAACTAACCAAAGCTGGGCGCAGTGGCTCATGCCTGTAATCCCAGCACTTTGGGAGGCTGAGGTGAGTGGATCACCTGAGGTCAGGAGTTCTAGACCAGACTGACCAATATTGTATAATCCTGTCTCTACTAAAAATACAAAAATTAGCTGGGCATGGTGGTGCATGCCCATAGTCCCAGCTACTCATGAGGCTGAGGCAGGAGAACTGCTTAAATCTGGCAGGTAGAGGTTGCAGTGAGCCGAGATTGTGCCACTGCACTCTAGTCTGGGCGACAGAGCAAGACTCGGTCTCAAAAAAAAAAAAAAAAAAAAAAAAAAACAACTAACCATGGTGTCTGTGTCTGTCTGACATTTGCTTTAAAAATGGTTCTTCTCATTGAATCTCACCTGCACTCATTCAGTTACTTTTCATGGACCACGTGTGCATGCACACACACACATACACAAAGCTAAAAAAACCTCCAAACTTTCATAATAGAAAAGATATATGTACTTACAAATCATAGCAGACAGCTGCCTAGTAAATGTAAATTTTGTTGTAATGAATTTTTCATTTCTAAAAAGTATTCTAGTATAAGAAGGAAGACACACTGAAAAGTAGTAGAAAACAAGATAATTTCATAGAGGTTTCAGTTTACCTTCAATTATGAGTTTATAATATGTAATATTTTTGTAATCACAAGATCTATTGAATTCAGGAAAGTTACCTATTTATTTATGCCATGAAATGGATTTCACCTTGAGCACCAATGATTCAAAGGCCAGGTTGGAGCTCAGCAGAAGAGTATGTAATAATGGAGGGGTGAGCAACCTTCTTGTGGAAACATTTAGTCCTCACCGAAGACCGGAAAGAATACAAAGATGTCAGTGAACAAGAAAAGTCAGGGCGCTTTTAGGGACTGGGAACCATAGAGAGTAAAGAGTTCAGAGTAAAGCTTCCACAAACTGAGTGCCTCAAACAATAAAAATTTATCATCTCACGGTCCTGGGGCTAAAAGTCTAAGATCAAGGTGTCAGCAGAGCCATGCTCCCTTTGAAGTGATAGGGGCGGATCTTTTCCAGGCCTGTCTTTCAGCTTCTGGTAGTTTCTTGGCTTGTAATATAGAACTCCAATCTTAATATGATGTTCTTCTTGTGTTCAAGGCTCTGGGCCTGAATTTCCCCTTTTATGAAGACAACAATATATTAGATTAGGGGCCCATCCTACTCCAGTATGACCTCATCTTAATTAATTATTACCTGCAATGACCTGACTCCTAAATAAGGTCACATTCTGGGTTACTCAGGGTTTGGGCTTCAGCATATAAATTTGAGAAGGACACAATTCAACAGATAACAGATAATAAACGGTGAAACTGGGCATCAAAACTCAAATACTCATTCTCTTTTTACAACCAAGTCATCCTGAACACATCCTCAAACTTTTGGGATTAGAAGGAGAGTTGGTATGGGTCATGCTGTATGGAAGAGAAACTGAAGAGAAGTGGGTCACCATCATAAGACTTAGCTGCTTTCTGGTGACATGAAGAATTCTGCTTAATCTCACGGAAGTGCCAAATTGGGTGTAGGGGAGTCTACTTCTGCAAAGGTTAGCATTTGTCAATCAGTACTGGATCTCCTCTCAGAATTCTGCAGTTAGTCCTATGCATGGTCTCTGTGAACCATATTACCTCATAAATTTTAGATCTGGATGAGAAGTTAAAGATCATTTAGACCAATACTCTCAAGTGAGAAAATCAAAGCCCACTCAGAGTTTAGAATAACTCATTCATGACCATGGAGCCTCAGCATCCTGATTCATAGTGCAGTGCTCTTTTCTCTCACTGGACAACCAGGGGTGAGTAAAACATGAGATCTCTCTTACCTGTTATGGACACGTTTTTCTCCCCTCACCTTTGTCTCAAGCATCGCATTTGTAAAACTCACTCTTAGCTCATCGTTCTCCCAACTCAACAGTTAAAGGCAGATACATAGAAAGTGCTCAGTATTTATTGAATGAACTTATAAATGACAGCAGAGAAGCAGCGAGCCTTAAAGATAAACTTCAACTGAAATATCCAGGTGGCCTCTTGAATCACATGCCCCTCCCTCTCTACAGAGGGGTCCACAGAACTCTTTTGCTTCTTCTAAGTTGAAGGTGGTTGGGTCTTCTCCTCATAGATGTTTCCTCTGAACTAAGCTTGAGGTTCCCAGAATGGCAGCAGCTCCTCTTCCTGCAGGAGATTGGACACCTCTTTGTGTTCCAGGGCAACATGACTGGCTATGCCTGGGGGCTTCACTCCCTGCCTTCTGTTAATATTTATACCTAATATCTAACACAGTGCCTAGCACAAGTAACTGAATGATAGACCATGACTATTACTTGGACTACAGGATCCAAGTTAGTTGGGGATGGGAACTTATTCCAAATTACTTGCTAATGTCTTCCAAATCAAACCCCCAAATTTGAGGTTTAATATAATTTTTTTCACATTATTTATAAGAAACATTGATTTTAGAAAAACTGAAGAACACAAAGATGTACAGAAAAGAAAATGTAAATCACTCATGTTCTCACCATCAAGAAATTATTCTAATTAATCTTTGGGTGTTTATCATTCCAGATGAAAATATTCATTCCTTCAATAGCTTTTTAAAACCTAATTGGAATTATAGTATATATATTTTCATAGTCTATATTGACCCCTGATCGACGTACATATTGAAAATGCTTTTTCCAAATTTGCAGTTGTCAAAGTACAGAGGAAGGAAGTCTGAAATCTTTGCTCAATCAAAACATGGCAGTCATAGAGAATGGCAGCACCCAAGGCATCCATTGTGCTTGGAACGTTCATTGTATCCAATGGTGAAAAATGCTTCACATCTGTGCTCAAGACAAGAGAGACTCTTTTGCAACATGACCCCGAAGAAAAGAACTCTGTGGGCTATTTTCAGATCTAATATACTCTATAAGATGGTTTTTGATATTAGGGCACATCTCTAATTCCACATTATTAGCCATCATCCTAAGACTTGCCAGCTTCTCGAAATTTAGACTTCTACAGGATCCAAGGGAAATGCCTGCCCCCCACGACTTATGCTGAGTGAAAAAAAACCTGACAAAAATAGTACATATAATCATTTATATAAAATTCTAGAAAATGCAAACTAATCTTAAGTGACAGAAAGCAGATGAGTGTCGGCCAGAGGACAGAGTGGTAGGTATGGCTGTGAGAAAGGAATTCCCAAGGCATATGAGGACTATGACAGATAAACATTCATTACCTTGAGTGTGATGATGGTTTCACTGGTGAATTCTTAGGTGAAAAGTCATCCAATGGTAGGCTTGAAATATGTGCAGTATATTATACATCAGTTATACCTCAGTCAAGTTATGGTGACATGCACAAAATGACATGGACAGAATAAAATGTATATTGCTAAGTCTGAAAGGGCTACATACGATATGATTCCAACTACACAATATCCTGGGAACATCAAAACTGTGGAGACTGTAAAAAGATCAGTGGTTGCCAGAGGCTTGTAGGGAGGGAGGAAAAGATGAATAAGTGGAATGCAGCGGGTTTTTAGGGCAGTGAAACTATTCTGTGTGATACTGTAACAGTGAATGCATGTCATTATACATTTGTCAAATCCCACAGGGTGCACAACACAAAGAGTGAACCCTCATGTAAACTATGGGCCCAAGTTAATGATTGTATCAACAGTGGAAACAGTGGGGCAGTAAGAGGCTGTATGGGAACTCTTTCTACTTTCGGCTCAATTTTTGTAAAGCTAAAACTGCTCTAAAGAATAAAGGCTATTAATTTTTTTAAATGTTTAGAGATGCCAAAAGCTATAAAATTAGGAGATTCCACCTAAAAGTCTGGATCTCAAGCTCATCCCAAAAGACAAGAAGCTCCAGAAATCCTGCATTAAGCCCACTCATGGCTCCCCAGGATCTCACAGCTAGTGCTCCTCGTCCCCATACATTGCCACCTGGCCCTGCAGGCCTCACAGCTTTTAACATCTGCCTTCTGTGCTTGGCCTCCCCGATCCTGGCTCCTAGCCAGAGCCCAGGAAACAGTTTCCTTAGAGGGGCATTTTGATTGCTTTGTCACTATTCCCCAATCTGCATCCTTTCATCATTTTGTTTGTGCTCCTTAAGTCTATTTTAGGTGTAATCAGCCTCACTGATTTCACTAGGGGTTCTCTGAGACTAGTTTCTCCTCTATCTTCAGGGATTTCCCAGGCAGGGAACGCCTAATTGGTATTATTTGCTGATCTCCTCTTCCTTCACTCAGTTTTGTCTCATTCCTGCTGTATACCCATTCTCCTTGCAACAGCAAAATTAGGAAGTAAATGTGTGGAATTTTGTTTAACCCTTTACTCGCTAGCCTCCTGCAGGTCTTCCCTAGCACTAAGTTATCATTTACTCTGAAAACTTTCTATAATATAATGAAGGAATGATTCACTGCATTATAGAAAGTTTTTAAAGTGTTAAAGAAACAGAAGCAGAAAGTAATTAATCACTACTCCTTCACTCAGAGATAACCACAGCTTACATGTTGATATTTATACATTTAATCTTTATTCTGTGCATATACATAATTGAAACAAAATTATGATATTACATTCTGCATTATTTTTTCCATTTAACAATATGTTATGCATATTTTTTCATATGATTTTGAAGGGTTATAGAATACTCATTGTATAGTAGATAATTATGATGTCATAATTGATTTAATTTCCCTGTTTTTGAATATTTAGCATTATTTACAGCTTGTCACTTGTATTAATAATTCTGCAACAAACATCCTCGTCAATTAATCTTTGCCCTCCTCTATGATATTTTCCATGAGTTAAATTCCAAGAAGCAGACTGTTCAACTACATGCTTATTTATATTTTCTTTTTTTTTAAAACAGGGTCTGGCTCTGTCACTCAAGCTTGAGTGCAGTGGTGCAATCTTGGCTCACTACAACCTCTGCCTGCCAGGCTCAAGCCATCCTCCCAGCTCAGCCTCCTGAGTAGTTGGGAATACAGGCATGTGCCACCACACCTGGCTAATTTTTGTATATTTTGTGGAGACAGGGTTTCACCATGATGCCTGGGCTGGTTTCGAACTCCTGAGCTCAAGTAATCCACTCAGCTCGGCCTCTCCAAGGGCTGGGATTACAGGTGTGAGCCACCACAACCGGCCTTACATGCTTATTTTTAATGCTTTTGTTATATGTTCCCAAATTGCCCTCCAGAAAGAATGTACCCACTTCTACTCCCAAAAGCAGAGCGCCCAAGACATAATTTCATCTTTAAGCCAAAACTTCAAATAAAAAATGTATTCCATGTATCATCAAAGTTTAAATTTTAGTGAATGTAGGAGCACTTGTCAAAATGTAAGATGCAAAAATTCAAAGAGAAAAGAAGAATATAACATGCTACCTTTTTGGAAGATGTCATGACACTAATATTACAATATTTCTATTAAAATATTAATTTTTACCCTCTCTCCAACTGTATTAATCATTCCACAATTGTGAAGGATGTACTATCTCAAAGGGAGAGAGAGACATGGTTCAACTGTATAAGCTTTTTGGAGTAATAAGAAGTTGAACACAATAACTTCATATTTCAACTGTGAGGGTTTTCTTTTAAATCTGGTTATAAATAATTTGATATGGCACCCCCTTAGAATTCATGAAGGGATGGCTCTGCAGGGCTAGTGAAGCTGCATGGTAAGTCTGTTGCATAGAAGTCTATAGAGCAGGCTCTTCCCAGAAAGGAACAACGCGCCTCTGATCGTTGCCAATTGACTCTTCTCTGCCTTTCTCTGCCCTATTCATTGTGCCATCAGTATTCACTTATTGTCAACAACATGCTGATGTTACCCAGCCCTTTCTTCTGACCTCATTCTGAACCTTATAAAGTGTGATCCAGCTTAATCAACTCAGAGATTAAGAGCTGTAGTCTATACTTGTTTTTGGAATGGATCCTGGCATTATTTATTTTTATTTTTATTTTAAGATGGAGTCTCACTGTCACTGGGCTGGAGTACAGTGCCATGATCTTGGCTCACTGCAACCTCTGCCTCCTGGGTTGAAGGGATTCTCCTGCCTCAGCCTCCTAAATAGCTGGGATTACAGCCACACACCACCACACCCGGCTAATTTTTGTATTTTTAGTAAAGACAGGATTTCACCATGTTGGCCAGGCTGGTCTCCAACTCCTGGCCTCAAGTGATCTACCCACCTCGACTTCCCAAAATGCTAGGATTACAGGCATGAGCCACCGCACCCGGCCGGATTCTGTCATTATTAACATTATTAACATTTTCACTCATCTCAAAGAACTCACAGTGGCATGTACAGACCTTGTTGATCTTCAGGTATGGGCTGGTGGTAAGGGACATAATTTGGATATGCTAAGGCACAGAAAAATGAGACGTGAAGGAAGATATTTATGTGTGGTACAGTTTGCATTTAATAGGTTGAGCATCCCTTTTTAACTGCTAAAGCACTAGAACTGCAACATGCCTAACCTGCATGTTCACCATGGGAAATGCACAACAGCAGGCTGCAACATGCTCCTAGATACCAGGACTTCAGAGCACCATGGATATTCGGCTTCTGCAGGCTCTGGAAATAGTGTCTAGTGGGCTGTGAATACACCTGGAGCAGAGGAGAGAGAGGAAAGCTGCAGGCCTCAGTGCTCCTTGCTGTGCCCACACAAGTGCTGGACGTCCTTCAAGACTCACAGGGAACACGTTAAGAGTTGAACTAAATTGTGTCTCATAAATGTTCTTCAGTCGAGCCTCTGGGAAATCTGTGTTGGTTAATTTTATGTGTCAACTTGACTGGGCACCCAGACATTTGGTTAAACATTTTTCTGGATATTTCTGCGGGGTATTTTCTGGATGAAATTAACATTTAAATGGGTAGACCTTAAGTAAAGCAGACTGCTCTTCATAACGTAGGTGGGCCTCATCCAACCAGATGACGGCCTGAATAGATCAAAGAATGACCTCCCCTGAGCAGGAGGGAGTTCTGCCAGCAGACTGCTTTCAGACTTGAACGGTAACCCTTCCCTGAGTCTCCAGCCTGCCAGGCTACTCTGCAGATCTTGGACTTGTCAGCCTCCATAATCAAGTGATCCAATTCCTTAAAATAAATCTGTCTCTCTAGGTGAATAACAGTTGACCCTTGAACATCATGGGGTTAGGAGCACCAACTCCCCATGCAGTCTAAAATCCAAGTATAGCTTTTAACTCCCCCAAAACTTAACTACTAATAACCTACTGTTGACTGGAAGATGTACCAATAACATAAATAGTCAATGAACACATATTTTATATGTATTAGGCACTGTATTCTTACAATAAAGCAAACTACAGAAAATAAAATTTTACTTAAAAATCATGACGAAGAGAAATATATCTACTAATTAAGTGTAAGTGGGTCATCATAAAGGTCTTCATCCTCATCTTTGCATTGAGTAGGCTGAGGAGGAGGAGGAAGAAGAGGGGTTGGTCTTGCTGTCTCAGGGGTGGCAGAGGTGGAAGAGGTAGAGGGGATGGAAGGGGAGGCAGGAGAGGCAGGCATGCTCCATGTAACTTTTATCAAAAAAAACTCCATGTACAAATGGACCTGTGCAGTTCAAACCCATGTTGTTCAGGGGTCACCTATATGTGTGTGTGTGTGTGTACACACATGCATGCACATATACATCTTACTGGTTCAGTTTCCCTGGAGTACCTTAATATGTCTGCTCTGCACTTTTCAGTGGAGGATATTCTTAAATGCAAAGAACAAGCTACCTTTTGGAGGCCTAAGTAAGAGCTGCTGTCCTCAGGAAGCAAACTCAGAATCGAGGACAACAGCCAGACAGAATCCTAAACCTCTACTCCCTCAGGAAGGGAACAATCTTGGATGAGTGAAATCCCCAAAGTTGGTGTGTCAAGAATTGCATGTGGATAAAATATGTGAGGAAACCACTAGATGAAGCCCCCTGGCTACTCCATCAGTGAGTGAAAACAGGTAGACCAAGCATAATAAGAGGGACTTTTATAGACTTTCTCCTCAATCCCACAGTTAAAATTGTCAAAGAAGTGAACAAATAAATTAGAGCTGAGCAGAAAATCTTTAGGAGCTGTTATGGACTGAATATTTGCATCCCCTCTCCCTGCTCCAGATTCATACTGATGCCCTAATCCCAATGGGATAGCATTAGGAGGTGGAGCCTTTGGGAAATGATAAGGTCACAAGGGTGGAGCCCTCATGAATGGGGTTAGTGCCCTAATAAGAAAAGGCCAGAGAGAGCTTTCCTCTATAAACCAGGAAGAGGGCCTTCACCAGGAACCTGACCCAGCTAGCACACTAAACTCAACTTCCAGCTTCCAGACAGAACTGTGAGAAATCAACACTTGTTGTTGAAGCCACCCAGTTTACAGTAATTTGTTACAGCAGCCTGAACTATGACAGGAGCTGTGTACATTTGAGAGGTGAAGCCAACTGGACTTCCTGGGTCGAGTGGGGACTTGGAGAACTTTTCTGTCTAGCTAGAGGATTGTAAATGCACCAATCAGTGCTCTGTGTCTAGCTAAAGGATTGTAAATGTATCAATCAGCACTCTGTAAAAACACACCAATCATTGCTCTATGTCTAGCTAAAGGATTGTAAATGCACCAGTCAGCACTCTGTAAAAACACACCAATCATTGCTCTGTGTCCAGCTAAAGGATTGTAAATGCGCCAGTCAGCACTCTGTAAAATGGACCAATCAGCACTCTGTAAAATGGACCAATCAGCAGGAAGTGGGTGGGGCCAAATAAGGGAATAAAAGCTGGCCACCCCAGCCAGCAGTGGCACCCCATTCGGGTCCCCTTCCACACTGTGGAAGCTTTGTTCTTTCGCTTTTCACAATAAATCTTGCTGTTGCTCACTCTTTGGGTCCAAACCACCTGTAAGAGCTGTAACACTGGCTGCAGAGGTCTGCAGCTTCATTCTTGAAGTCAGCGAGACCACAAACCCACCAGAAGGAAGAAACTCCAGACACACCATCTTTAAGAGCTGTAACACTCACCGTGAAGGTCTGCGGCTTCATTTTTGAAGGCAGTGAGACCAAGAACCCACCAGAAGGAACCAATTCCAGACACACATTTAGCTTCCTGATTAAAACTTGGCATAAATATTTAGCATAAAGAAGACTAAAAGCATAAAGATATATGCTCCCATTCCCAAAGCAATAAAAGGACCAAAGGAGTGTGCATGAGAGTGAGTGTGTGTGTGTGTGTGCGTTCTCTCCAAAGCACCAAGCAGTGGCTGTTGATGGCAGTATAAAAGAATAATTTTCTCTTCAGGATGTTCAAAAGCAAACCTGGCAGCATGAATTAGATGGCCTAATTTTAAACATACAAAACACCTCTAGTTCTTAATGAACAAATAAGCAAAGTGCACCATCGGTGGCCTAGACACCATTTCAGTTTTACACTGGAATCAATAAGTTAGGAATGATTTGACTCCCAGAGCTAGCCTCAAGTCCAAGCCATGGAGAATATTAAACTGACCTCCCCTCATGACTCTGGCCAACCCTGTGTTCCAGCCCTTCACTCTCTCCATAGGAGAGGGCTGAACCCCCACCATGCTCTAACCGAAAGCACAGCTGGCCTTCCCTCTTCTCCTCAGCTTTATTGAGGTTATAACTGACAAACAAATATTGTATATATTTAAGGCATACAATAGGAAGTTTTAATATACCTATATGTTGTGAAATGATAATCAAGCTAATTAACATATCCATAACATATAGTTACCTTTTTTGTGTGTGAGAGAACAATTAAGATCTATTCTTTGGGCAAATTTCAAGTATACAATAGAGTATAGTTAAGTATAGTCACCGGGCTATACACTAGATCTCCAGAGCTTATTCATCCTACACATCTGAAGCTTTTACCCTTTCATCAACATCTCCCCATTTCCCTCACTTCCCATCCCTGACAACAACCTGTATTAGTCTGTTCTCATGCTGCCAACAAAGACATAGCCGAGACTGGGTAATTTATAAAGAAAAAGAGGTTTAATGGACTCACAGTTCCACGTGGCTGGGGAGGCCTCACAATCATGGCAGCAGGCAAGAGAGAAAATGAGAGCCAACAACAGGGGGAGCCCCTTAGAAAATCATCAAATCTCGTGAGACTTATTCACTACCATGAAAACAGTATGGGAGAAACCACTCCCATGATTCAATTATCTCCCACCTGGTCCCTCCCACAACATGTGGGAATTATGGGAGCTATAATTCAAAATGAGATTTGGGTGGGGATACAACCAAACCATATCACTACCATTCTGCTCTCTGCTTCTAAGAGTTTGATGTTTTTAGAACCCATATATAAGTGAGATCATGCAGATTTTGTCTGTCTATGCCTGGCTTATCTCACTTAGCATAATGTCATCCAGAGTCATCCATCCTGTTGCAAATGACAGAATCTCCTTGCTTTTAAGGATGAATAATATCCCATTGTGTACCACATTTTCTTTGTCCATTCAACCGTTTATGGACACTTAGCTTGTTTCCTTTTCTTGGCTATTAGAATAATGCTGCAGTAAACATTGCTCTTCACTTTGTAAATATATTTTCATTTTAAAAAATCATTCAGATAGGCAAACGGAACAAAAGCAGAATAGCACAATGCACCACTCTGTGACAACCCCATTAACATTTGGTGACGATCCTTCCAGACTTTTCTACCACTGCCATCCTCACACAGTGATTTTTAGTTTCTTTTTTTTCTAAATAATTGTTCTTTTATAGATTTTAAAAGAATTTGGCACTTTGGGAGGCTGAGGCGGGCAGATCACGAGGTCAGCAGATAGAGACCATCCTGGCTAACATGGTGAAACCCCATCTCTACTAAAAATACAAAAAAAAATTAGCTGGGCGTGGTGGCGGGCACCTGCAGTCCCAGCTACTCAGGAGGCTGAGGCAGGAGAATGGCGTGAACCCGGGAGGCGGAGCTTGCAGTGAACGGAGATCGCACCACTGCACTCCAGCCTGGGTGACAGAGCAAGACTCCGTCTCAAATAAATAAATAAATTAATTAATTAAAAATAAATAAAAGAATTTGGAAATGTTCATCTCTCTGAGCATTTATTTTCATTGTTTATAAAAAGTGGATGGTGTTCATAATACCTCTCTCTGATCAGGCTGTCGGAAAAATTAAAGAAGTTAGTGCCTCTAGTACATAAAAAGTAAGTTGTCCTTTCTAGTCACCATCTGTTCCTCCTTTCTACTTTCCTTCCTTTTTGACTTATTCCTTGAACAAATGTTTATTAAGCACCTACTGTATGCCTGGCCCTGCACTAGGCACCAGGCTCACAAGGATGGGGAAGAAGACAGCCATGGATCTTGCAGTCACGGTACTTATGCAGAGACAAAGACAGAGACAGAGAGAGAGAGAGAGAGAAAGGAGAGAGAGGAGAGAGAGAGAATGAGAACAGGCTTGCAGAAACTCCTGGCAAGACCACCAAACCTGCGAGAGTGAGGGAGGGTGTCCCAAGCAGAGGGCACAGCATTACAAAAGCCAAATCATCACAATGTGGCGCACTAGGTGCAAGAAGGGAAGAGTTCATGAGGGACAAGGCTGCAGATTGAGCAGAGACCATGTCAGGAAAGTCCTCATGTTTCAGCTTAAGGAAGCTGAAGGCAGCCCAAAGTTCGCTATCTTGTAGGTATTATTGTCTCCCTCACTCTGCCCTTGCTGGGTCTCCCACTGTTTCCATAGCCTCAGCCCCTACTTCTGAGGCTCTGCTGAGGGTGCCTTCACTGTTCCATAGCCCCAGCCCCCACTTCTGAGGCTCTGCTGAGGGTGCCTTCACTGTTCCATAGCCCCAGCCCCTACTTCTGAGGCTCTGCTGAGGGTGCCTTCACTGTTCCATAGCCCCAGCCCCCACTTCTGAGGCTCTGCTGAGGGTGCCTTCACTGTTCCATAGCCCCAGCCCCTACTTCTGAGGCTCTGCTGAGGGTGCCTTCACTGTTCCATAGCCCCAGCCCCCACTTCTGAGGCTCTGCTGAGGGTGCCTTCACTGTTCCATAGCCCTCCCTGCTGTCCCCCTCATCCCATGAATTTTGCCCCTTTCTCTCACCATCATGTTCTTCTGTTGCCTCTGCCATTTCCAGTTGATTCTGTGGTGGGGAAGGACACGGACCTTCCTCCAGCAGGTATTGCCATAGTTCTCGGCTTACTTTCCCTGCCAGACTCTTTGGGAGAGTGGCCTGAGCTCCCAGCCTCCACCTGCTCTTTTTCCATTTAATCCTTAACTATTGCACCTGCGTTCAGTCATCAGCCCTCAACACTCAGCTGCGAGGAGCTGGTGAACTTGTGATTACACCCAGCAGGCATCTGGCCAGTCCTTCGCTTGCTTGGCCTCTTTGTAGCTTTCTGACCCCCTCCTCTCCTTTCTTGGTTCACCCCTTTCCCTCAGCTTCTAGGTACCTCATTCTCCTTGTGTCCTCCTTTTTTTCTTCATTTTCCTCAGTCATCTTTATAAATCTTTCTCGTCTACTAGCCCTTCAACGTGTGGCTGTCCTTTCCTCTCCTCGCTGCACTCTCTCCGAAATCTGTATCTCCAGACCACATCTGCTCATGCAGACAAATCCTCTGACTTCCAGCCACTGTGAGCCTGCCACCCCAGGTCCCCACCTTTCTGTGACTCAGTGAGGCTTCCCAAGTCAGGCTCATTGCAAGGAAAACCTGGTTTAACTAGTAAAGAGGTGGGTTATAAAATATTGTTAGAAACACCGTGGTGGTTTAAATAATGTCTGCCAAAATGATGTGCTCGAGACCTAAGCCCTGGGACCTGTGAATGTCACTTTATTTGGAAATAAAGTCTTTGAAAATACAGTTAGGTTGGGTGCGGTGGCTCATGCCTATAATCCCAGCACTTTGGGAGGCCAAGGGGGCATGGATTGCTTGAGTCCAGGAGTTCAACGCCAGCCTGGGAAACATAGCAAAAACCCCATCTCTACTAAAAATACAAAAAATTAGCTGGGCATGGTGGTGCATGCCTGTAGTCCCAGCTACTCAGGAAGCTGAGGTAGGAGGATTGCCTGAGCCTGGGAGGTCGAGGCTGCAGTGAGCCAAGATCACGCCACTGCACTGCAGCTAGGGTGACAGAGACCCCATTTCAAAAAAAGGAGGGAAGGGAAGGAGAGGAGAGGGGAGGGGAGGTGGGGGAAAGAAAGAAAGAAAGAAAAGGAGAGGAGAGGAGGGGAGGGAAGAGGAGGGGAGGGGAAAGTTAAGGATCTTAAAATGATACAGTCCTGGATTTAGGGTGGGCACAAAATCTGACTGGTGTCCTCATAAGACAAAGGCCTCAGAAAACTGGAGAGACACAAGGAAGAAAGCCATGTGAAGACAAAGGCAGAGATTGCAGTGATACTGTCACAAGCCAAAGACTTCCTGGAGCCACCAGAAGCTGGAAGACAGGATGGGTTCTACCCTAGAACCTCTGGGGATAGCATGGCCCTGCCTATACCTTGATTTCAGACTTCTGGCCTCCACAACGGTGAGAGAATAAATTACTGCTGTTTTAAGCCACTCAATTTATGGTAATTTGTGACAGCAGCCCTAGAAAACTAATACAGGTACATACCCATTATTCTCTTTTTAAAAATTGCTCATACAATTTTCAAGTGGGGGTCCTGGCTTTCATAACTATTAGAGTTATTGATGAACTACTGTTTGCTTTATACCTGTAAAATGAATGGTGTTGGTTGTGCATAAGTGAAGTAAACATTTTCTTTCTGTTTTGTTTATGTTGTTGCTTGGTGAACTCATTTATCAAAGTGAAGGCAAAAATAAACATTAGTACATCTTAATCCAAAGCCAAATTTGCAAGACTTGGAATTAATAAGATGCTGCTGAAAAGTGGTGCAATCCTTGTTATTTTTATAGACTGTGATTCTTGTGTTTGGCTAATGTAATTAATCTTCAGCTAAAATCATCTGTTCCAAATTTACACTAATTTTCAATGCTTCAATATGTTTGCAAAGCAGCATTCTGCTTCTGTGTACTGCAGGTAGATTCTTGTTACCTGTTAGCCTTGGTAGAGCTTATCAACTGATGCAGTGCACAACTTTGGTGGTGCTGGGGCATTTGTAGTTTTTTTGTTGTTTGTTTGTTTTGTTTTTTCTTTGAGATGGAGTTTCGCTCTTGTTGCCCAGGCTGGAGTGCAGTGGCACAATCTCAGCTCACTGCAACCTCCACCTCCCAGGTTCCAGTGATTCTCCTGCCTCAGCCTCCTGAGTAGCTGGGATTACAGGTGCCTGCCACAATGCCCGGCTAATTTTTTGTATTTTTAGTAGAGATGGGGTTTCATCTTGTTGGCCAGGCTGGTCTCGAACTCCTGATCTCAGGTGATCCACCCACTTTGGCCTTTCAAAGTGCTGGGATTACAGGGGTGAGCCACTGCACCTGGCCAGCATTTGTTTTTGATCTGGGGGGATACTTGCTACTGGCATTCAATGGGCAGGTGGCAGAGTTGTCCCACCCAAAATGCCCATAAGCAACCCTCTGAAAAATATTGCTAAGGATTTCCAATACAACATTTGTGACTTGTCAAGGTGATGCCATTTATTATTAGGTGTGTGAAAAATAAGAAATGACTTGTATTGGCTTATTTTCTTTGTATCCAAGGCACCTTCTGCATAACTCCCTCCTACCTCTTCTCATTGGACTGTGTGTGTTCACATGTTCATCTTCCTCTAGTCTCTTTGTCACATCAGAACGGAGACGGCACTTCATTTGTCTTTGTATCCCCAGCAGCATTTCAGCAACAGAGTGGATGCTCAGTTAGGCTTGATGACTGAAAAACGAACAAAAGCCTGGTACACCAAAAAAGTTTAGAAAATGTTTATAAGAACAAATTGTCTCTTTTGTCACAGAAATACTCTTTGTTATCCTGAAGGCCCTGGTTTGGTCTTGGGGAAAGCACACTAGATCTGGTATCCTGGTCTAGGGTTCTTGACACACGCATTTTATCATTATCTTACTAGGTCTTAGATTTTTCATCTGGAAAATAAGGGGAATTAGGGCTTGGTCTGCATTATTCTAAGGTCTCTTTCAGCTTCAAAAATTCTACTTCTTTGTTAGACAAAGATAATATTACCTCCAGATTAGACACCATAGTCCTACTGCCAAGTGCAGGCTATTTCTAGATTTTCTACTAATCCTCTAACATCAGTCATTATCTTATTTAATGTCAGAGTCTAGATTTGGCCGAAAGTCCGTTTGTAGAAGCTACATTTTAGAAAAACAAATGTACCTAGCTTGAGAATGTAAGCCATCTGGTCATCTGTTATCCTGGTTTCCATGGGAGCATATTTTCCTTTTCGGCCATGGAGGAAGACCGGGAGGATACCAACAGCCATTCTACATAATCAGAGTTGAAAGAGAGTGAGTATGGCACAAAAGTGGGGAGAAGAGAAAATGGCAAACATGATGGGACATCACTTTGTGAGTTTGTATAAAAAACTTTGGTTTCCATCTTGCTAGCCAACACTATTGTCTTCTCAGCTTGAACAATTTGATAAAGCAAGCTGCCTTGTTGAAGAGACCCACGTGGCAAGAAATTGAGAGCAGTCTTCAACCAACAGCCAGCAAGGAACTAAGGCCCTCAGTCCAGCAATCCACAAGGAACCAAATCTTGGAAACATCCATGTGAGCTTGGAAGTGAATTATCTCCAGCTGAGCCTTAAGATTACTACAGCCCAGCTGACTTGACTGAAGCTTGTTAGAAATGCTGGAGTTGAGAACCAGCTCAGCCCTGCCTGGATTCCTGATCCACAGAAACTGTGAGATAATACATGTATTTTAAGCTGCTAAATTTGGGGGTAATTTGTTACACAGCAATATATAACTAATATACTTGATATTCAGAAATCACGTATAGTTTGTTATCTGCCACCATGGATATCTAAACACCAGTGACTATCTTTTGTTTCTCCCCCTGGTGTTTACTTAATCGCTTAAAACTCCATCTGGTCATCTAGCCCCAGCTCTTCGTTTCTAAATACCATTCTCCATTAAAACAACCTAGGCTCTTGGGGAAAGTTGATTCCAGGGTTGGGGCAGAAAAAGGCAAAAGCAGAGCCTGAAACATTTTTTGATGCAAGAAAGTAAGGAGTCCTCCCTAAAATGATGAGGCAAGTCAAAAGGATACAGAAAGCAACTTGAAGAGCCCCCAGTGGTAAAATCTGAAACAATGTGAACAAGAATTTAAATAATGATTGTAATAGATTATAACCCATAGAATAAAATAAATAATTATGAGTTCATACTTATATAAATAAACACATAAAAAAATTAATGTGTGAGAAGGGACAGCAGAATTTAATTAGTAAATATAGAAAGAATGATGCAAATAGAAAGTAACTATTAGACAAATTCCACAGTAATCATTATGGATTACACTGTTGCATGACAAAAGAGTGTATTTACATAGTCTCAAAATATCTTCTTATAAGATATTTATTGCTTATAAAGAGAAAAATAATTTTTAAAAAGTGGGGAAATCTGTAGGATACCGCCTTAAACTAGTGATCAAATTTAGCATCACCATGATAAGATATATCAATATCATGTACATCCTGTTATTCACTAAAAAGGGCACAGCATCACTTTGGCAGTGTTCTTGCCAAAAATGTTTAGCTTCAATCTATTAATATTTATTTTAAAAATCAGGCTGATGCACATTGAGAGTTTTTACTATTATCTTACTCTATTGAGCTCTTTGAGTCTTGGTTTCTTTATCTGGAAAATAAGGATGTTGGACTGGCTAGTATTCTTCAAAAGTGTTCAAGTCATAAAAGACAAAGACTAAGAACTGCACAGACCAAGGAGAATATGGAGACACAACTACATGGCATGCCATGCTTAATCAGAAAAGGGACATTAGAAGGAAAACTGGCAAAACTCAAATAAGATCTCCGAATGAGTAAATATCATTGTATCAATGCTAATTTCCTACCTTTGATAATTATACTAGGGTTATGTAAAGTATTGACATAAGGAAAAGCTGGGGGTAAAAAGTAAAGAGAAAGTCTCGCTACTCTTTTTTGGAACTTTTCTACAAGTCTAAAGTTATTTCAAAATAAAAAGTTTGATAATAAAAAACATCTGGTATTCTAAGAGGATATTCTGGTAGCCTTTCAATCTCACACCACAAGCGAACAGGTGCAACACCTTTGATGTGGGCTATCAAAGAACAGCTTGCTTTTGAACAACAGTTGGAGTTTGCATTTCTGGTATATTGACTTTTTTTTTTTTTTTGAGACAGTGTCTTTCTCTGTTGCCCAGGCTGGAATGCAGTGGCATGGTCTTGGCTCACTGCAAGCTCTGCCTCCTGGGTTCACGCCATTCTCCTGCCTCAGCCTCCCAAGTAGCTGGGACTATAAGCGCCCACCACCATGCCCGGCTAATTTTTGGTATTTTTAGTAGAGATGGGATTTCAACGTGTTAGCCAGGATGGTCTCGATCTCCTGACCTCGTGATCCACCTGCCTCGGCCTCCCAAAGTGCTGGGATTATAGGCGTGAGCCACCGCGCCCCGCCGTATATTGACTATTTTTTATCTAAACTCTTAGAAGATATTAGCTCAGTTTTAATTAATCACTTCTAACTTTATAGAGTCAAGAGTCTACATGTTTTAGTCTCTATCCTTCACTTCATTCATGATAGAAGAAATTGCTCATCCAAATCTTTAGCAAAGATAAAAATGTGCACATGAAAGGGCCTTATATACTGCTCTTTAGTCACATTTTTATAAGTTTACATTGTTTACTATGGCATACATAGGCAAACCTCAGTTATCTGCAAAGATCATAGCATGCTACATTTCATGATGCTGTTAGTAAAAAGTGATAACTAGTAATTATTATGTATTACGTTGGTGGTAGAAACTGTCTATCATTGCCCTAATTGTTTGTCATAATAACTAACATTTGATTCCTACTACATATGAAGCACTGAGCAGACCACTTTATAGATTATTTATTTTATTCCTTCAATAACACTATGAGTTAGGCACAGATGAGTCTGCAAACACATATTCGCTAGTAATATCTGGCATCAGAGAAAGAGCTAGGTGGGTTATACTGGACCCCAAGAAAGGTCTGTGCTGGAGCAGTGACTGAGTTGTCACAGCAACAGGCACTATTTGATCAATTCCCTTCTATTTATGTCTTTTCAATCAGTTTACTCTGTTAGCACTGGGGAAAGGGGAGTAGGCATGGAGGGAAAGAGGAAGAGAGGAAAGAAAGAAAGAAGGAAAAGAAATCTCAAATTGTCTGAAGAGTCTCAACCTTGTCATAAAAATGAAACTTTCAGTTTGATGTGTTTCAAATTAGAGAAGTTTCCAATTGGAGGAGAAAGACTCAGGAGGAATATGAAAGACAGTTTTTTAAATGTGAAGGGCTGTTCTGGGAAAGGGGGATTCGAATTGTTGTGTGTGGCCTGAGAAAGAAGAATAGGGGGCCACTGGGTGGAAGTTTACACAGACACATTTTAGCTCATTATAAAGAAACACTTTCTAACCAGATAGTCCAATTACAGGAGATGCTGCCTCAGAACTTTCTGAGCTCTTGGTCCCATGAGTGCTACAGAGGAGGGTGGATGACCAACTCTCAGAGAAGAAGAATAAAAACAGGGGATTGGTACTTAAATTAAACGACTTTGAAAGTCTCTTCTAGTCAGGATGCTCTGTGAGGAATTCTGAGCCTTTGCTTTGCCACTGAATCAGACACTACTGAGAGAGGTCAGTTTCCAAGCCACTGAATCAGACCCTACTGAGAGAGGTCAGTTTCCAACTCCCTCCTCCATGGTGTCTTAGCTCTGGGCTACCTATTATGTTGAGTTGAGAGAAGCAAACTGAATGGGTATTTGGAAATAAGAGGCTGAATCAGACAACCAGTGCATTGCTGTCAGTCTTTCAGAGCTGAGAGAAAACTATGAGATCTAAAATTTGGAAGACTCTTAACTTTGTGAACTTTTCTCCTTTTTCTGTAAGTGGGAGGCCATGCAGTATGGTGGGTAGGATGTCAGCTGTGGAGAGCCTGCCTGGGTATAAATCCTGGGTCCCCATCTCCTGGCTGTGGCAGTCATTGGTGCTGTTCTCTCAAATATTTCCATATCTTTTCTCCTGGGAAGTACTGACATCTCCCCCCACACCATCACCCCCTCCCCACACACACACAGAGGAGTGTGACCATGTGACACATTCTGGCCAGTAAAATAAAAGAAGTAAAGCCAGTGTGTGATTTTCAGCCTGGCCCTAAAGTGGGGACAATGTGGAGCACAGCCCCTTGCCAACCATAATGGATATGCAGTGTGAGTGAGAAATAAATCCTTGTCTTAAGCTACTTAGATTTTAGGAGTGTTATCTCAGCATAACTTAGCCTACCCTGACTGATACATGGGCTCTGGGCCAGTTACTTGACACTGCTAAATCTCAGACTTATTATACATAAAATGGAATCATAATAGCACCCATCTTCTAGAAGTGCTGTGAGAATCAAGTGAGAGAGTTAATACATACAAAGTCTTAACACAGTGCCTGGCTTATAAGTAAGTGCTCAAAAATGTTATCTACTATGATCACTATACCATAAGCTCCACTGGGTCAGGAATCATGTGCCCAGCACTCAATAGCAATTTGTTGCTATTGGCCAGGCACTCAATAGCAATTTGTTGAAGAATCAAATTAAGTCATTCTTGACAAGGAGCATCAATGACACCTACCACACTATTGCTAATCTGATGAATGATATTCAGTTGTAATCTTACTCATTGGCAGCATCCTCCTTGAAACTCCCCCTTTGTTTTCTAAGATATTCCTCCTGGCTGGTTTCCTCCTAGATCTCTGTCCTCTCCTCAATCTCTTTTCCAGTTTCTCTTTCTACTCCCTAACTATCAAGGGCATTCTCTAGAGTTATGTCTTTGGCCCTCTTCACATCAGAGTCACTGGATGGCTCTACAAAGTCCTAAGGCCCAGGTCCCACCTGCAGGTTTCCTGATATAATTGGACTAGGGTGCATCATGGGTATCGGGATATTTAAACCACCCTCCTACCACCAAGTGATCATCCTGTGTAGCCAAAGTGGAGAGTTAATGCCCTGCACCTGAACTGTCCACCACAGTGACCACATAAGACAATTAAGCACTTGCATTGTGGTGAGTCCAAACTGAGGTGTGCTGTCAGTGTAAAATACATACAAGGTTTAAAAGACTAGTATGAAGAAAAGCATGTGAAGTGACTCATTCTTAATTTTCATACTGAGCACATGTTGAAACAATGATACTTTGGATGTAGTGGGTTAAATATATTATTCAAATTAATTTTACCTGTTTCTTTTTACTTTCTGATGTGGTTATCAGGAAATTTTAAATTATATATGTGGCTTATGTTATATTTCTAGCAGACAGAGCTGCTTTAGACACTCCTGCTGAGTGGTGCCATCTTTCTCATGGCTTTTACCACTGTACATTATGATCCACAAATAGGCTTCTCCAGCACCTACTTCTTTTTGAGCTCCAAGCTCACGCATCCAACCCAAACACACATCTTCCACAAAATTGGCTCTTCCTCTCCTGGTGCTGCCTGTGGAGCATCAACATCTACTTGTCCACTAGACAAAAGCCTGCAATTCCTTCCACTTCTCCACATCTTCCCCCAACCATGTGAACCACCTCCTGCACATTCTACTTCCTAAATATTTCTCAAAACTCTGCATTGCTCTTCATCCCCACTGTTTCTGTCCTCACTGGCTTTCAGTGGTCTATCTTCCATCTAATTTATTGTAGACACCTAGCAAGAGATGGATCATTTCAAAATGCAAATCTCCTCTGTTTAAAAATGCTTTCATGGCATCAGTGGACTTGAGGATAAAACCCAAAGTCCTAACAATGTCTATCAGGCCTTTCTTGATAAGGTGCTTATCTGTCTCTCCGCCATTCCCACCTGAGAAATGGGGACTGCCCTGCCCCTCCAGCTACATTGAACTGCTGATTCCTCCAATACACCCTGCTCTCTCAGGACCCTGGATCTTTGCACAAACTGCTCTCTTCCTGGAAGGCTGTTCGTGTTCCCCTGCACCTACATAACTTTCTCTCTCTCTCTCTTTTTTTTTTTTTTTGAGATGGAGTCTCACTCTGTCACCCAGGCTGCAGTGCAGTGGCATGATCTTGGCTTACTGCAACCTCCACCTCCTGGGTCCAAGTGATTCTTGTGCCTCAGCCTCCCAAGTAGCTGGGACTACAGGTGTGTGCCACCACACCTGGCTAATTTGTGTATTTTTTGTAGAGATGGGGTTTCACCATGTTGGCCAGGCTGGTCTCAAACTCCTGACCTCAAGTGATCCACTTGCCTTGCCCTCCCAAAGTGCTAGGATTACAGGCGTGAGCCACCGCATCCGGCCTCATAACTTTCATCATTCAGGACTCCCAGCTTGCTCTCCATGAAAACTTCCCCAGCCACCCCTTCTCTCAGGCTAAAGGAGAAACTCTTTCTCACCCCACTCCATGTTCTCATACCATAGGTGTGTTGTCTCCTCCCACTATACACCTCAATGCCCAGCATTGTCAGTGTGTGTGTGTGTGTGTGTGTGTGTGTGTGTGTGTGTGTGTGTTTGTGTTTTAAGAGATGGGGGTCTTGCTCTGTCGCTCAGGCTGGAGAGCAATGGTGCAATCATAGCTCACTGCAGCCTCCAACTCTGGGGCTCAAGCAATACTTCCACCTCCACCTCCTGAGTAGCTGGGACCACAAGTGCATGATACCACACCTGGTTTTTTATTGCCCTTTTACTTTGTCTACTCCCACTAGACCATAAGGCTTTTAAAGGAAGTAGCCATTCCTGACTTGCCTTTGTATCCCTAGTGCCTCACCCAGTACTGGATACAGCATAATAATAACAACAGCAACGATAATAACAATGTTAATAATAGCAGCAGGGATTGAGCAGTTACTACATGTCAGAAACTGCTCTCTGCTTCACATGGATTGCCTCTTTTAATAATAACTTTATAGAAGTATATTGAGATAATAAAATTTGAGCGTGGCCTAGGACTGTGCTAAACACCACAAGACACACTAAGAAGCAGATTCTCTAATCTAAAGAAATTGGAAATATCATCAAGTAACAAAAATAGTGCACAATTCTTTCAGGCAAAACTACCACCCAAAGAAAGACATTCAAATAACTTCTAATTTATTAAAGGAAGAGTTGTTCTTGCCATTTAAAAATAAAAATATGTCAATAGGAATTATAATTATTATGGACAGTTGAGAAGCCAGAAGTGGGAAAAAACGACAAACTATTTAGTGAAACACATGTAGTATGGCATGGCTTTGTTCACCAAAACATTGACTCAGTATGGAATGTTTCTATTCAATCTTCAATAATCCCTGTTAGTTCATCAATTCAACAAATCTATGTAATATTTATAATACAACATGCCAATGGTTTCATATATATATATATACACACACACACATATATACATACACACACACACACCCCATGTGTATTTATGTGAAAATACACAGGAGCTAGAAGAGAAACACATGAAAGATTTAAAACAACAAAGCCAAACTAAGTATCCAGACCCATGAGAACTTCAGAGTAGGAAGAGATTAGTGTGGATCATTGTAGCCAGAGGAGCCTTCATGCAGGTAACAAGATTTGAAGAGGAAGCTGTGGGAGGCTGAATATACAGAAGGTAGAAAGAAGGGCTTTCCAGGCAGCAGAAATAGCATGAGCAAAAGTTTGGGTGAGGCCATGAACTTTTTCAGAGAACGTGCCATTCTGTTAAGTCAAAGTCTTACCCATGTATTTAAAGACACAAAGGGCTGGTTTCTTCATTTCTCCTGATTCACGTCTGTGCTTTTGTGTCACTTGTGATGCTGGGTGAAAGAAGGTGCCTCTCTGATGTGTGCTAGTCATTCCCAAGGCGACAGCTCTGTCAGAGATAAAAATAAGGAAGTATCCTTTTTTATCTCCTTTGAGATGCTAACAGGCTGCTTTCCAGATTGCATTCCAGTCTACAGTTGGTTAGCAGATTTGTGTACTGGTTCCACCTGGGCATATAAATTACTCTCTCCACTCAAAGTGCTTTGTAGAGCACAAGAATTTATCGTGTGGAGAGGTAACTATGGTCTGCTACAGTTTTATCGGTGTCTGTGGAATAATCCTGAGCTTAGAGTAAATTTTAGCACACCAAGCAATTTATATAACAACCAACCTCCAATTATCTAATTTTCAGAAACAATATATGAAACAATGGGCAGCATTTGTTAGGCACTTACTATGCCTCTGAGATTTGGTGGGGAATGTTCTGTGACAGGGAGACAAAACAAGCAGGAAGCAGCCAGAGGTCCACACACTAGGGCTAGGCAGGCTGTAAAGACTCTACTCAGTTCCCAGAGAGTTAGGCTGGGAGATGGCCTTTAGATAAAGATAGATACCGCTGGGCACGGTGGGTCACGCCTGTAATCTCAGCACTTTGGGAGGCCAAGGTGGGTGGATCACTTGAGATCAGAAGTTCGAGACTAGCCTGACCAACATGGTGAAATCTCGTCTCTGCTAAAATACAAAAATTAGCCAGGCATGGTGGCAGGCGCCTGTATTCTCAGCTATTGAGGGAGGCTGAGGCAAGAGAATCACTTAAACCCAGGAGGCAGAGGTTGCAGTAAGCCAAGATCGTGCCATTGCACTCCAGTCTGGGCAACAAGAGCAAAACTCTGTCTCAAAAAAAAAAAAAAAAAAAAAAAAGATAGATACCTATCTCTTTTCTTGATTTAGATGTAAAAGGTCAGGGATTGGCGACGGGGCAACCAGAACCCTGAGACTAGGATCATGGGCTGGGCACTTGGGCTTTCCAGAGATGGAAAGCAAAAGCCATCGACACTTAGCTCTAAGACCTAGCTGCCTACTGTGCCGGGAACATCACCACTTCCATCCTAATGAAATACGGAAAGAGCACAGATGTGATGTCGTAACAACAGTCCAAGGAAGGGGAGGTGGCAAAATATGAATTTCCTCACAGAGAAAGGGGAGGTGGCCAAACCACCAAAACGGGGGTGGGCATCAATGGGGTTCACTACATTTGACTTCATGCAGCCTGTCTGAACCCCTTCCTCTTGTTTCCCTTCCTGCCCTGAAAGGCTATACTGACCATTGCAGAGTCTGAGAGGAGTAAGCAAAGTTAGCAGCTAGTAAGCAAAGTGAGCAGCCTTGGCTGGGCTGAGTCACTGGAAGGTTCTGAGTGTTCAGAGGCTGCTGCAGCACAGGGTAAGACGTGTGGCCCAGACTCCAGGGCAGTGTCAGAAGAGGCTGCACTTACATGCAAAAGCTAAACAGGAGTTAACCAGGCAGAGTGGGGAGCACGTGGGCAAAGGGACCAGCAGGAAGAAAGGCAGGGATGTGAGAAAGGCTGGGCCTTTCGGTTCCCTCAATATGGCTGCAGGGCAAGGCGGGAAGGGGGAAGACAAAAGATGGACGTGGAGACCTAGCCTCGCATGGCAGGCAAAGGAACCTGCAAATTAGACTGCAGACAGTGAGGAGCTCGGCAGATGTAGCATAATTACAGCTGTATTTTACAAAGACTACTCTGATGACAGGATGGAAAAAGTTAACTAGGTTTGTTCGGACTGAATGTTTGTACCCCCTACTTCTTGCCCAAATGCATATGCTGAAAACTCTAAACCCCAATGTGATGGTATTAGGAGGTGAGGCCTTTGTGAGATAATTAGGTCATGAGGGTAGAGCTCTCAGGAATAGGATTAGTGCCCTTAGAAAAGAGACTGCAGAAAAATCTCTAGCCCTCTCTCTACCATGTGAGAACACAACAAGAAGATGGCAGTCTATGAACCAGGAAGAGGACCCTGGGCAGAACCCAACGATGTTGGTGTCTTGATCTTGGACTTCCAGCCTCCAAAACTGTAAGAAATAAATGTCTGTTGTTTATAAGCCTCCTAGTCTATGGTACTCTGCTGTAGCAGCCCCAACTGACTAAGACAAGAGTTCAAGGGGGATACAGAAGGCAGTAAAATTAGTCCAGAAACTGCTGCAATAACCCAAGTACTAAATAAACAAGGTTCTAAACCAAATTGGCAACAGTGGGAATGAAGAGGATGGGATAGATTCAAACTGCAACACAGACGTACAAAAGAATACACAGAATTTGGAAACCAATTGGATGCGGAAGGTGAGGAACAGGAGAAGTAAAGTAAACACCATGGTTAAGGCTTAGCTAACTGAGTAGCTGGTAATGCCACTTACCAAATACTGAATCAGTACTTGTCAGTGCCAAGCTGCTATGTGTATTCCAAGCATCATGGGTTCTGATACAAGGAAGTAGAGGCTTACAAAACCTCAAGAAGGGCTTGGAGTGGTTTTCAGAAGTGCTACAGCTGCTGTTCAGAAAAAGAGAAGCTTCTTTGAATCTCAAGAACTTCTAGAAAGCTTGGACCTCAGCTTACAGTAGCAATGCAGGTCATCTCCAAGAAGCCACTGCAGCTGTCTACACTGCCTACAGCACTGTAACAAATACTCACCTGGGAGTTCAGCTAGAGAATGGAAAGTTGAGTTGGGGTAGGCGACGTGATCTCCAAGGAAGGTGTTTGATACACACATCCAGATAACAAGGAAGAGCTCTGAACTAGAAGGACAGATTTGAAAGCCATGGGGCTTAAAAATGGAATCACCCAGAGAGAACATATGCAGAAAAGTGAGAAAGAACAGGACAGTATCCACAGGAGTCCAAATAAGACAAAGATAAGCAGCAACTCAAGCCCCGCCCCCACCCCCACCCACCGTCTAACTTTAGGAGCTCCTCACCTCTTATGGTGAGGAGCCAGACTCAGCTGATCCCAGTGCAAGCCCTCAGCCTCATGTTCTCTAGCGCATGACCGGAGCTGTATATGGAAGAGGTGGCATATGGATTGAGTGTGCCTGGCAGATATTGTAAGCCTGAATTTTCTCCAAGTAGGAAAAGATGATGGCCAAGTGCAGGTGGGTAGGGAGGAAAACTTCTGGAAGAATTAAGGCTTGAGGAGGAAAGATACAAATCAGGTAGGCTATTTTCTACATTAAATTTCAATCCTTGCTATAACTGCTGCCCAGAAAAGAAATACATCTGGTGAAAGTCACATGGTTCAAGCTAAGTGAAATCAACAATTTTTCTTTGTGCTAAAGATTTCACGGTTTGTCTCATTTGCAATGGGGGAAAAAACTTTTTAAGAGAATAAATCATTAGGAGACAACCTGCTATGGTTTGGATATTTGTCCCATCCAAAACTCACGTTGAAATTTAATCCCCAATGTGACATTACTGAAAGGGAGGGTCTTTAAGAGGTTGTCAGGTCATAAGAGCTCTGCCTTCATGAATGGATTAATTCATTTATGAATGAATGGATTCATGGGTTATCATGGGAATGAGACTGGTGGCTTTATTAGAAGAGGAACAGATACTTGAGTCCACCCCCCCTCACCATGTGATGCCCTGTGCCACCTTGGGCCTCTGCAGTGAGTTCCCACCACCAAGAAGGTCCTCACCAAATGTAGCCTCTCAACCTTGGACTTCTCAGCCCCCATAACTGTAAAAAATAAATTCCTTTTCTTTATAAATTACCCAGTTTCAGGTATTCTGTTATAAGCAACAGAAAATAGACTGAGACACAACCACATTTCCTAACCAAGTAATTTACAAGATTATTCAAGGAAAGTCAAAACCAATTTCAAAAGCGTGTTCTAAGAAACAAGTTTGTACAAAGATACATTATTGCAAATAATGCACCTCAAGGCATACTAATTATGTAGTTTCTAAAATTTCCCCCCAAATATGGTCATTTCCTAAATATAAGAGGGTAAGCGAAGTAAGGGATTGAGGAGAATTATATAGGTTGGAAATGATTTTCTAACAATTTCTCTTCCACCCTTTTTATTCCACCCAACAACATCGTTTCATTTCTGTCTCCTAACATCTAATCACTTTTACTCACTATCCAAAGACTGACAATTAACCTCAACAATTTTTGCCATTTTCCAATGAGGCTTCAAGGTCCATGTTGACACTCACCCAATATCCTGGACCCTCATCTTCTTGACTTCATCTCTAGTGAATTCCTCTTTTTCTCTACCTCAGATACCACCCTCATGATCTCATTCTTGACTCTCATCACCTGAAACTGTGTCATTTTCAAAAATGAGACTTCTAAAATTTATAACATGTAAATATCCACCTCTGTGACCACACCCTCACATCCTTCCACTTCCCTTGATCAAGCATTCTGTAACAGGCTGAATAATGACACCCAAAGACAGCAAGTCCTAAGTCCTGTAAATGTTGCCTTGTATGGCAAAGACTTTGAATATTCAATTAAATTCTGGATCTTGAGATGGGGAGAGTATCCTTGGATTATCCCAGTGGGCCCTAGATCAAATCACAAGTGTCCTTATATGAGATATACAGAGAGAGATTTAACACGGACAGAAGACAGGAAGTCAATGTGAAGGCAGAGGCAAAGATCGGAATGATGCAACCACAAGCCAAAGCATGCTAGTAGCAAAATACGTTGACTAATTAATTAAATTTAAAAATTTTTTAAAGAATGCTGGTAGCCACCAGAAGTTGGAAGAGGCAAGGAATGAATTCTCCCCACTACAGCCTCAAAGGAAAGCATGGTCCCCACTGATTTCACCCCATTGAAGATGATTTCAGGGCCAGGCACAGTGGCTCACACCTCTAATCCCAGCACTTTGAGCAGCTGAGGTGGGACGATCACTTGAGTCCAGGAGTTCAAGACCAGTCTGGGCAATAAAGAAAAGAAAAGAAAAGAAGGAAGGAAGGAAGGAGAAGGGAAACGAAGGGAAGGAAGGAAGGAAGGAAGGAAGGAAGGAAGGAAGGAAGGAAGGAATGAAGGAAGGAAGGAAGAAAGAAAGAAAGTCCAACCATTGGCCATCTTTGTGTCAGCAACTGGCAACTAAGTGTTGTTAAAAAAAAACAATTATACAACCAGGCAGATTGATACCACCCAAAATTGATATCTGGGAACCTCAGTTGAACCCTCCACACTGCTTACCCTCAGCCATGTTCTAGACTATATGTATATCACTGTCAACTCAACATGGAAGTCACAGAGGCACTTTAAATCCAATGTATCCAAAACTTTTCTCATGATCTCACTCTCCAAACTTACATCTACATGTTCCACAGCTCAGAAAATACTGGCCCTAATACTGTCCAGTTATTCATGTCAGAATCCTTGACGTTTTTCTTCTCTCATCCCCTTGATGAATCCATCATCAAATTCTGTTGATTTTAGTGCCTCAAAGTTTCTCAAACCTGGTCACATTTCTCCACTTTTTACCAATGTAATATTCAATTCACTGTCATCAATTGTCTGACCTGGGACAATAGCCTCTGCACACGTCTCTGCATCCATTCTTGCTTTCCTCCTGTTGGTTCATTTGTTATGACCAGAGTTATTGTTTAAAATACAAGTTTAATCATTTTGGCTCTCTGCTTAAAACTGAATATCTGAATATATTCCAGTTCTTCATAGAATAATGTCCCAAATCCTTAGCATGGACTCCAGCTCTGCTTCATGATTTGGCCTCTTCTCTCTTCGGCCTCATTTTGATTTGTGCTTCTTCTTAATCCCTTTAAGTTGCAGTCTTGCTGGCCTTATCTCAATTCTTAGAATGCACCAAGTTCTTTCCAGCCCCAAGACCTTTGCCTACACTCTTCTATTTGAATGGATTGTTCTTTCTTCCTTGCCCCACCCACCATTGCCCCCTCCGCCTAACCTGGTTATTTCTTATTCCTCCTTTAAGTTCCAGCACAAATGTCATCTTCTCATGGAAATCTCTACCACCTCCCTGCCTAGGTCACATCTGCTAATGATATCCTGCTAAAGCCCCCTATACTTTACCTTCACGGCACATACCCAAGTGAAATTGTGAACTACTTGGGTAGTTATTTGATTCATTTAATGTATCTCACTTTCCTAGGTTATAATTTTTATAAGGTCTGGAGCCTTATCCATCTCATTCCTGGTGACTCTCCAGCACCTAGAACAGTGCTTGGGCCCTAGTAGGTAAGCGAGTGCTTATTCAATTTTGGATGGAATGGAAAACTTAGGAGCTTGGGAGTTATAAAAGATGAGCAAAACCTGGTTTTGTACCCAAGGAGTTTGCATTTGGATACTTGTTCAAATCTCATGTCATCTAACCCCATCTCAGAAAAAAGAAATGACTGTATATCAAGAAGCATATTGAGATGAGTACCTAAGCAATTTAAAAGGGGTTATTTCAGCATGGCCACTGTAAAGTTATATGGGGTTTGCACTGCACAAGGAAACATTGTCAGGAGGTGGGTTAGGAGCTTCAATCCAACCATGCTCAGCTTTCCCAGCTACACATTGGTAGGGACTGCATCTGCTGAAGATGTCCTTTTTCTATCTTGAGAAAAGGTATGGTAGAGGCCAGTGGTTGCCTTGATTCACATCCCAAACATGTGGGTCCTGGGTGATTTTGGTGGTGCTTAAAGAAATGCAATAGCCTAAAATTCAGACAGGTAGTAGTAGAACCAAGAAAAAGCCCCAGGCTTGAGACATGTCCATTATTCTATTCAAACAGTTAACTATGAGGGAGAACTGAGGAGAAGGTCTAAATACATATTGAGTTCTAAGGTGGCAATTAAGGACATCTAATAGAATCTTTAAGTGGTCCCTATCTGACTCTAAGATGTCTCTCTGAGGTCAAGAAGGGTCAAACAGAGCCTCAAAACACAAATCTTGCTATTTAACATTCTCAATAATCTCAATGTTAGCTCCTCAATAGCTTTCAGATATTATACCACTTGCTGCAAAATTAAAATTAGAGTCAATACAATGAGTACTCAGTATGCAAAACAATTCAAGGCTCTATTTCAGCATGAAGTTCCATTTAAGCTGCAGGAATAAAAGGAAAAGACAACCCTTTGTTCTCTTTATTTCACAATCCTGCAAATGGTCTCTTAGCCAAAATAGTTCCTCTAATCTTTAAGTTTTAATTAGCTGCCCACAATTCATAAAATATCAGGAATTAAAATTCTGATACCTCATTCTCCTGAGAAATGGCACACAATTAACCTCTTTTTTCTGGTCAAAGGCAGAAATTGAGAAAGGGTAATGACAAAATTAATCTATTCTGGTGGCGAGGCCTGCCATAAGGCTGGAAGACAGCATCCGACCCTGCGTCGAAGGGGAAAGCAATCTCTAGCACGTTGAGGAGCCTCAGATCAGTTGTGGCTTTTGTATTCATGGTGAATTCTATCACAAAACATGTGAGCCCCAAATATCTTACAAAAATATTAAATGATTCCCCAGGAAGAATCAACCTAGCCTGCCTTCCTTTCTCTCTAAAAAGAGGTAAATACAGAGGCTTTAAGTGGTCAGAAGCTCTGGCTTTCTAGCAAGGTGGGTAGAGAAAAAAAAGGACTGAGAAACTCACACCTTCCTGGCATCATCTCCAGATCAAAACATATGCTGGGCAGTAGTAAAGTCAGATGGAGTTTCTGGGACCAAGTTTATACCTTTCTATAATAATTAGTCCCCAGAAAATATAGATTCTGCTTTTATTCCCTAATGGTAAATCACACGGTAAATATTTAAGCAGAATTATCCGTATCCATTTAAACTCAGTTGAAAGCTCATGGGACAGAATACAGCCCAGTACTAAGAAGGTAAAGATATTTCAATGGAGGCTGTCAATGAAGACAAAGGCAGGCCTAACTAGCCCACATTTAGAAGGTAAAGATGTTTCAACAGTGGCTCTCAATGAAGACACAGGCAGACCTGGGTAATAGGATGGAGGCTGTGGAGTCCATCTGCCTGGTTTCAAATGCCAGCTTGGCAACTTACTAGTTGTGTGATCCAGGGCAACTTGCTTAACCCCTCTGAGTTTCTGCTACATATCTCTAAAACAGGGACAAAAACCTGTGTTGTAAGGATAAAAGAGAGAATGCGTATAACATGCTTAGCTCAGTACCTGGCACTTCATGAGTGCTTGTTAAAGTTAGTTACTATTATTGTCAATAGAGGAACCTAAATATTTTTAATGAGTTTAAAAAAGAAAGATACATTTTCATGTTAAGAACCCTTTAGTGGCCGGGCACGGTGGCTCACGCCTGTAATCCCAGCACTTTGGGAGGCCGAGGTGGGCGGATCACCTGAGGTCAGGAGTTCGAGACCAGCCTACCAATGGGGTGAACCCCCGTCTTTGCTAAAAATACAAAAATTAGCCAGGCGTGGTGGCCTGTGCCTGTAGTCCCAGCTACTCGAGAGGCTGAAGCAGGAGAATCACTTGAACCTGGAAGGTGGAGGTTGCAGTGAGCTGAGATCATGCCATTGCACTCCAGCCTGGGCAACAGAGTGAGACTCTGTAAAAAACAAAAACAAAACAAAAACAAACAAAAAAAAACCTTTAGTAATTTCAATTGCTGCTTTTGTTGTTGTTAACAGCTTTATTAAGATATAATTCACAAACCATAAGACTCACTCATTTTAAATACACAATTTGATGGCTTTTAGTATGTTCAAAGAGTTGTGAAACCATCGCCACAATTTTAGAACATTTGCATTATTATAAAAAGAAGCCCTATACCTAATACCTAACATGTCCCAATCCCTCCGTTTCTCCCAGCCATAAACTTCCTGTGTCTATCGATTTACCTATTCTGGACATTTCATATCAATGGAACCATATAATACATAGTCTCTTAGGATGGGCTTCTTTCACTTAGCCCAGTGTCTTCAAGGTTCACCCATGTTGTAGCATGTATCAGGACTTATTCCTTTTTATGGCTGAATAATATCCTATTGCATGGTGTGATAATTAATACTGTCAACTTGATTGGATTGAAGGATGCAAAGTATTGATCCTAGATGTGTCTGTGATGGTGTTGCCAAAGGAGATTAACATTTGAGTCAGTGAGCTGGGAAAGGCAGACCCACCCTTAATCTGAGTGGGCACAATCTAATCAGCTGCCAGCATGGCTAGAATATAAGCAGGGAGAAAAATATGAAAGGAGGGACTGACCTAGCCTCCCAGCCTACATCTTTCTCCCATGCTGGATGCTTCCTGCCCTCGAACATCAGACTCCAAGTTCTTCAGTTTTAGAGTTTTAGAACTCGGACTGGCTCTTTGCTCATCAGCCTGCAGATGGCCTATTGTGGGACCTTGTGCTCATGTGAGTTAATACTTAATAAATTCCCCTTTATATATATATATAAATTCTGTTCCTCTAGAGAACCCTGG
This sequence comes from Homo sapiens, assembly GCF_000001405.40. Taxonomy (NCBI): domain Eukaryota; kingdom Metazoa; phylum Chordata; class Mammalia; order Primates; family Hominidae; genus Homo; species Homo sapiens. Next base: position 94,522,541 of record NC_000013.11, read on the forward strand.
CTAATACATACGGATGTAGTACATTTTGCTTAATCATTGCTATTATTTTTGGATTAATTGTGAATTCGATGCTAAGTTATAAAAAAAAGTGAGACGTAGTCCCAACTTTCATCCTTGTGGAGCTGCTTTGGAGCCTACAGGGTATGTTGACACACATGATTTCATTTGAACATGAGCAATTTCATTTGCAGCTCACCATGATCCTGGGTGACAGATGTCATTTTACACTTTAGAGATGAGTCCAGACAACTTAAGAGTCTTATTTAGCAAAGGTTATATAGCCATATAGTTACTGGCACCGCCAGAACTCAAACTCAGGCCTTCTGAATTGAGTCTGTGTTTTTCCTGGTACAGTCAAGCTGCAGGAGCATTAACCATGCAGTGGTGAGTGTGTGAAGATTGACGGTGTTAGCATACGTGTTTTACATCTGGGAGGAAGTTGAGAGTAGATAAAAGCCATTTACCATTACCTTCATTTGCTCCCAACATGCAATCACCAGAGAATATGTAGCCAGTAGAAGGGGGCCTGGGGTCTCCAACCTCAAAGCAAGAATGTCGCAGTTTCTACTGGGGATGACCCACTCCTTGGGGAAGCAAATCAACCATTCCTTTGTTAAATGTTTTTGGTAGTGAAAGAAGCTCCATCTTGGGATGCTAATCAGCCATACTGACTTCTGATTAACCTGAGTTCCAGGAATGCCTCTAAGATTTCTATTTTATCTTTTGTTTCTTGTATAAGAGCATGTACTTAAAATAAATCTTGCCCTTAAGTCAAAACAACTTTGACCATAAATCCTGCCCTTAGGAAGATTCACAGTGCCTTCTTGCCTTTCCCTGGGGGGTGGACTTCAATTGTCCTACATGCCCCTCACCTATGGTATCTAAGCCCTGAGTCTGAGGGTTAGTAGTACTGTGATGCACCATCTAGTCTTGCAGTTACCTGAGTCACAGACATGGCCTCTGTACATAAGTCCCTATTAAATGTTTCTTTCTAAGAAACTGGATTAGTCAATCTCTTTCTTTGGCCTCTCAACTTCCTCAGACTTTGGGATAGGTTTGCATAGACCTGCTCACTGTGGAACAGTGTTCCGTCTTCATATCTCCCTGGCTAAACCTCTATTCAAGGTTTTACAACTACGCCATTCCTAAGCAGCACCATTCTGATCAGAGACACTTTTGCCCTGCCCTAATTGGGGAGAAATGAGATTCTTGTCCTGTATTTACACCCCCACATAAGCCCCCAACACCTTTCTGAAAATGTATACAATAGCGTGCTTAAATTTCCCTGCTCCCTGGGCTGGAAAGAAATTACCTAAAATTCTGAGGACTCCATTTTTTTTTTACCATTTTGCATTTCCCCCAAGCCCAAATCTAAGTAATTTGCTAACAATAACCATTCATGCACCCAAGTGAGTGCAAACGTATATATGACATCTGGAAACTACTTTGGGAGAGAAAGAAGAAAAAAGGGATTTGCAGTTCATCTGTGAACTTGAATTCAATAAAATGAGCTAATACCTCCCCCTTTATAGCAGGAGGAGATGATCTCCATCCAGACTGTTTCATCCCCAAAAAAGCTTTGGTTGCAACTCAAGCCGAGCTATGACCGGGGTGTAGAAGGCTGGCATTTGTAACAATACATTCTAGGTAGCTCCACTTCTCTCAGAAGCTGTGGTAAACCCAAAACAAGCTCCTGACAGGTGCAGGAAACTCAATGGGCTGTGGCACCTTCGGAATGGCTGAAGAATGAAAAGCAGCACTGACAAGGATGCCAGGGAGCAGGCTGTGGCTACCGCCTTATGTCTGCTCAGGATGGGGAGATCATGTGGCTACATGGCATCCTGGGCCGAGGACAGCCTATGACCATCGCCACAGGCCTGCTTGCCCATAGCCGTCCTGGGCCAGCCCAGACCCTCCCTGGCAGCAATCCCCTCTGCCACTGGCCTGGAGACCCTTTAGATAGGCAGGCTCAGAGTCCTGTCTGAGGAGGTGGGAAAGCGTGAGCAAAGCCAGTGATCAAGTGCTGGCTGCTTTGTGATTCTCCTTCCATGAAAAGAGAGATTTTTATTGCATTTTGTGCGCATGTGCAGAGTGGCTTGCTGTCTTCCCCCAGAATTAAAAGCGTCTTTTCTTGGTTCAGCCTTGGGGTTGTTTCTGGAGAACCCTAGTAGGGTTTTGTTGTCGGTTGAATTGTGCCCTCGTGCCCCCAAATTTCAGATGTTGAAGTCCTAAGTCCCAGTACCTAAGAATGTGACCTTCCTTGGAAATAGGGTTGTTACGAATGTAACTAGTTAAGATGAGGTCACAAGGGCGGGCCCTAATCCAATATGATCCGTACCCATTATATTAATAAAAGGGGAAATTTGGATACGTATATGAACACAGAGAGAATACCCTGTGAAGATGAAGACAGATCAGATAATGCCTCTACACTCCAAGAAACACCAAAGATTGCCAGGAAACCACCAAAAGCTAGGGAACAGATTCTTCCTGATATAACTGAGAAGAAACCAGCCCCTGAGATCTTCTTAGACTTCGAGGCTCCAGCGCTGTGAAGTGATACCTTCTTTTTTTTTGGAGGTGGAGTTTCCCTCTTGTTGCCCAAGCTAGAGTGCAATGACACGGTCTCTGCTCACTGCAACTTCCACCCCCTGGGTTCAAGTGATTCTTCTGCTTCAGCCTCCCGAGTAGCTGGGATTACAGGCATGCACCACCATACCTAGCTAATTTTTGGTATTTTTAGTAGAGATGGGGTTTCACCACATTGGTCAGGCTGGTTTCGAACTCCTGACCTCAGGTGATCCACCTGCCTCAGCCTCCCAAAGTGCTGGAATTACAGGCCTGAGGCACCATGCGTGGCCAAGGTGATACATTTCTGATGTTTAGGCCACTCGGTTTGTGGCACTTTGTTATGGCAGCCCTGGCAAGCAAATACAGGCTCCATCCCTTGGTGTAGGAATTACTTGCCATCTTTATTCTGTCTTTCCCTCATGTCACAGAGACACCCTGCCTCCTTCATTGCGGCCTAATCACAGCGAGAGAGGGTGCTCCCTTTGCTTTTGCAGGAGGTTGTGCCTCAGTGGATTGTGTCATATTAAACGCAACTCTTGAGGCCTCTGCACAGCTAAGATTACTGAAAAGATTTTCTTTTAATGAATTTTCTCAGCTGTGCATGGTGGCTCATGTCTATAATCCCAGCCCTTTGGGAGGCCAAGGTAGGAAGGGGAAGATCACTTTAGTCCAGTAGTTTGATACCAGCCTGGGCAACATAGTGAGACTCTGTCTCTACAAAACATAAAAAATTAGCCAGGCGTGGTGGTGCCATGAATCTTTCTACCAGGAGTTTGCTTCTGCTAGATGACCACACAAATGTTTGGTTTGGCTGCATACACGTGTTGCTTCTGTAAACTGCTCTTCATTTAAGCCCAAAGGCCATGATGATTATAGCTACAAATGGGTCAGCACAACTTCATTCAAAGTCCAATTTGATGAGCACACTGAATTCTGGCCACATGTGCTGTCTTCAAGGCTTTTAACTCATGGGGCATGATTATCTACAGCAAGCTGACAGAACTATGGGGCATATGGCTCCTGGGTCCCAACTATGGGTACTATCATGGCAAGAGCCAAATCAGCACTCACTGTATGCCCACTCATTTAGTTAACACACATCTACTGAGCCAGTACTTGAGTCAGGCCCTGTGGGATGCCCTGGAGCTGCAGTGATGAATAATGCACAATTTCTGTCTTCAAGCAATTGAGAACCAGATTAAAGACATTAAAAATCCAGCACAAAGAATTTCCCAAACTGTATTTGAGTAACACGGATATTCCGAGATATTAAAAGGCAATTCCAAGGCCAAGGTGAAAGGATCGCTTGAGCCTGGAGTTCAAGACCAGCCTGGGCAACACAGCAAGACCCCTATCTCTACAAAACATTTAAAAATTAGCTGGGCATGGTGGCATGCACTTGTAGCTACTCGGGAGGCTGAGGTGGGAGGATTGCTTGAGGCTAGGAGTTCAAGGTTGCAGTGAGCTATGATTGCACCACTGCACCCTGGCCCAGGTAACAGAGCAAGACCTAGCCTTCAAAATAAATAAATAGGGGTGATTCCAAGATGGCCGAATAGGAACAGCTCCAGTCTGCAGCTCCCAGCGAGATTGACGCAAAAGATGGGTGATTTCTGCATTTCCAACTGAGGTACCTGGTCCATCTCATTGGGACCGGTTGGATAGTGGTTGCAGCCCATGGAGGGGGAGCTGAAGCAGGGCAGGGTGTCGCCTCACCCAGGAAACACCAGGGGTCTAGGGATTTCCCTTTCCTAGCCAAGGGAAGCCGTGACAGACTGTACCTGGAGAAACAGTACACTCCTGACCAAATACTGCACTTTTCCCACAGTCTTAGCAACTGGCAGACCAGGAGATACCCTCCTGTGCCTGGCTCGGTGGGTGCCACGCCCATGGAGCCTTGCTCACTGCTAGCACAACAGTCTGAGATTGACCCGCAACACTGCAGCTTGACTGGGGAGGGGCGTCTGCCATCGCTGGGCCTTGAGTAGCTCACAGTGTAAACAAAGAGGCCAGGAAGCACAAACTGGGCAGAGCCCACCACAGCTCAGCAAGGCCTACTGCCTCTATGAATTCCACCTCTAGGGGGAGGGCATAGTAGAACAAAAGGCAGCGAACAGTTTCTGCAGACTTAAATGTCCCTGTCTGACAGCTCTGAAGAGAGCAGTGGTTCTCTCAGCATGGTGTTCGAGCTCCAAGAATGGACAGACTGCCTCCTCAAGTGGGTCCCTGACCCCTGTGTAGCCTGACTGGGAAACATCTCCCAGTAGGGGCCGACAGACACCTCAAACAGGCAGGTGCCCCCTGGGAAGAAGCTTCCAGAGGAAGGATCAGGCAGCAATATTTGCTGTTCTGCAGCCTCCGCTGGTGATACCCAGGCAAACAGGGTCTGGAGTGGACTTCCAGCAAACTCCAGCAGACCTGCAGCTTAGGGATCTGACTGTTTGAAGGAAAACTAACAAACGGAAAGGAATAGCATCAACATCAAAGAAAAGGACATCCACAACAAAACCCCATCTGTAGGTTACCAATATCAAAGACCAAAAGTAGATAAAAGCACAAAGATGGGGAGAAACCAGAGCAGAAAAGCTGAAAATTCCAAAAAACAGAACACCTCTTCTCCTCCAAAGGATTGCAGCTCCTCGCCAGCAAGGGAACAAAACTAGACAGAGAATGAGTTTGACGAGTTGACAGAAGTCAGCTTCAGAAGGTCGGTAATAACAAACTTCTCCAAGCTAAAGGAGCATGTTCTAACCCATCACAAGAAAGCTAAAAACCTTGAAAAAAGGTTAGATGAATGGCTAGCTAGAATAAACAGTGTAGAGAAGACCGTAAATGACCTGATGAAGCTGAAAACCATGGCACGAGAACTTCGTGACGCATGCACAAGTTTCAGTAGCCAATTTGATCAAGTGGAAGAAAGGATCTCAGTGATTGAATATCAAATTAGTGAAATAAAGTGAGAAGACAAGATTAGAGAAAAAAGAGTGAAAAGCAATGAACAAAACCTCCAAGAAATATGGGAATATGTGAAAAGACCAAATCTGCATTTGATTGGTGTACCAAAAAGTGACGGGGAGAATGGAACCAAGCTGGAAAACACTCTTTGGGATATTATCCAGGAGAACTTCCCTAACCTAGCAAAGCAGGCCAACATTCAAATTCAGGAAATAAAGAGAACACCACAAAGATACTCCCTGAGAAGAGCAACCCCAAGACACATAATTGTCAGATTCACTAAGGTTGAAATGAAGGAAAAAAATGTTAAGGGCACCCAGCAAGAAAGGTCGGGTTACCCACAAAGGGAAGCCCATCAGACTAACAGTGAATCTCTCGGCAGAAACCCTGCAAGCCAGAAGAGAGTGGGGGCCAATATTCAACATTCTTAAAGAAAAGAATTTTCAACCCAGAATCTCATATCCAGCCAAACTAAGCTTCATAAGTGAAGGAGAAATAAAATCCTTTACAGACAAGCAAACGCTGAGAGATTTTGTCACCACCAGGCCTGCCTTACAAGAGGCTCCTGAAGGAAGCACTAAACACAGAAAGGAACAACCGGTACCAGCCATTGGAAAAACATGCCAAATGGTAAAGAGCATCGACACTATGAAGAAACTGCATCAATTAACGGGCAAAATAACCAGTTAACATCATAATGACAGGATCAAATTCAAACGTAACAATATTAACCTTAAATGTAAATGGGCTAAAGCCCCAATTAAAAGACACAGACTGGCAAATTGGATAAAGAGTCAAGACCCATCGGTGTGCTGTATTCAGGAGACCCATCTCATGTGCAAAGATGCACATAGGCTCAAAATAAAGGGATGGAGGAAGATCTACCAAGCAAATGGAAAGCAAAAAAAGCAGGGGTTGCAATCCTAGTCTCTGATAAAACAGACTTTAAACCAACAAACATCAAAAGAGACAAAGAAGGCCACTACATAATGGCAAAGTGATCAATTCACCAAGAAGAGCTAACTATCCTAAACATATATGCACCCAACACAGGAGCACCCAGATTCATAAACCAAGTCCTTAGATACCTACAAAGAGACTTAGACTCCCATACAATAATAATAGGAGACTTTAACACCCCACTGTCAATATTAGACAGATCAATGAGACAGAAGGTTAACAAGGATATCCAGGAATTGAACTCAGCTCTGGACCAAGTGGACCTAATAAACATCTACAGAACTCTCCACCCCAAATCAACAGAATATACATTCTTCTCAGTACCACATCGCACTTATTCTAAAATTGACCACATAATTGTTAGTAAAACACTCCTCAGCAAATGTAAAAGAACAGAAATCACAACAAACTGTCTCTCACACCACAGGGCAATCAAATTAGAACTGAGGATTAATAAACTCACTCAAAACCACACAACTACATGGAAACGGAACAACCTGCTCCTGCATGACTACTGCGTAAATAACGAAATGAAGGCAAAAATAAAGATGTCCTTTGAAACCAATGAGAACAAAGACACAACATACCAGAATCTCTGGGACACATTTAAAGCAGTGTGTAGAGGTAAATTTATAGCACTAAATGCCCACAAGAGAAAGCAGGAAATATCTCAAATCAACACCCTAACATCACAATTAAAAGAACTAGAGAAGCAAGAGCAAACAAAGTCAAAAGCTAGCAGAAGGCAAGAAATAACTAAGATCAGAGCAGACCTCAAGGAGATAGAGACCCAACAAACCCTTCCAAAAATCAATGAATCCAGCAGCTGGTTCTTTGAAAAGATCAACAAAATTGATAGACCACTAGCAAGACTAATAAAGAAGAAAAGAGAGAAGAATCAAATGGATGCAATAAAAACGATAAAGGGGATATCACCACAGAAATACAAACTACCATCAGAGAATACTATAAACACCTCTATGCAAATAAACTAGAACATCTAGAAGAAATGGATAAATTCCTGGACACATACACCCTCCCAAGACTAAACCAGGAAGAAGTTGAATCTCTGAATAGACCTCAATTTCTGAACAGGTTCTGAAATTGAGGCCATAATTAATAGCTTACCAACCAAAAACAGTCCAGGACCAGATGGATACACAGCCGAATTCTACCAGAGGTACAAAGAGGAGCTGGGACCATTCCTTCTGAAACTATTTCAATCAATAGAAAAAGAGGGAATCCTCCCGAACTCATCTTATGAGGCTAGCGTCATCCTGATACCAAAGACTGGTAGAGACACCACAAAATAAAGAGAATTTTCAGCCAATATCCATGAGGAACATCGATGCAGAAATCCTCAATAAAATACTGGCAAACCAAATCCAGCAGCCCATCAAAAAGTTTATCCACCACAATCAAGTCGGCTTCATTCCTGGGATGCAAGTCTGGTTCAACATATGCAAATCAACGAACGTAATCCATCACATAAACAGAACCAACGACGAAAACCACATGATTATCTCAATAGATGCAGAAAAGGCCTTCGACAAAATTCAGCAGCAATTCGTGCTAAAAACTCTCAGTAAACTAGGTATTGATGGAATGTATCTCAAAATAATAAGAGCTATTTATGACAAACCCACAGCCAATATCATCCTGAATGGGCAAAAACTGGAAGCATTCCCTTTGAAAACTGGCACAAGACAAGGATGCCCTCTCTCACCACTATTATTCAACAGAGTGTTGGAAGTTCTGGCCAGGGCAATCAGGCAGAAGAAAGAAATAAAGGGTATTCAATTAGGAAAAAAGGAAGTCAAATTGTCTCTGTTTGCAGATGACATTATTGTATATTTAGAAAACCCCACCATCTCAGCCCAAAATCTCCTTAAGCTGATAAGCAACTTCAGCAAAGTCTCAGGATATAAAATCAATGTGCAAAAATCACAAGCTTTCCTATACACCATTAACAGACAAAAAGAGAGTCAAATCATAAGTGAACTCCCATTCACAATTGCTACAAAGAGAATAAAATACCTGGGAATCCAACTTACAAGGGATGTGAAGGACCTCTTCAAGGAGAACTACAAACCACTGTTCAACGAAATAAAAGAGGACACAAACAAATGGAAGAACATTCCATGCTCATGGGTAGGAAGAATCAATATCATGAAAATGGCCATATTGCCCAAGGTAATTTATAGATTCAATGCTATCCCCATCAAGCTACCACGGACTTTCTTCATAGAATTGGAAAAAACTACTTTAAAGTTCATATGGAACCAAAAAAGAGCCCACAATGCCAAGACAATCCCAAGCCAAAAGAACAAAGCTGGAGGCATCAGGCTACCTGACTTCAAACTATACTACAAGGCTACAGTAACCAAAACAGCATGGTACTGGTACCAAAACAGATATATACACCAATGGAACAGAACGGAGGCCTCAGAAATAACACCACACATCTACGACCGTCTGATCTTTGACAAACCTGACAAAAACAAGCAATGGGGAAAGGATTCCCTATTTAATAAATGGTGCTGGGAAAGCTGGCTCGCCATATGTAGAAAGCTGACACTGGATCCCTTCCTTACATCATATACAAAAATCAACTCAAGATGGATTAAAGATTTAAATGTAAGACCTAACACCACAAAAACCCTAGAAGAAAACCTAGGCAATACCATTCAGGACATAGGCATGGGCAAAGACTTCATGACTAAAACACCGAAAGCAATGGCAACAAAAGCCAAAATAGACAAACAGGATTTAATTAAACCAAAGAGCTTCTGCACAGCAAAAAAACTATCATCAGAGTGAACAGGCAACCTACAGAATGGGAGAAAATCTTTGCAATCTACCTATCTAACAAAGGGCTAGTATCCAGAATCTACAAAGAACTTAAACAAATTTACAAGAAAAAAAAATCCCATCAAAAAGTGGTCAAAGGATACGAATAGACGCTTCTCAAAAGAAGCCATTTATGCAGCCAACAGACATATGAAAAAATGCTTATCATCACTGGTCATCAGAGAAATGCAAATCAAAACCACAATGAGATACCATCTCACTCCAGTTAGAATAGCAATCATTAAAAAGTCAGGAAACAACAGATGCTGGAGAGGATGCGGAGAAATAGGAACGCATTTACACTGTTGGTGAGAGTGTAAATTAGTTCAACCATTGTGGAAGACAGTGTGGCGATTCCTCAAGGATCTAGAACTAGAAATACCATTTGACCCCGCCATCCCATTACTGGGTATATACCCAGAGGATTATAAATCATGCTACTATAAAGACACATGCACACATATGTTTATTGTGGCACTATTCACAATGGCAAAGACTTGGAACCAACTCACATGTCCATCAATGATAGACTGGATTAAGAAAATGTGGCATGTATACACCATGGAATACTATGCAGCCATAAAAAAGGATGAGTCCATATCCTTTGCAGGGACATGGATGAAGCTGGAAGCCATCATTCTCAGCAAACTATCACGAGGACAGAAAACCAAACACCACATGTTCTCACTCATAGGTGGGAGTTGAACAACGAGAATACATGGACACAGGGCAGGGAACATCACACACCAGGGCCTGTCAGGGAGTCAGGGGCTAGGGGAGGGATAGCATTAGGAGAAACACCTAATGTAAATGACAAGTTGATGGGTGCAACAAACCAACATGGCACATGTGTACCTATGTAACAAACCTGCACGCTGTGCACATGTACCCTAGAACTTAAAGTATAATAAAAAATAAACAAATAAATAAATGGCAATCCTTGAAAAGGGGGCTCCACAGCAAACTGCTTGGGAAATGCTAATTTTTGTGACCTTTCTCCCCCATTCCCTTTCCTCTCTCTGTTATAACACGAAAGAATCCTAAAAGTAAGACAATAAAAATAAAATGACAAAAAATATTTATTTGGCTTAACCCATCATTTCTCAAAGGTGTAAGACCATGCAATTCTTTTTGTCCAAAGGATGCTTATTAACATCTTACCTAAAATATTTACTGGAAATGTTTTAAAAACTTAAGTGCACTCAGCATTGTGACAATCCTGTAAGACAGGCCAAAACACCATAGGAAAAGTAACCAGATGGAGAAAAATGGCAATTACTGGATCATACAGGGAGAACACCGTGGTTGAAAGAAATGGGAGTAGTTATAACATGAAAGAATCCTAAAAGTAAGACAATAAAAATAAAATGACAAAAATAATTTATTTGGCATAACCCATCATTTCTCAAAGGTGTAAGACCATGCAATTCTTTTTGTCCAAAAGATGCTTATTAACATCTTACCTAAAATATTTACCGAAAATGTTTTACAAACTTAAGTGCACTCAGCATTGTGACAATCCTGTAAGACAGGCCAAAACACCACAGGAAAAGTAACCAGATGGAGAAAAATGGCAATTACTGGATCATACAGGGAAAACACCCTGGTTGAAAGAAATGGGAGAAAGTCCAGGCACGGTGGCTCACACCTATAATCCCAACACTTTGGGAAACCAACATGGAAGGATCACTTGAGGTCAGGAGTTCGAGACCAGCCTGGCCAACATAGTGAAACCCTGTCTCTACTAAAAATTAAAAAATCAGCCGGGTGTGGTGGTGCATGCCTCTAGTCCCAGCTACTTGGGAGGCTGAGGCAGGAGAATCACTTGAACCCAGGAGTTGGAGGTTGCAGTGAGCCAATATCACTGCACTCTACCCTGGGCAACAGAGCAAGACTCTGCCTCCAAAAAAGAAAGAAAGAAAGAAATCGAGCAAATGTCTCTTACCAACTCAATTAGAATTGGCCAGTAGGTCATTGAAAAAGTTAATCAAAGCAAGGAATCATGACAAATTACACAAGCACCTTAAATAATTTACAGTATTTTATCTTAAAACATGTAACTGTTCATTCCTTTAAACATCTTTTTATGTATGTACACTTTGAGTGTAGGTTGACTGACCAAAGTTCTTACACTTACTACACCTGTGATGCATCCTCCATGATTTCCAATAGAACAAGATCAAAACAATTGTTACAAAATAAGTTGGCTGCAGCTTCAGTCCACATTCACAAGTTTCCCCATATATATTTTATTCATAGGTATATAATTATATATTAAATAAAAATGTATATAATAAATTAAATAACCTATTAATTTATCTCTGTTAGTTACCCTATTGTGTCCAACTCTCTCTCTTACTTTTACAAAGAGAAAGTAATCAAGTAAGTTTCCCTTGAAATCAAACCCTGATGTCTCCTCAAAGGAAGAACTGCTAAGTTTTCAGGTCAAGTCGAATGGAATGTACAATGAGTCAGGGGGCTGAGCCCTCATTACAGCTAAATGATGTGTTTCAGCTGATGACTTCATTGTATTAAGTTTTGCCAAGGCATTCAACTTAATTTTCTTAGACCACCAATTATTTCTTTGTCTTTTGCTTTTCACATTCATATAGTAATAAGTACAACTGGCACAAACAGGTGTGGGAACAAGAGCAGCTTTTGGCCAAGCATACAAGTCAACTACTGGGAGCAGAAGCCTGCTGGGATACTAGAGAGTGGCCATAGGCTTTCAGTGGACCCTGATCATAAGTCAGTTTGTTTGAAAGAAAAAATGGAAAGCACAGGCTAAATCAAGTTTCTGCTCTACTGCCATCGGCTGCCCTGGGCAGGGAGTGAGATCTTCAAAGAGCAATCTGAAGCAATATCTGAAAGTTACTAAAGTACCTTCTAGGGAGGGTGGGTCTAGCTAACTTAAACACTCTTGTTTGAATGCAGGAGGAAAATTTGAAGGCAAAAGATAATTTCCCCAACATCACAGCTGAGAGTTGCTATTAGCCGTAACATCCATCTTTCCCCAATGCCATCCAAATAAATGTGGTTTGTTTGTTTTAGAGACAAGGTCTTGCTAAGTTGCCCAGGCTGGTCTCAAACTCCTGGGTTCAAATTATCCTCCCACTTCAGCCTCCCAAATATCTGGGATTACAGGCAAGTGCCACTGCACCTGGCCCAAATGAATGTTGAGTAAATATTCTGCAAACATCACTTGAAGGGACTGCAGCCCACTTGATTAGGCTGTCTGGAATGTTCAAATATCTGGCCTTACTTGAGAAATTTGTTTTTAGCTTGTTAATATATACAATTTAGAACATATACTATATACCTGTTTTCATGCAGACTATTTTATATGTCCACATGTCCTCAGTTGTATGTATCACAGAGTTTCACGGTATATGGCATGTTTGACTAAATGATGGAAGAGGTTCAAGACTAGTCACCTGCATGAGTTGATTGCAAAGGAACGTTTGGCCTTTGGCTAAATAAGGAGGAAGCATTATTGCTGTAAGTATCAGGGCAATAATATGGAGAAATGACATGGAAATAGTATCTGTCACTCCACCCAGCCCAGTGGAATGAGGCTCTGCCAGAAACTGAAGGATAGTTTTCATATAAATCTGTCAGATAAGGATGCTTCAAGAGCTACCAGCAGCTCTCCTATGCAGATATGCAGAGCACAATACTCAGCACCCCTGTAAGCATTAATGTAGGCAGTGCCTGGAACTATAGCAGAACCCATGAGGCCAAGCAAGAAATGAGGGAAGCTAGTGGACCAGAGGTCCAATTGTGATGCTAGCAGTCTGAGATTTATTTGTGAAAATACATGCAACATTCCTGGGCAGGTGCAAATGGGCATCTTTCTAATTGCAGAGGTCGTCAATAAATAGTTGGAGCAAAGACAGAAAATTCTGAGCTATGGCCAGTACTGTGATTTCGCCTATACCCTCAGATTGGTAGGGCACAGTGAATCACAAAAAAACACTATTAATATATTGGTGCTTGTAAATGGCGTAGCCCCTCCCAGGTTTCCCTCTTCGAGGAAGAATGTCTCCTGCCACCCGTAGAGGCTCTATGGTTAACTAAAGTCAATCTAGCTCCTCATCAGCATCTTAAAGAGGTGTTCACAGGAAATAGCCTAACCCCTAATACCACAGAAAAGTTTGCTAGTGCTTCCAAATGATCTCAAGAACTAGCTCAGAAGCCAGTAAATGACAAAATCTTTCCAGATTTAGAAAAATTTAGCCTTTTATTTAAGGTCCAGGAGACAAAAGGTTGTGTTCAGAAATGTGGCTGCAACCAGGAGCCAATGGTCGATACAGTTTAGGACCAGGGTTGATAGATCCGACCCTCAAGGATGCCATGTACCAAAAGGCCTGGACCTGATGATTTAACATTGACATTGGACAGAGTAATGTTCTGGGAGCAGCCAGGGCCTGTGATGCCTCCAAGAAGCTGCTCTTCAAAGGGGACCTCCCAAACATGCCTGCTAAAGACCAACCCAGTGTAACCTAGTGATGTAGTCTGGATGTTTGTTCCCTCCAAATCTCATGTTTAAATGTGATCCCCAGTGTTGGAGGTGGGGCCTGGTGGGAGGTGTTTGGGTCTTGGGGTGGATCCCTCATGAATGGGTTGGTGCCCTCCCCATGGTCATGATTTAATATTCAGTCTATGAGTTTTCACATGAGAGCTGGTTGTTAAAAAGGGTCTGGTACCTCCTCTCTCTTGCTCCCTCTCCCGCTATGTGACACATCTGCCTCTGTGTCACCCTCTGCCATGAATAAAAGCTTCCTGGCTGGGCACGGTGGCTCACGCTTGTAATCCCAGCACTTTGGGAGGCCGAGATGGGTAGATCACCTGAGGCCAGGAGTTCGAGACCAGCCTGGCCAACATGGTGAAACCCCTTCTCTATTAAAAATACAAAAATTAGCGGAGGTGTAGTGGTGGGAGCTTGTAATCCCAGCTACTCTGAAGACTGAGGCAGGAGAATTGCTTGAACCCAGGAGGCAGAGGTTGCAGTGAGCCAAGATTGCGCCACTGCACTCCAACCTGGGCAACAGAGAGAGACTCCACCTCAAAAGCAAAAACAAAAAAGCTTCCTGACACTTCACCAGAAGCTGAGCAGGTGTGGGTGCCATGTTTGCCCAGCCTGCAGAACCATGAACCAAATAAATCTATTTTCTTTATAAATTTCCCAGTGTCACGTGTTCCTTTATAGCAATGCAAAACAAGCTAACACACCTGGTAACCCTGTAAGAATAATTGAATTGGTAATTGGCGGATCAAGTAAAATGTTTCCATTATTAGGACATGTATCTATTTGTGCCAGACTGTTAGTTTCTTTAAATTTCTCTGAACACAAAATCTTTAGTTCTCAATCTCAGTTACATCTGAAAGGTTTCCCAAATCTCATTTCTCTAGAAAGTTCTTCAAACCTTCCATTTAAAAATAGCAGTCAGAACATCTAGTAACTTGAAAGATGGGGAGAATGCTGTTGTTGCTAAGACATTTTTTGAATGTCAACCATGTAATGTGTGACTATGATCCTGGTTCATAGGATTACAACCTAAATTAACCCAAGTTAGTGTCCTGGCAGATGGCCGTTCCTAAACTGCCTAAACTTGTCTCTGTCTCTGTTAGATTAAGACAATCCCATGATCTTTTTGAAGTACTAACAAAGACTTACAGCTTCCTGCTCTCCTGTGCTGCCATGTTGAAGAAGATGTAGAGCCTTTTTTATTGCTTTCTACAAATTATGCAAGTGAGAAAAAAAAACAAATAAAAACGAAAACACTGAAAATCATCCATAACCTTAAATTAACCATACAACCTTTTTAGTCCTGAAATAGTTGCTTACTGTTAAGTCAATAGATGTAAACAAGCAATTCTTGAGAACCTAAAATGTTTCTGGCACTTGGCTAGGTGACATAAGATGTGGAAAAGGAATAAGAACGTCAGTGTAGGCTCTCAGAAGAGTTGATTCTCATGTTAGGAAATATAATAAAAACAAGTACAGCCAAGGATTATGATGCAGTGGTGACCCACCATTGGCAGGATGAAAAAAGAGGAGAAGTACTCTTACTCATTCAACAAAAATGCATTGAGCACCTACTATGAGTTTTCTGCTAGTCATGTGAATCCTGACCTTAAGGAGATAATAGCAGCCAGTCAGAAAATCAGACCAATAAAATACACAACCAGAAGATGATATCCAGGTTATTGTGTGGATAAGGTATAGGGAGTACAGGATGGAAGAAACAGCTAAGTTTTCTCGGGCAGCCAAGATGAGATGTTGCGGAAAGTGACTCCTGAAAGAAGGGTGGAGCTTGTAGAGAGTGCTTACTGAGCCTGCAGGACCTGCCTGACTACATGCCAAGCACTCTTCATGGATTATCTTATTTAATTCTCACACTAGCCCTATAAAATAAGGATTTTTATTTTTCTCCATTTTACAGACAGGGAGACTGAAACAAAGAAGAGTTACGGAACTTCTGGATATTACACAGGCAGGGGGTGAGCCTGGAGCTCTGGCCCAGGCAGCCTGCCTCCAGAGGCTGTGCTTCCCACCACCCCTCCCCGCCAAGCCATATGTATACACATAGCCCCAATACCTTGGTATTAGCCTTCTCCCCTGCCTCCTTTTATACCACATCTCCCCCTCTTCTTCATCTATTGTAGTGAGAAAAGCAGATGGACTTGGTGCATTATCCGTCTTTGCTACAATGTAAGAATTCAAGGGTATAAACCATAGACCGTTGTGTTGAGCCCTGAACTTGGATTTTTCAGCCAGGTTCGTTCAGGTTATGGGCTGTCCACTGCCCATCACAAATACAACTGAGACCTCAGATTGAAAAAGAATGAAGTTGCATTCAGTCTCTCTTGTTGCAGTTTCTCTCTTTACCTGGGATGAAGATCATTTTCAGAAGCTTCCCCATCCTAACATGTTAGATAAACTGTCTAAGCTACTCAGCTGCTTCTCCTCCCTCACTCTTAGGATTTGTCTGTTTCTATCTGTGCGGTTTGGCTCTCCCTGTTGTCCTTACCCTTTTCCTTTTGTTCTAAGAGCCCAGCACTACTCTAGCTTCTAGGGGTTATCAGCCCACACCCCTCCAGCTATTCCAGGTCACACAACATCTTTCAGTCCCGACCACCACCAGGCGACACATTAACACCTGCATTTCCAAAGAACTCCAATAGACTTTTTATGACTTTTCACAAAATTCTTAGTCCCCTGCTTTGTTACTAGAACATGAAAATTCTTCCTGAAATCAAACCCACCTTTTGAGGGGCAGTAGAATTTTGCTATGAGGAAGAAAGCACACATTCAACACAGAGAATGAAAGTTGGGACAGGATCACATGCCCAGAGCATAGCAGACGGCAAGCTCTCAGGATGGTCAGAGTGGGAAGAGCTGGATATTAGCTTAAACTATGGAAAACTTTTCATGAAGAGGAAAAACCTGAGAGAACTTGAAAGGTAAGTAGGAATTAAGGTGACGCTAAAGGAATAAGATATGAAATAAACAGGCATCTGAGTGCATTTCTCTATGAGCAATTTACCAACCTATTATTAGAAAATGCTTAAAAGAGGAATGTTTCTTCTGTGTTACTGTACACCTGGATTTCATTCCTGCATACTCAAAGCTAAACCTGCGCAACAAATCAGCTCTTCCTTTTGTAAAAGAAATAAAACCAAATTTTTATGGTTTTATTTATTTTACAAATGACAAAATTATTGTTTGTAAAATAATTGTTCCTGGGATAAGAGATCAGACTATTCAAATAGAGATATAATTTATGGATTTAAAATTAAATTCCTTTCCAACATTATCTTTAGAATTTGAATCAATTAGGGAACATAAACATGATTGCTATTGGGTGAGACTGCCTCTGAATACAAAAATATGGTTTGAAAGCTCAGCTCAGGTTTAGAATCGGTGAGAAAAAAAAAGGGAGAAAGGAAAAGTATGGTGTTGTCAGCATTCAAAGGAGAAGTAATGTGCATCTTTAGATAAAAGCTTTACAATGGTGTGCATAATAATGATACTGTTTGTTTTAAATGTGATATATATATATAGAAATGTGTACATAGACATACAACAATTACTTATGAACAAATACACTAAAAGCCAGTAACAAAGATCGCCTCTGCAGAGGGGAACTTAGAGCTACAGGAAAGACTCTTTTTCATTGTGTACTTCCTTTTCTGATTGAATTTCCCACCATGTAGCTCAATTATCAATTCTAAAAAAAAAAATGTGTTTAATGTAAAACATTGTTTCAAATTTCCAACTCTTAAATGTGAGAATAGATCTCTGAGGTGGAAGAAAGAGATAGAAAAAGAAGATAGGATGAGAAGGAAGAAAGAAAGGACAAATCGTGGAATAGATGCTCTGCTCTGGGCACTAAGAGTTGCAGAAAGAGAATAAACCTTTGGTCACATTGTCCAAGTGTTAGAAAAACATATTCCTTGGGCCATTTAAGACACCACCTGAAAAGTAGAATCAATAATTACAGATGCTTTGTAAAGATGAGAAAGACTGTGGGAGATCAAAGAGAACTAAACATGTAAGGAACTCAAAGAACTCAATAGCAAAAAAGCACATAATCTGATTTTAAAATGGGCAAAAGATGTGAATAGACATTTCTCAAAAGAAGACAAACGCATGGCCAACAGGTACATGAAAAAATGCTCAACATCACTAATCATCCAAGAAATGCAAATCAAAACCCAATGAGATATTATCTCACCCCAGTTAAAATGTGTTTTATCGAAAAGACAGATGCTGGTGAGGATGTGGAGAAAGGGGAACCCTCGTACACTGTTGGTGGGAACATAAATTAGTACAATCATTGTGGAGGACACTATGAAGGGTCCTCAAAAAACAAAAAAAATAGAATATCATATGATCCCGCAATCCCACTACTAGGTAAATATCCAAAAGAACGGAAATCAGTATATCCAATAAATGTCTGCACTCCCATGCTTATTGCAGCATTATTCACAATAGCTAAAATACAGACTCAATCTAAGTGTCCATCAACAGATGAATGGATAAAGAAAATGTGGTACTTACACACTATTCAGCCATAAAAAAGGATGAGATCCTGTCATTTGCAACAATGTGGGTGGAACTGCAGGACATTATGTTAAGTGAAATATCACAGGCACAGAAAGACAAGCAACCCATGTTTGCACTCATATGTGGGAGCTAAAAAATTGATGTTATGGAGATAGAGAGTAGACTGATGGTTTCCAAAGGCTCAGAAGAGTAGTGGGGAGGTGGAGATAAAGAGGTGTTGTCTAATGGGCACAAAAATACAGTTAGATAGTAGGAATAAGATCTAGTATTCAGGCTGGACACAGTGGCTCACGCCTGTAATTTCAGCACTTTGGGAGGCCGCGGCAGGTGGATCACCTGAAGTCAGGAGTTCAAGACCAGCCTGGCCAACATGCTGAAACCACATCTCTACTAAAAGTACAAAAATTAGCTGGACGTGGTAGTGGGCACTTGTAATCCCAGTTACTCGGGAGACTGAGGCAGGAGAATCACTTGAACCCAAGAGGCAGAGGTTGCAGTGAGCTGAGATCATGCCATTGCACTCCAGCCTGGGTGACAGGAGCGAAACCCTGTCTCAAAAAAAAAAGAAAAAAAAAAGATCTAGTGTTGATAGCATAATAAAGTGACTATAGTTAACAATAATTTATTGCATAGGTTGGTGCAAAAGTAACTGTGGTTTTTGCAACTTTAAAAACTGCAATTACTTCTGCACCCACCTAATATATTTTGAAGTAATTCGAGGAGTGGATTTGGAATGTTCCCAACAAAAAGAAATGATACATGTTTGAGGTGATGGATATCCCAACTACCCTAATTTGATCATTACACTTTGTATGCTTGTATCAAAACATCACATGTACCCCATAAATACGTATGACTATTATGTGTCCATAAAAAATGTTTTTAATTCAAAGAGAACCACACAAACGTGGAGGGAAGGGGCTCTGTGCTGGCTACACACGGGTCATTGCAGCTGGAAGGGACTCCAGAGGCAGGACCATGGATTTTAGGAAAACATCAGTACCATCATTTGCCTTCATACAGGTAAATTTATATAGTACCTCAATACCCATTTTCTAGGTAATTTTATGGAGTCTACTTGCCTATCAAATTTCCCTCCAGGTAATCATGAAACTGACATGAAACAGACTAGCAGCATATACGCTTCCCCTTTACCAGGGCACATCATTTAAAAGTCTGTGTTACTATACAAGCACTTCAAACATTAACATGTCTCAACCCTTACCAAGAATTCTCAGGCATTGCATCTCTTTTTTTGAGACAGGGTCTCACTCTGTTGCCCAGGCTGGAGTGCAGTGGTGCAATATTGGCTCATTGTAGCCTCCACCTCCTGGATTCAAGCAATTCTCCCACTTCAGCCTCCCAAGTAGCTGGGACTACAGGTGCACACCACCATGACCAGCTAATTTTTGTATTTTTTTAGTCGAGTCAAGGTTTCACCATGTTGGCCAAGCTGGTCTCAAAGTCCTGACCTCAAGTGATCCGCCCGCCTCGGCCTCCCAAAGTGCTGGGATTACAGGTGTAAGGGATTACAGGGCCACAGCACCTGGCCCGTTCCATCTTTAAATGCCCATTCCCTTCACACAAGGCCACTGAGGATGGAATGGCAATTTTCTTCTCTTAATTCTCATCACATACTGCCTCCTGCTTCATGCGTTCAATTCCCCACCTTTCCATTTGCCTGGGGCTCAATCGAAGTTCTCCGATTTTTACTTTTCTAACACTGAGTCTATCTTTAAGCAGATGTTTTGTTCTGGGACCAGCTCTGTGAAAAGCATTTAGGAAAACAAAAAGTAATTTACTTGCATGAAAGTTAAACAAGGGTGTCCAGGCTTTCAAAAGTCTAGCTTAAACACAAAACAAAAACAAACAGGAAACCCTGAAATAAACCCAAAAAACCAAAACACACCCATGTTCACACACGAGAGTACCAATGTTGCCAAGGACACAGTTTCTCTGTTCACGGTGGGAAAACAGCAATTTTGTCACAGTAGCTTATTTACAAAGGACGTTTTCATACATTAGCTTTGAACTGGTCATGGAAAAAATTCTTTGACATAGAATAAGTAACTTTCAGGAAAGTCTCATGGCTTCATTTATTAAGGGGCCTCTAACCGGACAGGGTTATCCTGTTGGATGGTTTCTTTTGGTTTATCTCAGGATGCCAAGTGCTTTCTGTTTTTGCCTGACTAGGGCACATGATTATGATGTGCACACTAACTCATCACAGCCGCAGGGACAGATGCTGGTTTTGCTTCTAGTCACTTAGTGTTAAGAGATAACGAGGTAATAGAATTCATCCGGTGAGGCCACCACCCTTTTTGTCTCTACCCCTGCGCACACCTCATGCCAATCCACACCATTCCTTCCTGAACCATCAGCAGCAGCAAGCACAAAGAAACCACAACTCAGAAGATTTTTCAAAAGTGCCAAAAGTTGGCTAGCAGTCCTATTTGAACACAGACGTGGCTATTGGACAGCAGTTGTCTAGCTCACCCAATCTTAGATGGATACTTTCCTGTAACACAACTAGGTCAAACAATCTTATCACCCTGACAGAACAGTTCCTGTCTTTCTCTAATAGAAATCTCTCCTGCCTTTATCTGAGCCCATTCCTTCTTGTGATATCTTCCTAGAAATTATATACTACTGAAAAAATAGTAATCAAATTACCCTTAGCTTCTTTCCTCTTGGCAAATTTACTTCATATCCATTTTTAAAATGAATCTCCCCTTCCTAATCATGTTGTTATTCTTTGTTAATCCTTTCCTTTTAAGTTGAGTTAATCAAAACTGAACAAAATGGCCAGGCACGGTGGCTCACGCCTGTAATCCCAGCACTTTGAGAGGCCAAGGCAGGTGGATCGCCTGAGGTCAGGAGTTTGAGACCAGCCTGACCAACATGGTGAAACCCCATCACTACTAAAAATACAAAAATTAGCTGGGCATGGTGGTGGTTACCTGTGATCTTGGCTACTCAGGAGACTGAGGCAGGAGAATTGGTTGAACCCAGGAGGCAGAGGTTGCAGTGAGCCGAGATCACGCCACTGTACTCTGGCCTGGGCGACAGAGCAAGACTCTGTCTCAAAAAAAAAAAAAAAATGCTCTTTATGGATCTCATTAATGCAATGTATGAAAGAAGAACTAATACTTTATACTTAGAGCTCATGTTTCATTTTAGTACATCTCAGAATTATGCTGATTTTTCACAACAGCATTCCTAGTAGCATGTATTTTTTTTTATTTATTTGTATTCAACTATGCCTCCTATCTCAAAGGATTATTGACAAGTTTAATGGGATTTTGTATGAAAAGTGCTTATCAGAATGCCCGGCACATAGAGAACACTCCATAAACGGTGACTATCATTTTTCATTATTTTTGATACTTTGGACTAGGGAGTCAGTGAAATACGTGGGGAAAGCGGGTTTGCTCAAGATGCATTGTAGGAAATATTTAGGTAGTGAATAGCAAAATATTTGTGCTCCCTGCTTTAAGACAACTCATTATAGGAACACTGGAATTTACAGAGCTAAAGTGTGCATTTGGCGTCTGAGATGAAGAGCTGTTCCCTTGCTCAGCCTGTCCAGCTTTATTTGCAGGGCTGTCTGTGGGCCCTCGCCTAAGCAGGGACTGCAGACTATCCTCCAAGATGATCCATTAGAAAAGGAAGTTAAACAAAGTAATCCACTGTGACACTATATATGAAGGATGATTGTACAGGAACTGTATATTCCTGGAATCTGTAGTAAATCCACACAGAAGTTTTATTTCTGGCCAAGGACTCAACATCAAATAAATCTGAGATATGACAAATAGTATAACAAAAGTAAACTATAAACCACCATCCATTTAAAAGAGGAGAATTATGATCCAAGACTAATGAAATGAGCATTAATATATGTACACATTGATGACACAAAAGGCCTTAATGAATTACTAAATACTCATCTGGTTTTATTATGTATAACAATTATAGCAGCTCGGTCTCAAAAAAACAACAACAAAAAAATGTTTAATGATGATGGTGTTCTTTCCCACTGAAAGCATTCCTTCTCTAAAGTAAGTGGCGACCCTATTCTCCCACCCTTCACCCTTCATAGCCTCCTAAGTTATAAAGTGTGATCATGGCATCAGTGGGGTTCCCAGGAGATACCTGGTGTTCAGTCTTTCTCAGCCTTCACTCCCGGGAAGTGACAGTGTTTGACATCTATTAGAGCACATCACGCTTCAGATGATGATGATAAAAATGATCAGATTACATTTTTAGATGTTACCTCTTCAGGTAAAATATATATTATAAAACCAAAGATCCAAATGGGCCATGGTCAGACCATATATAAAAACAGAACTGTGACCATAACCTGCCCAGGAAACCAGCCCCTTATCTACAATAAACAGTCCAGCAAGCCCGTCTGCTAAAGCCAGACTTGCAAGAAGTCTGGGAAATAACAATCTGAGAAGCTAAACAATAACTTTTATAATAATTAATTCCAAATGACCAGGAATTGATTAATAACTGACAGCTTTCCTAGTTTTTGTCCTCATTTCCAACTTTAGGCCAACCACAAAAGGCGCCTTAAATAATCACATGGCTGCCGGCTCCCAGTTAGCTAACTCCAGCTTCCCAGACCAACAGCCTCCAATCAGGGCACACCTGAAGCTGTCCCTTGTGTCTGCTGTAAAGCTCTCCCACTCCCCTGCCTGCCTTTGAGTCTCTCCCAAATGCCAGTGATGGTGGCTGACTCCCTCGCTATAGCAAGCTCTGAATAAACAGCCTTTGCTTTCTCACATGGTGGTCTTCCTTCATTTCATATATATAAGCGGTGTGTGTATTTTTTTAATGCTGCCCACCTGCTTCCCGATCACTCCTCCCTGTCACAAGACCTGAAAAGCCTTCTCAACCAACAGGTGGAGGCCTGGCCTAACTCTTCCCCTTCACCCTCCCCTCCTCACACTTCTAATGACACAGATTTTCTCCTTGACCAAATGCTAGCCAGGCCTCTCTGAGCCCCCTTCTAGACCAGGCCTCAACCCCCTCAGAGTGCCTGCTTGAGAAAGCCCAAGACTGACAAAAGAATTCTATGCACCATCTGATGAAAGGCTTCTGGCACTTTCTTAGAGTACTTACTAAAAAGGGCTTACAATTGTGACTCCTTCCTCTGTGCCTTTGAGATGGCTGTGTATCTCCTACAAAGGCAATCAAGGACGTAAAAAACCATTCCTTTACAATGTAATCATCAGGAAGGATAGGGCCAGTGTCTCCCAGTCTCTGGAAGGACAGAATCCAGACTTTGATCATTGCCAGCTAGCAGACACAGCTGCCTAATCAGCATTTACATGCGTCAATCCTTTGTCAGTTTTCACCTTCCTGACTCTGCTGAAGCCCCACTGGTTCCTCTCCGTTAATCCCTCATTGTCCCTTAAAATGCCCAGTCACCTCTGTACAAATCAAAGTTCAGTTCACGCTGGACCCTCTTCCCTATTGCAATAGTACATTATGATTACCATCTGTCCTTACCACGTTACCTAGTGTCTGGTTTATCTTTGGTACTAACCAGGTGTGCGCCTCCATCCTTCCCCCACCCACACCAATAGCCAGTAGCTGGTCTTCCTGTTACAGTAGGGAGCTAGTCAGGCATGAGCACAGCAGGAGAGCCCCCCTCCCCACCAAGGAATGTCAGGAGACCAACAGGTGGTGGGCAAGTGGTTGTTACACTGTTTCCCTAAAACGGTAATTGGTCGCAGCCAGCCCTAGGGAAAGGCAGGCTCCAAACAGAAAAAACCTGAAACTGGTCATCATCAGTTTCCTGATAAGATCTTAGGAGTTGGGCGAGTAAGCTGAAGCATGCGCACTAAGAGGCAAAATGGCAGCATTTAACTGGTACATGACCTTCTAGGAACATTCAGCTGGTAAAGGAAGAATGCCTCAAGTGAGCATGGGTACAACGCCAGTAAACACACTGTGCATGCTTCCCTCCCAAGCACTAGCAGGCCACTGTGCATGCGACAGCCCACCCCAAGGGAAGAACTAGGGAAGAAGGGATGCAAGACCCCAGAAATGCCAGTGTATAAAACCCTAAGTCAGAGGTCAAACAGGGCTCTTGATCTCTCAATTTGCCCGCTTAGCCCTCTTCCAAGTGTACTTTACTTCCTTTCATTCCTGCTTCTAAACTTTTTTTTTTTAAGAGACAGTCTCACTCTGTTGCCCAGGCTGGAGCGCAGTGGCATAATCTCAGCTCACTGCAACTTCCACCTCCCCTGTTCAACGGATTCTCCTGCCTCAGCCTCCCGAGTAGCTGGGATTACAGGCTTGTACCACCACGCCCAGCTCATTTTTGTATTTTTAGTAGAGATGGGGTTTCACCATGTTGGCCAGGCTGGTCTCAAACTTCTGACCTCAAGTGATCCGCCCACCTCGGCCTGCCAAAGTGCTGGGATTACAGGCATGAGCCACCGTGCCTGACCCTGCTCTAAACTTTTTAAAAACTTTCACTCCCGCTGTAAAACTTGTGTTCATCTCTCACTCTGCCTTATGCCCTTCAGTCGAATTCTTTCTTCTGAGGAGGCAAGAATTGAGGTTGCTGCAGACCCGCATAGATTCACCATCACTAACATTACCTTGGGCAGAGTGCTCAGACCTCAGGTTGTCTGAAATGAAAGTCACTATCACCCCAGAACCTGCATCCTTTCCCTACTCTTTAGAAATGTGATAGCTGGTGGCACTCCTGTTAAATCTTTCCATACCTAAGAAATCTTGGCTGGGCACACTAGCTCATGCCTGTAATCCCAGCACTTTGGGAGGCCAAGGCGGGTGGATTACTTGAGGTCAGAAGTTCAAGACCAGCCTGGCCAACATAGCAAAAACCCATCTCTACAAAAAATGCAGAAATTAGCCGGGCATGGTGGCGGGTGCCTGTAATCCCAGCAACTCGAGAGGCTGAGGCAGGACACTCCCTTGAACCTGGGACACCACTGCACTCCAGCCTGGGCGTCAGAGTGAAACTCCGTCTCAAAAAAAAAAAAAAAAAAAAAAATATATATATATATATATATCTTCTCTGGGTGAGGACCCACTGCTCCATAGAGCCTTTTCTGGTGAGCCAGACAAAAACTTTTATTTCCCTCATACAAGTACCTGTATGTTTATGCACACCTGTCTTGACTACACATCTCAACAGCTTTTCACTTACAGTAACATTTAGGAGGTAGCAATGTTAGCTGTCTAACAGACATAGCTTATGCTTAATTCTTGCAACCCTGGAAAGGCTGTTATGTATAAAATGGGGATAATAATATGTACTTCATAAGGTTGTTATGAAGAGCAAATAATGCTGGCTCGTAGTGGGAGGTTAGGAATTAATGTCCAATTAGAGAATGAATGAATAAGAGAGAACACACAGTAGTTCATAAATATGAGTTTCCCTTCCCCCTCAAAACAGCAGAACCAGAAAACAAGCAAGACCTAAGCATACATCTCACAATGGTCCTTCATCTGCTGTCCAGCAACCCGCCACCTCACTAAACTGACTATTCTATTTTCCTACGACACAAATAGATAGATATTTCTTATTTTTAAAATTTAGATCTACATCCCTGCAACTTCTCCCCTTGGGTCCTGGCTCAGTTCCCACCAGCCATACAAGATAACATCAGGTGCCTGGGCCTCCATTTTCTTTCTAGGACACCCAGTTTGGCCTTGGGGTGGGCTCCCACAGGTAGCTGGGAAGCTGATGCCCCTGAGTACCCACGTCCACCCACACGTGAAAACAAAAAAAAATCTCAGAAAGTAATTTCGAGCACGGGTCAAAGTTCTATTTCACACTTGCAGGGGCAAGACAGCAAAAGGAAAAAGCTGGTTCACAGCAACTGTCTTAGGAAAGCAAGGCCTCTTTTAGAAACAGAAAGGAACGTCTAGACCCGTGGCTTGTTTAAACACCCGCTGCTAGGCCCCACTGCCAGAGCTGCCTATCCAGGGCCGAGAATGTGCATTTCTAAGTAGTTCTCAGGCGGTGCTGATGCTGCGGATCTGGGGACTGTACTTTGAGAACCACCGGTGCAGACCCTGGCCAACGTTCTTTAGTCTGATGCGTCGGGGAGCTGTAAAGCTGCCATCCTTCACCGGTGGGCAAGTAACCTGGTGGCGCCACCCCAGGGCCAGACCCAGGGCCGGCCTCGGTGCGCCTCTAGCCAGAAATAACCAGCACTGGGTTCCGCTCACCGGCAACGCCAGGTGGGGGCCATCTGACCACTCAACAGTTTTGCTTTTTCTTCAAATTCGGATACTTAGAAGGAATGCGATGAAATTGGGATGAAGGTGTTTTGCTGGCCCCGTGGACAGACCAGACCTCCTCCCATCGGAGCCTCGGGTCTCACACCAGCCCCCCAGGCGGCGCGCGGCCCCGTCTCGCCACCGCGGCCCGGGTCGTTCGCGTCTTCCGGCGCCGAGGGTGCCTCTGGGTCCCAGCACCAGGCTCCGTGGCGCGCACGCGCGGCAGCTTCTTCTAGCCCCGCCAGGAGACGGCCCAGAAGGGCTATGCGGCGCGGCCTCGCTCCTGGGGGTGGTTAGGAACGACTGTTTCATTTCCTCCTTCACCCTTCAAATCTCAGTTTTTGCTTGGGCTTGAAGGAATGGGCCAGGGTATCGTGGACGGAGAGTCTTACAAAATTTGAGTTTTTGAGGTCAGAATTTAAAAGTAGCTGCCGAAACCCGGGATCGAACCAGGGACCTTTAGATCTTCAGTCTAACGCTCTCCCAACTGAGCTATTTCGGCACGTTCTGGGTTGTCTCCTGAGTAAACTATCACTGAGCGCTTTGCGTCCAACTGGCTTGCTTGTCTTTTCCTGGTGATCATGTACAGCATTTCTTCCTTGTCCTGTTAAACGGTGTCGTCGGAATTCTTCCACCTCCCTCCTTCTACGCTGCCACTGGGCGCTGCACACGCGCCTTACTTTCTTAGATTGCTCTCGGCGCGCGCAGCCCGCACGGTCCAGGAGCTGGGTCCAGGCCCCCGATGGCGGCTCCTCGGGATGCTGGTTCCGTCCTCCCAGGGCCGGTCCCCGCGAGATCCGAAGCAGCGGGGTCGCCTCGGGGAGCTCCTGCCCAGGCCTGGTAGCCCCTTCCCTTCGATCTGCCCCTGCCTGTGACTATCCACATTCGTCACCTTGCTCCCCGAAAAGTTCCAGGCCCCAGGTGAGGAGCCGTGTAGGCCCAATACGATTGGATGAAGGAGTGTACGGGGCAGGAATCGTCAGACTGGCCTCTGGAGAGGAGTTTGCAGCCTCTCCGTGCTCCGGGCCCGGGAAATGTCCACCTTAATCATCACCTCTTTGCATGGAGCCTGACTGGCAAATAAATGCTGGGTGAGCTCACTAACGATGATTATTCAGTCAATGCTATTTCCCACACGAGTCAACAAATGTTTCCGAAGCACCCACTACGTGCCAGGCTCATTCTTTACTTCCCAAACGTCTTACTTTTTCCATTTTTTAATTTTTGTCGCCAATTAAATTGTAATCTGTCAAGGCAGGGATCTTACCCGGCTCTTTAGAGCTTTGCATTTAAGTGGAAACTTCGCAGCCAATTTGGACGGATGGATGGATAGGATGGATGGATGGATGGTTGGATGGATGGATGGATGGTTGGATGGATGGATGGATGGCTGACTTCAAATGCGAAAGAGAAAAAAATACAAAATTAGAAATTTTTGCAATCTCTATTTTCTCCGCCAAGCCTCCTCCCTTATAAGAAAGAGAGTTTCTTTCTGGGTTCCTTTATTGTGCCAAATCCAAAAAAGAGCCGAGGCGTTGATGGTATAGTGGTTAGCATAGCTGCCTTTTAAATCCAAAGAAACCAAAGAGCTTGAGATTTAACAGAAGTCAGCAGCTAAGGATGAGAGAGAGACCAAAGAGAGCTTGGGGCTGGGCAGAGTTCAGAGAAGGGTTTGGGGAGCTTGGAGTGGAAGAGGGAGAAATTTTGGGCAGCCACCCTGTGAGGATCGTACATCTAAAAAGAGATGGGGAAAGAGACCTTTAACAGGCTTTCATGTATGTTATGAATGTAGCTACCTTTCCCATTCTCCTCAAAACACTGCAGGCAAGACGAATTATTTTCAACAACTCTTGGGCTGCTGGCCGGCTGTTCCTTACTGGATTCAATCATGAGATAGCTCAGCTTCTTAAATTTTACAAAAGTTGTGTCTTTAGGTTAAAAATCAAATCTGGGAAGTCTCAAAATATATGTTAGAGAGTGATGGGATAACACATGTACGGGCTGGGACATGGTGTTAGTGTCTCTCTTTCTTGGTCTCGTAGTCACACCTGCAAACCAGCTGCTTCGTGCATTGTCACCTGGGAAATGAAATCCTAGGTAACTAGGAAAGTGGCAGGTAAGTTTTGATGGGATTTAGGCTGGGGGTGGGGATGGGTAGCAAAGGTCCAAGCAGGATCTAATGGAAAATGGAGGAACAGGATAAGAGAGAGAGGAGAAGGAAGAGTGCAACCAAGAAACATTGCTTTGTGATTTAATGCGATGAGAACCCTTGGCAAATTGTGAGATAATAGACACTACATTGTCATAGTGATCATTTGTTTAGTAAAAGTTGATTTTAGAAAGTAAGTGTTGTGAGAGATGTCTTGGATAAGCTGGGTATCCAGGAAAGTCCTTGTTTATATATGTTGTCCCGGAACTCTCCATGGTAGTAGCCTCTTCACTGTTAAACAGTTAAAAGTAAGGCTGGACGCGGTGGCTCATGCCTGTAATCCCAGCACTTTGGGAGGCCAAGGCAGGTGGATCACTTGACGTTAGGAGTTCAAGACCAGCCTGGTTAACATGGTGAAATTCCATCTCTACTAAAAATACAAAAATTAGCCGGGCATGGTGGCGTGCACCTGTAATCCCAGCTACTCGGGAGGCTGAGGCAGGAGAATCAATTGAACCTGGGAGGCGGAGGTTGCAGTGAGCGGAGATTGTGCCACTGCACTCCAGCCTGGGTGACCGAGCGAGACTTTCTGTCTCAAAACAAAACAACAACAACAAAAAACAGTTAGAAGTGTTTTGGAATGACTGGAAGATAAATAAACAATGTGATCACCTACTTTATTAACTTTGTGAAAGCCTCAGCTTGATGCTCTCCGGGTTTCTCCCTAGGTTTTCCTGTTAGTGAAAAGATCTTCAACATCAACCCAATATTTATTGTTGCTGTTTTACAAAGGAGACCGAAAGTTTCTGGGACTTAGTGCCACGGTCCCGAAACTGCAGCCACCTGGGGCACTGAAGAATATTTCACATTTTTGAGAGAAACACAGCGATGCTTGGCATCTGTGGGACGCTATGCAAACTACCCAGTAGTTCATTGTTTTGGCAAGAGATTACATTTCTATCAGTGATGTCATCTCTTTCAGCATGATAAAAAGTACCCATGAATCAATGGGGAATATGAAATTAGGGTTGAGATGTCCAATCTGTTTCCAAGCTTGAGAAATTGTACACTGTCCAGGATACACACATCCCACCAGTAAGTTAACTGTGGTGAGAATGAAATTAGGGAGTCTCTGAGCCTACTCTGGCTTGGGAGGCTGCCCTTGAAAAAAAAAAAAAGAATGAAATAAAAGTGTAACTTTTCTTTCAATTTATATGTATAATTTTTTTCAAGTGGCTACGAAGTTGTTGGACATAAATCCTTATTAAGTTATTTGGACCTGAGTACTTAATAAAAGGAATTGTTCGGCATTTCTTTTGGCCTGGGGGCATTGGAAAAAATTACTGAGACAGTAAGAGCTGCCTGTGAACAGAGAAAGCGAAAAACAATTATTATGAGTTTGGGAAAAACCTTGCTTTACTCAGCAAGATTGCAGCGCAAAGAAGAACTGTCAGAACATCCAAGGAGACCAAGCGCCACAGGCTAAATAAAGTGAAGTGAAAATCTGTGCACACACATCATAGTAAGAAGAGACAGGTGATAAAGAAGTTGGCATTCAAAATGAGGATAAAGATGTTGAAGAAGACTCTGTGTTGGAAAGAAACTGTGTAAGCTGCAGTCCTGTTTTCCAAATGAGCTCGCGGATTTTGGCCAACTCCAGTCTAATTACCTATGATTAAAAAAACCAGCTAATTACGAGAACTAACTAGCAGATCTGAGAATAATAAAACTGAAGAGAGTATGTTGCATATAGTTATAACAGCTAATAAATTTTTGTGGGTTTTTTTGTTTGTTTTGAGATGGGAGTCTTGCTCCATTTATTGCCCAGGCTGGTCTCGAACTCCTGGGCTCAAGGGATCTTCCCAGGTAGCTGGGATTACAGACACACACAACTGTGCCCCACTTCTGATAAAAATTTAAATGGCTGTTAATTAATCTCTCCTTCAGTTTGCTCCTTGGGATTCTGCAGTGCACATGCATACACACACACACACATGCACACACACACACACATTTTTGGGGGCCTCTGATTTTAATCAATATTTCTTTAAAGTATTTTAAAAATGATGGGGGTATGTCAAAAGGACCTAGGAACCAGTTTGAAGGGGCTCCTACTGGCCAAAACTGGGACAATCTGAGCATCAAAATAAATAAGAATATTAATGGATTATTTACCCTTTGAATAAAATAAAAGTCCTTTAGTACAATAATTGTGTGGTGGATGCAGGGGAGGAATTGAGGATTCTTATAGCTGAATGAAGTGTGCAGACTGACAAATTTGGAGGTAGTGGTAGCACGGGATATCACCATTTTCCAAACATCATAGTAAAGATTGATTCAGTCAAGAATCATCAATGGATGTTAAGTCTAAGGGGGGACAGTTAAACGAGGAGCAGGATCATTGCATGGCCTCAAAGTATTTCTCCACAGATTGCTTAAACTGCACAGTGGAGAAAACGGACAATGCCATGATCCGGTCATCAAAATTAGCATCACCAATGTAGGACATTCGGTCATCACATGCCTTCTATTGTGATGCCCTGTAAAAGACACAACACACACAGTGCTCCAGGCAGGGAAGCAGAACCTAACTTTAATCATGGAGCAGCATTATACAAACCCCAAGTAAAGGTCATCCTAGTAAATAAATGGCCTGTATTATTCAAAACTGTTAAGGTCACGAAAGCAAAGAAAAGCTGAGGAACTGTTCCATATGCAAGGAGGTGAAAGAAACACAACTCAGTGCAATGTGTAATCCCAGACTGGTTCCTATTCTGGAGGAGAAAATGCTTTAAAGGGTGCTATTGGGACAACTAATGAAATTGGAACATGAGCTGCAGATTAGATGAGTGTGTTTTATCAGTGCTAAATTTCCTGAAGTTGGCAACCATAGTTAGGTAAGAAATATCCTTGTTTCAGGAAGTACATACTGAACTATTAAGGGATGAGAGACAATCCACTCTC
Organism: Homo sapiens; assembly: GCF_000001405.40. Classification (NCBI taxonomy): domain Eukaryota; kingdom Metazoa; phylum Chordata; class Mammalia; order Primates; family Hominidae; genus Homo; species Homo sapiens. The sequence goes on from NC_000013.11 coordinate 94,554,334, forward strand.
AAATAGATTCTGAAAATAAATAATAGTATGCATACATATTATTATATATGTAAACATATACACACATGCATGTGTATATATGAAGATAATATTAAAAAATAGAAACAAATATTAAAATTTGGCGTATCTGAGTAAAAGGTATATGGAATTCTTCTGTATCATTTTATAACTTTTCTAAAAATTTGAAACTCAGACCAAGCATGGTGACTCACACCTATAATCCTAACATTTTGGGAGGCCGAGACCAGAGGATCGTTTGAGCCAAGGAGTTTGAGGCCAGACTGGGCAACAATAGGGAAACTCTGTCTCTACAAAAAAAAAAAAAAACAAATTAGGCCGGGGGAGGTGGCTCAGGCCTGTAATCCCAGAACTTTGGGAGACCAAGGCAGGTGGGTCACATGAGGTCAGGAGTTCAAGACCAACCTGGCCAACATGGTGAAACCCCATCTCTACTAAAAATACAAAAATTAGGCAGGTATGGTGGCGTGGCACCTGTAATCTCAGCTACTCATGAGGCTGAGGCAAAAGAATCGCTTGAACCCAGGAGGCAGAGGTTGCAGTGAGCTGAGATCACGCCACTGCATTCCAGCCTGGGGAACAGAGACTCTGTCTTAAAAAAAAAAATTAAAAAATTAGACAGGTGTGGTGGTACACACTTGTGGTCCTAGCTACTTGACTTGAATGGCTAAGGCAGGAGAATCGCTTGAGCCTGGGAGGGAGAAGCTACAGTGAGCTGTGATCATGCCATGCACTCCAGCCTGTGTAACACAGTGAGACCCTGTCAAAAAAAAAAAAAAATACCCTCAGATTTGTTTTTAAAATAAAAAAAATAAATAAATAATGTTTGGCGGTCTTCTTGAGCCAAGACAATTTCAGTTAGAATCATACTATAGCTAAGAGCTGGAAGAGAATTTAGCATTTATTTCGCCTGACCACAAATTTTACGCTAATGCTCCGGAGACACTAATAAGTAACTTGCTTGAGATTACCGTATCAGTCTTCTCGGGCTGCCATAACAAAATACCGTAGACTGGGTGACTTAAACAACAGAAATTTATTTTTTCACATTTTGGAAGCTGGGAAGTCCAAGATCAAGGCTTTGGAGGATTGGGTTCCTGGTGAGGGCTCTCTTCCTGGCTTGCCGAGGCCACCCTCTCTGTGTGCCCACATGACCTTTCCTCCGTGTGTGTATGCGTGTGGAGAGAGAAGGCTTCCACATCTCACAAGGCCATCAGTCCTATCAGATTAGAAACCCACGCTTACAACCTCTTTAGCCTTCATTACCTCCCAAAAACGCTACATCCAAATACAGTCACATCGGGGTTAGGGTGTCAACATATTAATTTTGGGGGGACATATTTTTTAGTCCACAGCAATTACACAAACTGATACAGCGCTGACTGCTGACCCATAGAGCATATTCCTTACCTTGCACCAAATACTCTTAATATTTTTCATAAAGACTGTTTCAATGAAAAATTGGCATGAGAATAAAAAACCCAAACTTGAATCTAGGGCTAGGGCCCAGTTTTCTCCTGCAGATGCTTTTTTATGGGCATGTATATGCTTTTTGAACGAAGTTGCTTGATGGATACAAAGCGATTCCTCCAAAGTTATATATTAAAGTTGTAACTTAGGGGAGAAGTATTTAAAAAAATTAATAGCTTGCAAAGATCATCAGTGTGCTGAATTGATCCAAAAGAAGTTAATTTATTTAAAGCCATTAAACCACAAGTCCATAAAGACCTTATTGTTTTTTGTTTTTGTTGAATCACAGACATCAATATCAAGCCTCTGGGTATACTTACCAGGCCAGAAACAATTAAGTAAATTATACTCAGAAACAACCTACCAAGCTTTTCATATGTTCTAATCCAATCCTCCCACATCCATCAAGCAAACGCCTAGCTAATCATGTGGACTTTGCACAATACCCTACAGGCCAGAAAACTTGGATTCTAGAACCTGAGTTTCAGAGGCTTGGATGCTTTTTAAATACTTCTTAGCTTAATTGCTTGTCTCTGCCTTTTGATGAAGTGGGCCAGACTCCCAACTGCATTTCTGTCCCCATCTCCTCATCTTCCCACCCTACCCTTATTCAACCATGAAGGATAAGGCCTGATTATTCACCTAGAGAAATCAAATGAAATAAATTTAACACAACAGTTTCCTAAATCCCTTAATAATTCAAAAAAGAAATGTCAGAAAGCATAAATCAACCAGTCTCTTCTGTTAACCCAGTGAGGTACACAGCTGATGTCCAATGACCGGGGGCTCAGAAAAGGAGGCCACGACTCAGAGATGCCTGTGCACTTTGGTCCTGTTTTCCTTTCAGCCTCCCAGGGGCTTCACATTCTTGACTTTTGTAGGGACTTGCAACTCGCCAAAATGGTATAAAGATTAAACTGAAGACATTTGAGATACAACAGATGAAGCAAGAAGCCTTTTCTGAGCTTCTCTTATCTGAGGAAAGGCACAGCCTTCCAAGAAGGAAGCTGCCATAGGTCCTCTCTGTCTCTGGGGGAATTTCCAGCAAGGAAGGAGACTATTAGCACTGGGATATGAAACTGCATAAACAAACATTATGACAAACTGTCCTACCTTCCGTTTGTTTCCCTAAAGCCATCTGTCTCTCCTAAAAGCTCATTTATTTCCCACAGAAGTCCTCTCTCTCCCTCTTTCCCCCTCTTAAGCAGGTATATAAACCCTTATCCCTAGCTGTTCAGCCAGCCTCTTCATTTGAATGTTCCCACATGCGTGTGAGTTAAAATTTTTCTCCCATTAATCTGTCTGTTTTTAGTTAATTCACAGCCCCTCCCGCCACCCACTGAACCCTAAAGGCAAAGGGGAAATCTTTCCAACACTTTCCATTGCTTTCATCCATTTCTCTAGTCCTGTTTATTTATTTATTTGTATCCCTTAACTCCATCTCCTCCCACTGGCCTACTCCTCACACCCCTCACTTTTTTTTTTTTTTTTTTTGAGATGGAGTTTCTCTCTTGTGGTCCAGGCTGGAGTGCAATGGCGCGATTTCAGCTCACTGCAACCTCCACCTCCTGGGTTCAAGCGATTCTCCTGCCTCAGCCTCCCGAATAGCTGGGATTATAGAAAGCCACCACCACGCCCAGCTAATTTTTGTATTTTGAGTAGAGATGGGGTTTCACCATGTTGGCCAGGCTGGTCTCGAACTCCTGACCTCAGGTGATCCACTCGCCTCGGCTTCCCAAAGTGCTCAGATTACAGGCGTGAGCCACTGTGCCCGACCCACACCCCTCACTTTTACTCAGAAATGTAGTGTGTTTAGTATAAAAGTCTTGGAGACAAGGCAGCTCTTCTCCACCCTTTCTGCCTATCTTCATTGCACACACAGGCCAGGGTTTTTCTAGAGGACTTTAGCGTATGGGCAGGAGAGGGTGACAGGAGGGGATAGTGGAGTTTTGCTGCTCTCTGTGGTCAGGGCTCAGGCAGGACTCTAAGGGAAGCCTCACTGAACCCACTGTCCTCAGTCCTTCTGTGGTTGGAATGGTCAGGGCACATGTCCACGACTCTTCCAATTAGTGGGATAGAAAGCAGGGCCCTAGCCCCAGATTCTACCACTCAGCTCCCTAGCCTATTCTCCTCATTTGCAATTGGAAAAGTTGACTCCGATTTTCCCAACCACAAAAGTTTACATACAATTCAGAAGGGAATAAAACTGCAACCCAACCCTCTCATTCGACATGTCTTTCCCATTGATGCCTGATTCTTTCCCGACAGGCAGGAAGGAATCTATCAAACCACAGGCCAAAGATCCCTATTCAGACAGCACATTTTACCCTCATGACAATAATTACCTAAATAGTTGGATAAGGAGAAATGCTTCAATTTGGCAATGACTGATGCTTCCCCCACAAAAAATGCAAGAAATAAAATCCAAGTGCTGTTCTTTGTCCTAATAAGAAATATACAAGGATATTCAATCATATTGGTGCTTGTGTAATATTTACAAAATGTAAGGGACAATGCCTCTACCCCATGTATGAATCAATGAAAGACCAGAGAGGTTAATGACTGCTAGCGTGACCCAGTTATCTGGTGACAGAGGTAGGACTAGAACTTAGGTCTCAGATCCCAGGTCAGAGTTGTTATACTTGTTTATGTTTGTTTGTCCCTGTATAAGACCAACCTTATCAGAATAGAAGTTTGCTTAAATTTATGATAACATACACTTTGCGGATATTAAGTTTCGTGGCAAATGATCTTCCTGGCTTTACTCAGTGTTGAATCTTGCTGCTTACACTAAACTGGCGCATTCCCTGAGCCCATGAAGAATTTCTATGCCAACCTTGTGAGGTAGGAGAATAGGCTCTGAAGGCAGGGAACATAGGCCATTCACACTGACTTCTTAGAAATAAATCAAAAGGAAAACCCCAATCTTCCACTTCCAAGTAACAAAAGGAACAGAGGCTACTTCCTTTGCAACCCCCACTTTTCTGCGTGGCAGATGAAAAACTGAAAGTACTTTTGATTCGTCCTCTCCCGCAACCAATCAGGCTGGTCGCAGGCCAAGTCTTCATTTGCATAGGAATATAACGTTGTAACTTCACTTTAGCCTCTGATAGGTCACTTTCCACAACCAGTCAGAAGTTTGCATAGGGTGTAACTTTGTAACTTTGCCTCATCCTCTGATTGGTCCCTTCTTGCAACCAATCAGACTGATCACAGACCACTACTTTATTTACATAGGGCGTACACAAAGTAACCAATGGGAAACCTCTAGAGGGTATTTAAATCCCAAAAAATTCTGTCATCGCGGGCTCCCACCCTGTGGAGTGAACTTTTGTTTTCAATAAATCTCTACATTTGTTTCTTCCTTTCTTACTTTGTGCGTTTTGTCCAATTCTTTGTTCAAGACGTCAAGAACCTGGACACCCTCCACTGTTAACACTTGTTTTGAGAATCTTGAGGCCTGATTACTTTCAATTAAAAATCTGGGGCCCAGAAAAGGACATGCTAGGAATCATTTATACTTCAGTGTAAACAGAGGTCTTCCCACCCATCTTTGGGTGGGTCTTTTGATACACTATACAGTAATACGCATAGCATTACCTATGAAGGTTTCTTGCTAAAAATGTTTGATCTGAAACTACTTAAGCCTCCAGGTAGACCTAACTTCCAGTTTATACGAAACTGAGAAAATGGAGAAACGAGTTAGATGACACCATGAAGAAATAACCAGGTACATCTAGAATATGAGGCATTCTCTAAGACATCTAGCCTGCGGCTGTTTTCAAAAATGTCAGTGCCATGAAGACAAAAAAAACCCACATCAAAAAGAGAGACAGCTGCATGTTTAACAGACTGAAAATACATTACCAAAAGTAATATGTGAACCTTTACTGAATCCTGCTATGGAAAAAAAAAAGCTGTAAATAAGATAATTTTGGGGGGACATGGAGAAATTAGAATACGTATATTAGATATTAGGGAATAAAATATATGACTCCATTCTCTTAAGTATAAAAATAATATGGTCATTAGGTAGGAGTATACTATTGGTTTCAGAATATTTGTGCTAAAGTATTTAGAAGTGAAGTGTCATGACATCAACTTATTTTCAAACACACAAATTTCCACATACATACACACACAAAAATCAATATGGCAAATGTTAACAATTGTTAAATTCAGGTAGAGAAATACATCTTTCAATTTTTCTGTATGTTTTAAATTTTTCATAAAAATTTTAAAAAATTAGTCTTGTCTTACACATCCTAGAAATTTTTGGATTTCAATCCTATTTTCCATTAAAGACTGAACAACTTTCCTTCTTATCAATAGGATTTTAGGCATGGAAAGGTGATTAAAGATACATTTTGTGAAAATGAACAGACCCTTCCCCAAGACCACAAACGGCCTAAGTAGCCTCTTTATCTCTTTATTGCTAAGGCTTGTCTTGTACATACCAAGATCATACTTTTAATTCTCAAGTCAGGATATGTGGTCTGGCAAAAGATTTTTTTTCTTGCTTCTGCTTTTACTCATATGAAAGCCTTACAAAAGCATACAAATCAAAACATTTGTAGATATAATTTTTATTTGTTTAACAATGAATCATCTTTATTTAAAAATCACATAAATGAAATTACACTGTTTCAAGGATTTCAAATATACAGTTTCCATGTCTTGTAGTCAACTCCGATGTGATTTACAGCAAAATCTTTAACTTTACAAGGTCAGCTTAATAATCTACCATAATGTATGTGAGGATAAAAATGTCTTCCTTGTCTTTTATTTTTAACTTTTAATTTCCTTTTTGAATCAGGCTTTGAGTTTTGACCTTCACAATTACTAAGGAAAGTCAGATTGCAGTAATTAGAATACTATAGTAACATCATCTAAAACTATGGTTTGATTAGTCCATTAACTTAAGCAACCACAATTTCAACTCCTGAGAAATTTAAGCCGATTTAATTTGAGCTATGTGGTACACTATTCCCTTTTTATGATTGCTGAAATATCTGCAGAATAAGTCAGAGGTAGCATACTTATTTAGAATATTACAAGAGCGAAAGAAAATCCCGCAGAGCAGCAAATCAATTTAAGAGAAATGTGCATTTTCTAAATGTTAACACATGGAGCTTTCATTTGACATCTACTATCCAAATAGCTAAAATGACCACTTTCCTTTAGAAATTTTTCTTCTGGGCAGAGAAATATTGCTTTATATTTTCCCTTAAGTTTATTCAATTAAAAAATGTGAAGGGCAGAGCTCCAGAGCCATTACATTTTTAAAATTTTCTGGAAATATAAATTTTTTTTTCAAGAGCTTATTTGGCTTAGTTTAGGTACGATTTCTCATCTCTGTAATTTCCATTCAGCCTTATAACCTAAAAACATGCTTTCCCTCCTCTCCTACGCCTACAGTTAATTCTCACAACAATCTTCATTAAGAGAGCAATGTTTTCATTCCAAGTCAATAGATGAGGTACTAGGCAAAGTATAGAGCTGTTACTAGACATGCAACTGGAGAGCTTTCCAGAACAGGCGTACCTTGGAGATATTGTGGGTTCAGTTCCAGACCACTGCAATAAGGTGAATATTGCAATAAAGGGAGTCACAGAAATATTTTAGTTTCCCAGTACATTTAAGTTATGTTTACATGATACTGTAGTCTATTAAGTGTGCAATAGCATTATGTCTAAAAACTCAATGTACATATCTTAATTAAAATATTTTATTGCTAAAAAATGCTAGCAATCATCTGAGCCTTTAGTAAGTCATAGTGGAAGGTCTGGCCTTGATGCTGATGGCTGCTGATTTATCAGTGGTTGCTGAAGACTGAGGTGGCTGTGGTAATGTCTTAAAATAAGACAACAATGAAGTTTGCTGCATTGACTCTCTTTTGTGAAAAATTTCTCCATGGCAGGCCGTGCTGTTTGATTGCATTTACCCACAGTAGAACTTCTTTCAAAATTAGAGTCAATACTCTCAAACCCTGCTGCTATTTTATCAAGTAAGTTCATGTAATATTCTAAATCCTTTGTCATTTCAGCAACGCTCACAGCATTTTCACCAGGAGTAGGTTCCATCTCAAGAAACTACTTTTTTTTTTTTTTTTTTTGCTCATCCATAAAAAGCAACTACTCATCCATTGAAGTTTGATCATGAGATTGCAGCAATTCAGTCACATCCTCAGGCTCCACTTCTAAATCTAGTTCTCTTGCTATTTCCACCACATCTGCAGTTACTTACTTCCTCCACTGAAGTCCTGAACCCCTCAAAGTCATCCATGAGGGTTGGAATCCACTTCTTTCAAACTCCTGTTAATATATTTTGACCTTCTCCCACGAATCATGAATGTTCTTAATGACATTTAGAATGGTGAACTCTTTTCAGAAGGTTTTCAACTCACTTTGCCCAGATCCTTCAGAGGAATCGCTATCTATGGCAGCTATTCCTTACGAAATTTACTTCTTAAATAATAAGGCTTGAATGTCAAAATTACTCCTTGACCCACGAGGTACAGAATGGAAGTTGTGTTGCCAGGCATGAAAACATTAATATCCTTGTACATCTATATCAGACTTCTTGGGTAACTAGGTGCCTTGTCAATGAGCAACAATATTTTGAAAGAAATCTTTCAGTCATCTAGGCTTTGTTGTATAATTTCTAGAGCACAGGCCGAGTAGATTTAGCATAATTCTTAAGGGCCTTAGGATTTTCAGAATGGTCAATGAGTGTTGGCTTCAACTTACAGTCACCAGCTGCATTAGACCCCATTAAGAGAGTCCTCTGAAACTCTGAAGTCAGACATTGACTTCTCTTCTCTTAACTATGAAAGTCCTAGATGACATCTTCCTCTTTTTTTTTTTTTTTTTTCTTTGAGATGGAGTTTCGCTCTTATTGCCGAGGCTGGAGTGCAATGGCGTGATCTCGGCTCACTGCAACCTCTGCCTCTTGGGTTTAGGCGATTCTCCTGCCTCAGCCTCCCGAGTAGCTGGGATTACAGGTGCCCGCCACCACGCCCAGCTAATTTTTTGTATTTTTAGTAGAGGCAGGGTTTCACTATGATGGCCAGGCTGGTCTCAAACTCCTGACAGCTGAACCACCCACCTTAGCCTCCCAAAGTGCTGGTATTACAGGCGCGAGCCACTGCACCCAACCTAGATGGCATCTTCTAACAGAAGGCTGTATGGTCTACATTGAAAATCTTTTGTTTAGTGTAGCTACTCTCATCAGTGACCTTAGCTAGATCTTCTGGATAATGTGCCACAACTTCTCCACCAGCCCTTGCTGCTCACCATGCACTTACGTTATAGAAACAGTTTCTTTCCTTGAGTCTCATGAACCAATCTCTGCTAGCTTCCAACTTTTCTTCTGCAGCTTCCTCACCTCTCTCAGCTTTCACAGGATTGAAGAGTTGGACCTGGCTCTGGATCAGGCTTTGACTTAAAGAAATGTTGTGGGGCAGGCGCGGTGGCTCACGCCTGTAATTCCAGCACTTTGGGAGGCTGAGGCAGATGGATCACTTGAGGTCAGTGGTTAGAGACCAGCCTAACTCCTGGTCTCTCCTGGTGAAACCCCATCTTTACCAAAAATACAAAAATTAGCTGGGCGTGGTGGCAGATGCCTGTAATCCCAGCTACTGGGGAGGCTGAGGCAGGAGAATTGCTTGAATCTGGGAGGCGATCATGCCACTGCACTCCAGCCTGGGTGACAGAACGAAACTCCATCTACAAAAGAAAAAAAAAGAAATATGGATGGTTTGATCTTCTATCCAGAAAATTCAAATTTTCTTCACATTAGCAATAGGGCTGTTTCACTTTCCTATCATTCATGTATTCACTAGAGCATCTCTGTTAATTTCCTTCAAGAACTTTTCCTTTGCATTTACAACTTGGCTAACAGGTACAAGAGGCTTAGCTTTTGGTCTTTCTCAACTTTTAAAATGACTTCCACACTAAGCTCAATCATTTCTAGCTTTTGATTTAAAGTGAGAGATGTGTAACTCTTTATTTGAACACTTAGAGGCCATTGTAGAGTTTTTGTTTGTTTGTTTTTCAGAGAAAGAGTCTTGCTCTGTCGCCCAGGCTGAAGTGTAGTGGCGCCATCTCGGCTCATTGCAACCTCTGCCTCTTGGGTTCAAGCAACTCTTGTGCCTCAGCCTCCCAAGTAGCTGGAATTACAGGCGCGCCATCACTCCTGGCTAATTTTTTTTTTTTCTTGAGATGGAGTTTTTGCTCTTGTCACCCAGGCTGGAGGGCAGTGACATGATCTCGGCTCACTGCAACCTCCGTCTCCCGGGTACAAGCGATTCTCCTGCCTCAGCCTCCCAAGTAGCTAGGATTACAGGCACCTGCCACCATGCCCAGCTAATTTTTGTATTTTGAGTAGAGATGGGGTTTCACCATGTTGGCCAGGCTGGTCTCGAACTCCTGACCTCAGGTGATCCATCTGCCTTGGCCTCCCAAAGTGCTGGGATTACAGGTGTGAGCCACCGTGCCCAGCTCATTGTACGGTTATTAACTGGACTAATTTCAATATTGTCTCAGGGGATACAAAGGCCCCGAAAGAGGGAGAGAGATGGGAGAAAGGCCTAGCAGTGGAGCAGACATAACATACAACATTTATCAATTAAGTTGGCCATCTTACATGGGCATGATATGCGGTGCCCCCAAACAATTATACTAGTAACATCAAAGGTCACTGATCACAGACCACCATAACAGATATAATAATGAAAAAGTTTGAAATGTTATAAGAATTGCCAAAATGTAACAGAGATAAGAAGTAAGCACATGCAGTTGGAAAAATGCCACCGATAGACTTGCTCGACTCAGAGTTGCCACAAATCTTGAATTTATACAAAATATAATTATCTGCGAAGCACAATAACGTGAAGCACAATAAAATGAGATATGCCTGTCGTTTGGAGCCAAGAGAAAAAGATGAAGACCTAGAATTGCTTCTTTTGCTCTTCAAAATCGACTTAAGTAGAGAAAACACAAGGGGGCTTCGACTTCCTAAATTTGGGATAGAATGGTTACATTGGTAAAATATAACATTTTCCATCACCCGGTAACACTATTTTTAAGAGTATGCCAATTAAAACATAGTGGGTTTAGCTATAAAACACAACAGTATTAAAAATACTATTAAAGCTAAGGACGGATCCTAGAAAAATCATTCAAGGTTAGAAGTTTCTATAAAGAAGCACCAAAGTGAGAATTAAAGATCAGTCTTTCTAAACAACAACAAAATATAAGTGAAATCAGATATAAGACTTGCAAAACTGGTTCACCTCTTTCTTAAAGTGTGAGATTTGAGCAAGAAAGTGAGCTTTATGTAGTCAAATGGTGTTTGACTACAAATCGTAAAAATGCAAGAGATTCTGCCTGGGGTGAGGAGGGAGGGGGAAATGTGTGTGTGAGGAGGAAGGGGGAGAGAGAGGGAGAGAGAAATTGAGAGACAGACAGACAGTGGCAAAGACTCTGCTCTTTAAAAAACCTGCAAATGAATAGAGATGCTGAGTGTCCAGGGAGGTGATTACACCCCCAGGAGCTCCGTGTTTAGTGGAACACACACACCTATAAACAAATTGTATGAGTACAGTGTGATGGTAATATAGATGGCAGAACTTCAACATCTGCAGGTGAGGTCAAAGAGAGGCTCAAGCTAGCTAAAGATTCTAGAAGTGCAATAAAACAATTTTTGCATCTTTCGTACTGGCAAAAATTAAAGGTCTATTAATACCCATGGCTTGCTAGAGTGCAGGAATTTCATCTCTATCTTTCAAATTTTAAGTGCATGTGCTTTTGGACCCAGATATACCAAATCTAGGCATTAATCCTTCAGAAATACACGCTCCTGTGTACACGCAGGTGTATATTGAGATGGTCAATGCAGCATTTTTTCAATAGTTGTAACAGTATAAATTCATGGCCTTCAAACATGGCTGCACCTTCACTGGGCGGTGGTAGAGCTGCTGCTCTCATTTTCCTCTGAGACACTACAAAACTCACTTCTCTCCTGTTGCCTTCCCGACTTTCAGGAAGAAAATTGAGGCCACAGTGAATTCCCTCTCGTCCCTCCCCAAAAGTCACTGTATCCAATCTCATCTCAGCTCCTGTCATTACTAATCCAGAAAGATGAGATCAACCCTATCCCAAAGTGAGTCTTTCCCTAGGGAGCCCATCTCCATGGACACTGTACTCCATTCATTATGCACTCCTGAATATCATTTATCTTTCTTCATTTATTGCTCATCTCTTCAGCTTATAATTATACAGAAGTCCTTTCTGTGCTAAAAACAAAACAAAGCAGCTTCTGAAGACCTTTCCTTAAGCCTGTGCCTTCCTTAGGGCTGGCCCTATCTTGACTCTTCTCAGCTCATTGAAAGGCTAAATTCCATTTTTCCATCCCTTGATTCCTAATTACTACTCAATCTTCATAATCCAGAGGTTCTCTCCCTCTCCCCACACTAGAAAATTTGCCTGCACATTGCCAAAAACCAGTGGACACTTCTTAGTCTTTGCCTTACTGAACTTCAGCTGGCCATCTGCTGGTTATTGAATGTCTCTCCCTTTTGCTTTGGTGGCGTTATTTCTTCCTTTCTTCCACTCCTCTGACTATTCCTTTTTTTTTTTTTTTTTTTGAGGCAGAGTCTCACCTTGTTGCCCAGGCTGGAGTGCAATGGCGCAATCTTGGCTCACTGCAACCTCTGCCTCCCGGGTTCACACAATTCTCCTGCCTCAGCCTCCTGAGTAGCTGGGATTACAGGTGCCCAACACTACACCCAGCTATTTTTTTTGTATTTTTAGCAGAGACAGGGTTTCACCATGTTGGCCAGGCTGGTCTCAAACTGCTGACCTCATGATCCACCCGCCTTGGCCTCCCAAAGTGCTGGGATTACAGGCGTGAGCCATCGCTCCCCGCCCATTCCTTCTTTTTTATTTCAAAATTGATTGATTGATGGATTGATTTTTAAGGCTAGTCAAGTGAAGCAGTGGGAGTAATTTTTTTTTTTTTTTGAGTCAGAGTTTCGCTCTTGTTGCTCAGGCTGGAGTCCAATGGCACGATCTCGGCTCACTGCAACCTCCCGCTCCTGGGTTCAAGCAATTCTCCTGCCTCAGCCTCCCAAGTAGCTGGGATTACAGGCATGTGCCACCACGCCCAGCTAATTTTTGTATTTTTTTTAGTAGAGACAGGGTCTCTCTATGTTGGTCAGGCCGGTCTCAAACCCCTGACCTCAGGTGATCTGCCCACCTCAGCCTTCCAAAGTGCTGGGATTACAGGCATGAGCCACCGCACCTGGCCCATAATTTTGTTTTTTAACCATTCCTTCCTAATTTCCTTGGGCTGCTTGCCTGCAACTTACATATTAGTGTTTCTCATGGCTTGTCTGTAAATCATTCCACCCACCATCAACACTGTCATTTTGTATACTTTCCTTGGGGGGGGGGGGATTTAATCTACTTTCAGATGTTAACAGTCATTTAACTCCCAAATATGTATGTCTAGATCTTGAGCCCTGACCACCAATCTGAGCTTCAGATTCACATACTTGCCTGTTCACCAGGTATCTCCACTTAACATGTTCCACAGACCCTTAAAGCTCAACATCTCTCCAAGCTCAACATCTCCTAATTGTAATCCACCATTCTCCACTCTTTCCAATTCAACACTGAAAACCTTAAAATACCACTCATGTCAAAAAACAGCTCCTCCAATGTATCATCAATCAGTAAGTTTTTAAATCTAAAACGTTCTCATGTCTGTCCCAGACTTTCCCTTCCCTGTTTGCGGTGCTGTGCTTTAGGCCTTATCATCGCCAGCCTGATTTACTGCAACAGCTTCATAACTTCAATCCCTGCAGGAACTCATTCTTGTCTTCCTTAAATTCGTCTTCCATGCTATTGCCAGAAAAAGCTATCAAAAACATAATTCTGCAGTCAATAAAAATGGCAAAAGATCTCATAATATGCAAAAACATTCATGATATACTGCTGCATGAAAAAAACCAGGCTCCACAACAGTATGTCCATTATGATCCTCTACTTGGTTTTTAAAATGTATGTATATATGCACAAAAAATTAAATTACATACATCAAAATATTAACAGGAATTATCTTCCAGTGTTAGATTATGGGTGATTTTCTTTTATTGATTAGTTTTCCAAGTTTTCTATAATAAGCATATTATTTTTGAAACTAGGAAAAAGATAAATCCTGTAAATCTAACCATGTCAATTTCTTCCTTAAAATCCAGAATTAGCTCTTGGCTGGTAGGATAAAGTCCAAGCATCTTACCATGGCAGACAAGGCCCTCCATGACCTGGCTACCACATTCCTCTCCAGCCTCACCTCCCCATCTCACATTATGGAACAGTGGCTTTCAAACATTAGGGGGCTTCTGAATTACTGGGCCCCACTCTCAGGGCTTCTGATTCTGTAAGTCTGGGAATTTGTATTTCTAACAAGGTCCCAGGTGATGTGAATGCTGTCTGTCCAGGGCCACATTTAAAAAAATCATTATTATGGCAAAATATACATAATGTAAAAGCCATGTTCAACCATTTTTAAGCGTACAATTCAGGGGCATTAGGTAGACTCAATGTTGTACAGCCATCACCATTATCTGGTTTCAGGACTTTTTTCATCATCTAAACAGAAACTCTGTACACATTAAACAATACCTCCTCCCTCCCTCCTCCCTCAAGCCACTGGTAAACCTCTGATACTGTGTCAATTTGCCTACTCCAGGAACCTCATTTGAGTGGAACCATACCACTTTTGTCCTTTTGTGTCTTCAAGGGTTATCCATGTTGCAGCATGTGTCAGAATTCCACTCCTTTTTCAGGCTGAATAATATTCCACTGCATAAGCCATTTTGTTTTATCCATTTATCTGTTGATGGACATTTGTGTTGTTTCCACCTTCTGGCTATTGCGAATACTACTGCCATGAGCATTGGTGTGCAGGTATATTAGCCTCTGCCTTCAATTCTTTTGGATATACCCCTAGAAGTGGAATTGCTGGATCATATTATAACTCTATGTTTAACTTTCTGAGGAACCACCATATTGTTTTCCAGAGGCTGCGTCATTTCACATTCCCGGCAGCAATGCACCACGGTCCCAATTTCTCTACATCCTCATTGACAGGGTGTTGTTTTAAAAAATAATAGCCATCCTGATGAGTGTCAGGTGATATCTCATTATAGTTTTGATTTCCTTAATGAAATGGAGACACGTTTTGAGAATGACTATGCTAGAGTAAAACTGATGGCGTATTGTTTCCTGAACACACAGCACTATTTAAAACTTGGTGCTTTCACTCTGATGATCCCTCTGCCTGGAATCATCCTGTTTCCTCACTAACTCCCATTCATTAAGTCACAGCTCAAATGTCATCTCCAATGAGCCTTCTAGGAACCTCCAGATTGGGTAAGCTGACCTCACAGAACCTGGAAGCAACTGGGGCAGTGGAAGGCGGAGGTAAGGGAGGTAGGCGAGGGTAAGGCATTGGATAAAAAGCAAGTGGCGCAGCTGGGCGCGATGGCTCACGCCTGTAATCCCAGCACTTTGGGAGGTGGGCGGATCACGAGGTCAAGAGATCGCGAGCATCCTGGCTAACACAGCGAAACCCCCATCTCTACTAAAAATACAAAACATTAGCTGGGCGTGGTGGTACGTGCCTGTAGTCCCAGCTACTTGGGAGGCTGAGGTTGCAGTGAGCCAAGATTGCACCACGGCACTCCAGCCTGGGTGATGGAGTGAGACTCTATCTAACAAACAAACAAAACCAAGTGGTTTGGTTGAAAGTCTGTATAGAGAGCAATTAAACTCCAAGACCCCCTCCTCCCCTACAAATGGCAATTATCAAGGTCTACCATTTGGATTTCCCTTTAAGAAAAAGCTTGCCATTCAGCTGGCAAGAGTGCAGTTAGCCAGCAGCTTCCACTTGCAATGCCTTCGGGATCCACCTGGTCGTTTCTAAGTAGCCCCTGGCCAATGGCTGAGCACAATAGGGAACCCAGCCATTTCTGCCCAGGTGGGGCTTTTTTTTCAGGAGATTTTGCTCTGCAGATCCCTGTTGAGCTGGATGAGATTCTGAAGCCCACTCTGCCAACCCTCTTCCTCACCCCTTCCTTTTCACAGATGTCTGATCTACGCTGCAGCCTGAAGATTTCTTCTGCCCAATTATGCATCCTCCCTTTTGTATCTTTCACAAGCATTAACTCCCTATCCTATTAATAAACTGCTAGCACCTCTAATTTGGCCTCAGCCACTACTTCCCAGAGGACCCAAATGACACAGTCACTTCTAAGAGTGGTCTAACAAAACAGTTGATAAGATGGGTTTAGACTGGATCACTTTCTGCCTGTCTGGTCATAAGAATACCATCCTGGGTGAGGCAGGGGGCATACACAGTCCCTAGCATAAGGTAGTGATGCAGTTGCTAAAACTTTCATGTTGGTGACTTGGGGGGAATGTTCTTTGGAAGGGGACCACCCTGCCCTGCTTACTGCAATAATTCAGGCACTTGAAAAGCTCAGGAGAACACGTCTTACAAGGGCAGTGGAATTGTTGGTCTTTAATAAGTTGTACTGATGTCCTCCAGAAGGGTAATGAAAAGCTAAGAACAAGAAATAAGTGACAACTAAGTGTGAGGGCCTTATCATGAGGTAGGAGAATAGAAGAAGCCCAAGACCAAACTCAGTATTTAATAGTTTAAAAGCTGCAGACATCTTTAAAGGAATCCACTCAGACAGTCTCATCTTTGTGTCAGGGTCCTAGATTTTCCCAACCAGCACCCTAACCTTGGCTGAAGCAAACTTAACAAACCTACCTCAGCTGGGCCTCTGGCCTGGCTGAGATAGTAAATCAAAAACAAAATCACAGCTGGGAGCAGTGATCGCATGAGAACTTACTATCGCGAAGACAGTGTCAAGAAGCCAAGAGGGATTCGCCGCCATGACCCAATACTTTAGAACCAAGGCAGGAGGATCACTTGGGTGCAGGAGTTCGAGACCAGCCTGGGCAACATAGTGAGACCCTCGTCTCAATTTAAAACACAAAATCACACCTTGGAGGAGGTGAAGATGATGCCACCCTTGAGGATCTCAAGGTTACAGAGAGGCCCCCACCAAAGCTCCGTTTAATTCACCAGTCTGGCCACTGCTAGAACTGGGTAGATCCTGGTGAAATGACTGCAGTCAAGGCCAGCTCAATTAAGGAGCAGCTCTGCTGTAAAGAAATACCTGCGACTGGGTAATTTATAAGAAAAGAGGTTTAATTGGCTCACGGTTCTGCAGGCTGTACAATCATGGCGCTGACATCCCTTGGCTTCTGGGGAGGCCTCAGGGAGCTTTTACCCATGCCGGAAGGCAAATTGGGAGCAGGCACATTACACAGTGAAAGCAGGAGCAAGAGAGAGAGGCAGTAGCGGGGATGGAGGGTAGGTGTCTCACACTTTTAAACAACCAGATCTCACAAGGACTTACTATCTTGAAGACAATGTCAAGCATGAGGGATTCTCCTCCATGACCCAAACACCCCCCACCAGGCCCTACCTGCAGCACTAGGGATTACAATGCAACATGAGATTTGCACGGGGACAAATATCCAAACTTATATACCAGGTTCTGATGGCAGCTGCTGTGCTTATGTGGCATCTTCTTTGCTGAAGTGGATTAGAAGGACCCTGGAACATAGTATCCAGCCACTGATTTGCTGTATGTGTTCTTTTCCATCTCAACCATGATGATCAGAAACCAGGAGCATTTGCAGTTTCACCTTAGGGCTATGTAAGTTCTGCTCTCCTAAGAGACTTGGGTGTCCTGAACATCCTGTAGAATGTCACAGTGATCTATCACATTGATGGTGTCATGCTGATCAGGCAGAATTAGCAAAGGTGGCTAGCACCCTGATGGCTTTGGTAATTCACATTCACCCCAGAAGGTGGGAGATAAAATCTGATGAAGATTCAAGGACTTGTGATTTCAGTAAAGTTTTTAGGAGTCAAACAATCAAGGTGTGCCAGGACATGCCCTCCAAGTAAAAGTCAAACTGCTTTATCTTATATCCCCTTCCTCAGAGAAGGAAACACAGAGTGTGGCTTTGGGTTCTGGAGGGAACACATTCCACACTTAGGGATACTGCTCCAGCTTATATACTGAGCGACAGAAAAGGCTGCCAGCTTTGAGGGGTCTGGGGCGGGAAAGAGGTCTGCAGCAGGTCCAAGCTGGGGTGTAAGCATTCCTGCCACTTGGGCTATATGATGTGGTAAACCCTATGGTGTTGGTGGTGTCAGTGGTAGAGACAGATGTAGTGTGGGTTTTATGGTGAGCCCCAGTGGAGAATAACTATGCAGGTCCCATGGTTACACCTGGGAAAGACCATTTCAGGCTCAGTGGAGAATCATGCCTTTGGAAAATAAATTACTGTGCCATGGTAGACCCAGAATACTTGACGACAAGACACCAAATGACCATGCATCTAGAACTGCCCATATGTACTAAGTTCACTTGGACCCACTGTTAAGGGCTGAAATGTGTCTCCCCCAAATTCTTATGTTGAAGTACTAACCCCTGGTACCTCAGAAAGTGACTATACTTAGAAACAAAGTTTTTAAAGAGGTATATTAAAATGAGATCTTTAAAATACACTCTAATCCAGTATGACTGGTGTCTTTATAAGAAGAGAAAATTTAGACACAGAGTAAAGATCACATAAGGACAGATGATGGCCACCTGCAAGCCAAGAGAGGCCTCGGAAGAAACCATCCCTGCCAACACCTTGATCCTGACCTTGGACTTCTAGCTTCCAGATCTGTGAGAAAATTAATTTATGTTGTAGAAGCTACCCAGTCTCTGATATTCTGTTATGGCAGTTCTAGCAGAGTAATGTGCCCACCCACTCAGAGTCAGGTGGAGCCAGCAGCAGTCCACTGGAAGATGGAAATGGCACATCTGGGATCGAGCATGAGCAGAATGGGAGAGCACAGGTAAGTTGTAAGAGCAGGTAGGCCAGACTCCCATGTCACCACCTTAGTTCTTTATACCTGTGGCCATATAGAGGGTCCCATACAACCAACTGAAAGGAGAAAAAAAGTTGATCTTAGTTTATAGATGGATTGGCCTGTTCTGTGGGTGCAAGCCAAAAATGGAGGGTGGTTGCCTGAAAACCATGCAGGGGTGGCCTTAAAAAGAATGTGGAAAGAGAAAACCTTTCCAAGAAAAAAGCTTCGAGTAGTATCCCTGCTCATGCACTATGTATAGTAGTGACCTGTGGTGAGAATATACATTTAGTCATGACCAGTAGCCTGGCTAGCTACTTTGGGGCTTAGAAGGAAAAAGTCTAGAGGAGCAGGAAACAAGGAAGTAAAGGTTGGAGAAGCGTGGATAGGCCTATCTATGGGAGAGGGTGGGGAGTGTGAAGATCTGTGTATTCCATGTTAACACTCACTAGAAAGCAACCACCATAGCAAGAGGCACTGAACCACCCAGTAGATAAAATGACTTGGTCAGTTAACTTTAGCCAGCTTTCATCATCAGCCACCCCAGAACTACCATGATGGGCACCTGAATGGAATAGGCCTCACTGTACAGATGGTCCCTACTCTTGGGACCCACAGCATGAATTCTCACTTACCACAGCCAATGTAGCTATTGTCACCTGTGAATATCCAACCTGCTGGCAATAGAGACAAATACTGAGCCCCCAATATGGCACTATTCTTCAAGGAAACCCACCAGCTACCTGGTGGGACATGAACTCCATTGGGCCCTTTCCACTGTGAAAGGGCTAGTAGCTGATTCTCACAATAGACATTTTCTCCACATGGGTTGGGTTTGCCTTTCTGCCCGCACAGCCTGCCCAATTTTGCTTCCTCCTTCTTTTATCGTTATAGTCATTACTTTCTCTCTGCATCTGCTTCCTGTAAGACTCAACTGACACACCTGTCTTCCCTCTCTTTCTCTCCAGAAAGGGGAAATTGGAGAAATTGAATAGAAGAGGTATGGACTCAGGGATCCCTAAGCACAGTGGGAGGCTGGTATTTAAGGGTATTTTTAAAGTATAAGACTTTCTAATGAGGAATTATGATGCCTCCATACCAAAATCTGCATTCTTAATAGAGGGCCACCCAGTTTCTTTTCCCTTTCTCAACCCAATAGCCAATCAGTTACTTTTTCAAGTCTTCTTAAAGTCTTTAGGGCAAAGAAGGATTAAAAATATATAATCAAATTTTTTTTTATTTTTCTACAGCAAAATAAAAACATTATTTTAAAAAGCAATATTCTACATTAAATACATTAAGATATTGACAATTTTATAAATACAATCATTTTAAACAGTAAACATGATAAATTTCTGATACAAGGTTTTACATACGTTAATTGTGAAAATATAAAAACTTTACACACTTCTCTTAAAAAGCATTCAACGTAATCAATTTTACAAAATTATCAATTTAAAAAGTGTTAGATATGCTTCTATTTTGTTCCATTATTAAGGCAATGATAGCATATCAGATCTTAAAAAAGAAATGGTGAATTAGGGCCTAAGACATCCTATATTGCCTAAAAACGAACATTTCAGAGACTTTCTTAGGCACTGAGTTCAAAACCAGTGAAGGTTGCCTTCTCCCTAGCACCACTACCCCTCATGGTTGTCCGAATCAGGAGACTTCTTCCTGGCTACCCTTAGGGAGAGTCTTCTACACCTATTATTTCCTAGTTTCTAGGAGAAAGGGTTTCAGAAAGAATTTTGACATTTAAATTCTATGCCAGTACTGAAACTCTCCCAAAGATTGAGGCATTCTGCATTTGAATTTTATACAGAAAGTCATGAATCTAATTCCAAAAGAAAAGAGTGCACTTCATTTGGTCACTTAATTTCATACCACTTGGCGAGGTAGGATAACTTTCTTCTTTGACAACTGTCTCGACTATATAAATGGTGATTATACCGGAAAGGGTTCTAATGCCTTTTCCACATTCTTCCAGTTGTGAAAATTCTCTCTGTACCATTCAACTAATAGGAAAAAACAAAAGACAAAAAAAAAAAAGAAAAGAAAGAAAAACTAAACATCAGTTAACCAACCTTTACTGAGTTCCTGCTAGCTAAGTCTTGCCCATCAGCTAAGCAGCAGACAAGGGCTGACTAATGATGTAAACAATTTGATTTTGAACTTAACAATGAAGTCAATCAGAAGACATTTAAATCACCTAAAAAATTTATGATTAAAAATCAACTATTTTTTTCTTCTTAACTTCTAAAGTCATTCAATACTGAACTTGGTATAAATATTTAAGATTCTGATTTTAAGGAATTTGGGGTGTGGGAAATAAGTCATCTGCCCTGGTTTTAAGGTTATTTTATATAAAAAAGTATAATACAGTGTTTAGTCGTATAAATATGGTAACACTGCATGAGAGGCACAATGAGTTGATGTGAACTTCCTTGCTTTTTTTTTTTTTTTTTTTTTAAAGAGATGGGGTCTCGCTGTCACCCAGACTAGAGTGTAGTGGTGCAATCGTAGTTCACTATAGGCCCAAACTCCTGGGCTCAAGAGATCCTCCTACCTCACCCTCCTAAATAGCTAGGACTACAGGCATGTGCCACCATGCCCCGCTGATTTTTTTACTTTTTGTAGAGACAGGGTCTCGCTATATTTCCCAGGCTGGTCCTGAACTCCTGACCTCAAGTGATCCTCCCACTTTGGTCTCCAAAGTGCTGGGATTACAGATGTGAGCCACTATGCCCAGCACCTTCCTTCTATTAATATGTGAAATTATTTTATATTGCTATACTATCAGTAAAAGCTTTTTTAGTTTAAAGAAATCTGATAGTTTTAAATTATTTTTTGTTTCTTAATATTTGACTTAAGTATTTGTATTTCAAGCTCTGAATCAAAACTTTTTTTTCTACATCTGGGTAGAGCTTTTCTCATGAATACATTTCTAAATACAGCTTTAACATGTATACACAGACTTTATATGCACTTATTTTAATAGATTTTTCTGCACATACTAAATTTATTTCCTCTGTTGGTTTCAATATAAAAAGCCTCAAGACACAAAAAAGACTGCATCTATATTTCACCAACTCTAAGATGCCACTGATGGATCATTATTTTACATACATGTAAAAAAGAAAAAAGCTACAATAATAATTATAAGACACCAGTGATTATAAAAATACATACCTTTTAGGAGTGTGAAGAAAGTGAAAAAATATGTACCTCAGAATAAATAATACAGGTATTTGATTAATGCTAACAAGATATGGGAAGATTGATCAGAGGTTGGTTTATAAAATTCAAGATGCTTAGGAAACACAGGACTGCTACTAGAAATATATGAAATGTGGCAATTTGAAAAGTACGAATGATTCAACACAATATTCCACTGGTTTGTATAATGTTCTGGAAATAAGTTATTTTTCCTTTAAATTTTTCTGACTTGCCCCCAAAATGATTAATTCAAAACATACTTGTTTTCTTTATTCCTTCTTTCCAAGGCACTTTAGGTCTCCATCCTAAGCCATGTATTTTTTCTGACTTCATTGGGTATCTCATGTCATTGGTGGGTCTTGGAAAACAAAACAGATTTAAAATAATATTGTAGATATATATTTACAAATTTAGATATTAGGAGATATGTGTTTATGCATTTTTACCACAACCCAACTTTTCTCTTTACAAAAATTCCCAATAGGTTTTCTGCAGAAAGTCTGTAAAATCAAGTATATATTTAAAAAAAAAAAGTCACCCATAATGCCAGGTGCCTAACCCTCTCTGTGTCTTGTCTTCTTGTTTCAGCCACGATCTAGATATAAGTGAAGTACCTGACACATCCAAAAAACTCAACAAATGTTCAATGACTAAATAAACAAATACACAAAAACTTATTAGAACTCATATGCCAGGCTGTGGGTCAGGTATTTCATACACATTATAAATAAGTGTTAGAATACTTTTATAAGAAAGATGTTATTATTGGCCAGGCAAGGTGGCTCATGCCTGTAATCCCAGCACTTTCAGAGGCCAAGGAGGGCGGATCACGAGGTTAAGAGATCGAGACAATCCTGGCCAACATGGTGCAAACCCGTCTCTACTAAAAATACGAAAATTAGCTGGGTGTAGTGGCGTGTGCCTGTAGTCCCAGCTACTCGGGAGGCTGAGGCAGGAGAACTGCTTGAACCTGGGAAGGCAGAGATTGCAGTGAGCCGAGATTGCGCCACTGCACTCCAGCCTGGCAACAGAGCGAGATTCTGTCTCCAAAAAAAAAAAAAAAGATGTTATTATCCCTATTTCACACTGGAGGTTTGAAACTTCAGACTTAGAAAGGGTCAATAGTTTTTTAAGTCACATAGCTAGTAAGTAATAATGCTATACTTAATTTGTATGGTACTTACGATTATGAAAAAAATGTTTTACCAGAAAATTCAAAACAGATAAACTAGTTATTGGTCAAGTCCACATATTTTATAATTTTATAAGTACCTAAGATTTCACAACCTTTCCCCAAGGTTTTAACTTGTTACTCACCTATCATTAACATAATCAACCCAATTTTCCATTTCAGACTCTGAATTGGTCTCTTTGATCTGTCAAAATGGAAAAAGCTTTTGAGTCAAATTATAAAATGAGATCAGAGAATAACAATAGTATTTAATGGCTGATTAAAAAGAAAACAACTGCCTCATAGCAGGGAAGACAGCTAAAATGAACATCATTTTAGTAACACTTTCTATACTTTATAACCTAAATTCCATCTGAAGCTCAGATATACACATTGGATTTTGGTTATTATTCAGTTCCTCTTTCTATTAAACTAAGATTTAAAATTGATGTCCCCTAATATACATGGACATTCATAACTACTAATGTAATTATTTTATATATCACTGTTACTTGTTTTAAGACAATTTTATATTTCTGCAAATGACTTATGCAGAAATATAATTAGGGAATGCACATTTAGTGAATTATTTTTTCCTGAAAAGCTGTTACTAAATAGGTGATCCAACTTAATTTAAGACACATATGGTACACAAAATCATTAATTTCATTTTCTACTTGCTTACTTTTAAATTAAGTAAGCTGTATGCTTCTGATTTTGACTAATGGTCACTGCCACTAACAATTTTGAAAATACCAACCTTTTAAAACAGATACATACCAGTTGTATTAGTTCTTTGGCAAGCTGGACAACTGACATTTCAAAATTGGTTCCGATGTTATAAATTTCACCTGGTTTCCCTTTTTTGAGGACAGTGAGAAATGCTTCTACAACATCAGTAGCATAAAGGAAGTTTCTTGTTTGAAGCCCTGACCCATGAATGCAACTAAAGAGATTAAACGAAGTGAAATCATAAAGTGTAAAAAGGTAAACTCTCCTAAAGCATTGACTGGGTACTACAACTCCAGAGAAGCTAATTCCCATGGGGATCCCAGAATCTTTACTGAAAATACAAATTCTCGTAGCTTTTCTAAATTTTGTTCATATTTCTTAATCTCCAAACCTTCTGAGGGGACTCAGTAGGAAAGTGACCCCTGTGAAATGTGTATTCAATTTTATGTCATAAGTTCATTTTAAAGAAATATCTACAGTTCTATGAATTAAATAAGTCCTTTGAGAAAGTAAAATTATATAAAAATAGATTTCAAATTTTAATGCTATAATTCAAAGTTCTATGATAGGTCATTAAGATCTGAAATTATCTCAACAATTATAAAAATAAGATACAGATTATTTTAAAAACTATTACACTGGAGAAATGATTCTTAAATTTAGTGGGGCATTCAATTCTATGGCCTTTAAGACTTTATGATATTTAAGAAAGTGTCACCAAATACTCTAACATACCAGAAAAGCATATGGGTAAAAAGGTAATAATAACATACCATTTCCTGTTGTGCTGTAGCAAAGATATAAATTTTGGAATAACCTAAAAGAATATTTAAATATCATTTCAGACTGGATATTTACTCATTAGTATGAATCTGAACTCATACCAAAATTAAAAGATTATTAAGAAATATGCATATGGATTGCTTCTAATTATTTTTATCAGTTTATTAAAAAACCTACTATAGTATTTGATATGTAAAAGAACTCCTAGTTTGCTATTTCATAAAGACAGGTTACTTGAAGATAAAATGATCTAAATAGGGGAAAAATGCAGAAAAAGTCTTCATCAGACAGTTGGTCTCATCATAAAGCTCACCTGTGTGCTGACTTCATAAGGGCAGATATTTGTATCTTACTTATTGCTTTACATATAGCACCTATGCATTAAGTGCTTCAGGAATTTATAGAAAGTAAATTCCAGTGCTCTTGGATTCAAAGAAAACTTAAATTAAGCAAAGTAAATATTAATACCTGCAGGTCATGACATGGCCCTTTCCTTTGGGCAAACAGATCAATGCAACCAGCTGGGAAGCAAGAAAACCCAGTCTCCAAATTTAGGCAGAGTAGCCAAAGTTATATAAAATCAGGCTTGATGATATAGAGCCAATTGCACAGGCATTTTCAGCCTCTAAACTACATTTTTTATTCATTACTTGTAGTACTTTCTGGAAGATATTCGTGCCTACACAATAAAGATGAGTTGAGGCACAGTTAGCCAGCTGACACTAAGACAGTTAATGTATACAAGCTTCTTGCATCACTATCTAGCTAGCTTTTGACTTTCTGTATACGCTGACATACTGGTCTGACTGCAAACAGGGAGTCAACTGCAGCGTGACAGTAGAGGTAGAAGTATTCTATAGTGCTTTAGAGTCTTTAGAAGTACAAGGTATTTTCACATATATCATTCTCATTGGATCTTTCAAAATCCCTGCTAAGTGGTGAAGCCAGCTGGTGAGTGTCAGCCAGCTTGAGACTTAAAACTCAAGTTTTCAAACTCTAAGTCTGAAGGAATCTGCAAGTGGTGTTATACAGCATATAAAATTATGTATAATTTACAACATATTATTTTAGACAAATAACTGAAAAGAGGTTATTTCAAACAATGAGAAGTTACAATCACTGAAAAACACCATGAATTAAGAAGTAAAATTTACCTTTTCTGGATATTGATGTGGTCCATAAACATTACTGCTTCTTGTGATGACAACTGGAAACTTAAAAGAATATCCAACATTAAGGCTTTTAAAAAGGTCTAATAATAATGATTATTTTAAAGATAAGCAGAATTTCAAAATATGGGCACCTTTGCCTAAATAATTCCACACACCTTAAGGTCAAAGGGAAGAGATTTTTTTCTAACGTAAGGTTTCTAAAAAGGAGAGAATAGGATTCAGATAAAGGCAGAGGTTCCAAAAGAAAGAAGAGGAATATTCTTTTATTAGTACAAGAAGATAAACACAGATGGCACAGGTTTATAAGTCTGACTGATAGCAAAACACGGAAGAACTTTCCAGCGGATTATTTTAAAGACCACCTCAAGGACTCTTAAGTTGGCTCTCTTCATTGTACCAATCCCTACAAATAAAAAGAGCTACTATGAAAGTGAAAAGGACTGATGCCACCAGAACTCAAATGGTGAGGGAATCTTTAGGAATTCCAAGGCTTGCCTCTCTGACCCAGTCCCTAAAAACTCACAAAGAGCAGTGGGAAGCCAAATGTAGGAGATTCAAGGTGAGGATTCATATGGGGTAAGGCTCCCATACTGACACTGTCAGAGCCACCAGGGGCAAGTCTACTTCCCACTCATGAGGAGCCACAAAAGCCAAATCATGCAGACAGAAGCACATGGCAGAAAGGGGATCTGTCTTCCCTCTGTCTTCCTCCACTCATAGGACTCCAACCTCACTCTGACTATAGCTGTAACACTCTACCTACTACTGAAATAGAAAAAAAAATGTATATTCAAGATTCAAGTTATTCCTTTAATGATGAACTGAATACGAAGAGGTCGGCCCTAATTTGTCCACACAATAGAGGAAATTAGTTTTTAAAATTCCATAATATGTAAATTTTCTCAATCTATGCCTTCTACTCTAAGCATGCTGCTAAAAGCTGACTTGGGCTGGGCGTGGCTCACGCCTGTAATCCTAGCACTCTGGGAGGCCGAGGTGGGCAGATCACTTGAGGTCAGGAGTTCGAGACCAGCCTGAGTGTCAGATTGCGACTGTCTCCGAACAATAAATAGAAAACTTAAAAATATTTTGAAAAAAAGAAAAAAAAAAGCTGACTTGGAGTTTTAACACTTAAGTCCAAAGGAAAATGTTTCAAGAGTTTCTGCAATCAGTTCTTACCTTATATTGTTCCCAGTAAGACTGTACAAAACATTCAGCAGCTGCTTTAGATGATGCATAAGGATTTGTAGGTTGTTTGGGTGAAGATTCATCAAATTCCTATTTTTAAAAATATATATTTAAAAAAGTGTTATGCATATTTTAAGTATAGAAATCAGAGCATATGTTAACACTTCAAATGTCAATCACCAAATTTTAAAAGCCACTTCTTAAATCCTATGTGCCTGGTGTTTTCCCAAGGACATGTGGTAACTTCTTTAACGTGCACAACAATCCTATATAGCAGAGAGAGAGAACAGCAAGTGTAAGGGCCCTGAGACAGAAGCATGTCCAAAGGAATTGCAGGAAGGCTGATGTGAGGCGAGAGACAGTGGGAGAGGAGGTCAGAAAGCTAGAGGAAGGCCATACCCTTGAAGGCCACCGTAAAACAATGACTGATTTTGAGCAGAGTAATGCCAGGTCTGACTTACATTTTAAAAATCACTCTGGCTACTGTGTTGGATCTGATGTAGGGTGGCAGGGTGCATGAAGAAAGAAGTTTACCTGATAAAAATTGCAGAGAATTGAAAAATGGTTACTTCTTGGAAGCAGAATTGAAAATTGAGAAGTGGTCAAGGTTTACTTTTTCTCACTGTAAGTCTTTTCAGACTATTTGATTTTCACTATGTATGTGTCTTGGTAAAATAAGTAAATTCATAAATAATAAAATAAACAGAATGAGATCACTGCAGACACCAATTATAAAAATTATAGATTAGACAATGGAGTCTTCTTTGCCTAAAAAGTGTAATATTTATGCATGATTTATTTTAAAAAATAGATTCTAAGGCTGGACACAGTGGCTCATACCTATAATCCCAGCACTTTGGGAGGCCGAGGCAGGCGGATCACCTGAGGTCAGGAGTTCGAGACCAGCCTGACCAACATGGAGAAACCCCATCTCTACTAAACTACAAAATTAGCTGGGCATGGTGGTGCATGCCTGCAATCCCAGCTACTCGGGAGGCTGAGGCAGGAGAATTGCTTGAACCTGGGAGGCGGAGGTTGTGGCTAGTCAAGATTGAACCATTGCACTCCAGGCTGGGCAATAAGAGCGAAACTCCCATCTCAAAAAAAAAAAAAATAGATTTTGGTTTTTACAAGAATTTTACACTGTCTCCTTGAAATTCCAATATGTTTTCCTGACTGAAAGGGAAAGATGAACAGGTAGTATGCTGCAGCCTAACTTATGCTTTGGTCCATGGAATGACATTCACCATATTTGTAAGAGTGGGACAAAAAGGTGAGATTTGCAATTCTCTTGCAAAATTACAAATAAATCTGTACCTAAAGAGAATTCTGGGGCATGAAAAAATAAATGAATAAGTCTCTACCAAGACTAGGCTGTTGTTCCCCATTTGGGGAGGTATCACTTGATCTGAACAGAGGAGACAATAGAATAATATTCTATGACGGTTAACACTAAGTGTCAACTTGACGGGATTGAAGGATACAAAGTATTGATCCTAGGTGTGTCTGTGAGGGTGTTGTCAAGGGAGATTAACATTTGAGTTAGTGGGCTGGGAAAGGCAGAGCCACCCTCAATCTGAGTATGCACCATCTAATCAGCTGCCAGAGTGGCTAGAATATAAAGCAGGCAGAAAAACATGAATAGACTAGACTGGCCTAGCCTCCCAGCCTACATCTTTCTCCCATGCTGGATGCTTCCTGCCCTCGAACATCTGACTCCAAATTCTTCAATTCTGGGACTCAGACTGGCTCTCCTTGCTCCTCAGCTGGCAGATGGCCTATTGTGAGACCTTGTGATCGTGTGAGTTAATACTTAATAAATTCCCCTTTATATATCTATTCTATTAGTTGTGTCCCTCTAGAGAACCCTAATACACTCTGAAGAGTGCCACAAGTGTATATAATTTGAGGATGAAAAAAGCCCAGTGTAGGTTTAATAAAACTGTATCATGGTACATGGTTAAGTAGGTAAAATATACATTTTCTAAGCTCACCTTATCAAGACTGCCACCATATACTTCATCTGTGCTGACATAAATAAACTTCTCCACTCTGGCTTCATGAGCAGCACTTACCAAAACGTGAGTGCCATAAACATTAACATAGGTAAACTCAAAGGCACGTACGAATGAAAGATCTAAAAGAAAAGAGTGAAAAGCTAAAACAAGTCTACCCAACGGATAAAACAAATGCCAAATGATGGACTCAGGTTTAAGGAGAGTACTAGTCACTGTTCTTCATTTACCACAGCTGCAAGAGTTATAATAATAACATACACAGGCAGTCATATTTATGATTTCTTTAAACCTAAATTACATAGTACATGTAAATTCTCAGAACCCAGAAAACTAATGTTAAATTTGCAGGAAAGTTTTTTATTCTATAAGGAAGAAAATTTAAAAATAATACATGAAAATTTAAAATGTTTTTAAATTAAAAAAAATTATGAATTACAGGGATAGGCTTTTTAAGATCAATCTGTTACTGCTGAAAGCAATAAATGCTGAATGAGTTATTTAAACATAAATTCACCTTACAAGAATTGAACCTCTATAACCAGGAAACGGAAGGAACTTCCTTAATGATGAATCACAATCCAGAAGCAATAATGGAAGAGGATGATAAATTTGACCATATAAAAATTTTGCATGGTTAAAAAACTAAAAACAAATTAAAAAGACAAAAATGACAAACTGGGAAAAACCATGTGAAATTACAGAGATAAAGGGTTAGTATCGTCAATTTATAAAGAACTTTAAATAAATTAAGAACAATCCTATAGTAAAACAGGTAGGAGACATAAACAGTTTAGATGAAGAAATATAAATGGGTCCTTAAGATTACGATGATCAATGTCACTTACAGTAAGAAAAACCCAAATTAAAAACTCAGAGATACCACTTCTTACTTACCAGACTGGCAAAAATTCAAAAAGTTGACAAATCACTTAGTTGTTGAGGCTGTTAGGCAAAAGACACTTTGTACACTGACAATGATGATGTAAAATGTTTACAATTCCCTAAGGAAGGAAACTTGGAAATATCTAGTCAAATTACATAGGCATTTCCCTCTAACCCAGAGTTATGGGCTAAACTGTGTTCTCCCCATAATTCATCTTAAGGCCTAACCCCTTCCCCCAGAACCTCAGAATGTGACTATATTTGGAGATAGGGCTCTTAAGGAGGTGATTAAGTGAAAATCAGGTCTTTAGGATGGGTCCTAATCCGATCTACCTGGTGTCCTTAAAAGAAGAAATGTGGACTCACTGTGTGTTTTGGAATAAAGTAAATGAGTAATTAGGATGGTGCTGTTGAGAACCAAGGTGTTCAGGGTATGGAAAAGATGATATAAATGAAAGACTGAAGAACTTAAACAAAAAATCTCAATGCGGATTGGACATTTCAGTATAAACCCATGTCATATTTAATCTTAAGTAAATAGGCAAATAATATTCCCTAGTTTTGTTAACTGAAAAAGCCTTGACACAATGTCCAATCAGTTAATAAGCACTCCCAGTGCCCAGACTGTGGCCTCTAAACACCATTTCCCACCAAAAGGAACAATGGCTCCTGACAGAAAGGGCTGATTCCAGATCTAGGGGGAAAAACATTGAAGATAAAACTGAAACATCCTATCAAACCAGAAAGTTAGATGGTTGTCAAAGACTGCTAAGGTCATGTCAAAAAGGACTCAGGAAGCAACTAGAAGAGCCTCTCAATGGCTAATGGTGAGTCATTTTGAACATAAATAAGAAAAATAACTGCAAATGATTAAAACAAACAAAATCAAATGTGTTAAAATCTACAAATTCATAGCAATATTAAGAAAAAAGAAAAATGAGGATGCTTGGAAACCAACTCATTATAGTAAAATCTACTAAATAAATAAAAATAATCAGGCACTTAACCTGGCTTTTCCATAACAATTAAATCTCAAGGTAACCAAATAATGTATAAGGAAAACTTTTTTTTTTTCTCTCTCTCTCTGTTGCCCAGGCTGGAGTGTAGTGGCGCAATCTCAGTTCACTGCCACCTCTGCCTCCCAGATTCAAGCCATTCTTGTGTCTCAGCCTCCCGAGTAGCTGGGGTTACAGGTGCCCACTACCACGCCCAGCTAACTTTTTTGTATTTTAGAGATGGGGTTTCACCATGTTGGCGAGGCTGGTCTTGAACGCCTGACCTCAGGTGATCCACCTACCTCAGCCTCCCAAAGTGTTGGGATTACAGGCGTGAGCCACTGCGCCTGGCTGGAAAACTTCTTTTTATGTAGATATTCCAGGTATAAATGAAGAATGACATAATTAGGATATCATTTTGTAAACCCCTAATATAATGACTACTGACTATATAAAATAGTAATAATGTCATCTAGTGGAAATAAAAAAACAAAATAAAATAAGATCAATTTAAAATTCCAGGCAGGACATGGTGGCTAATGCCCGTAATCCCAGCACTTTGGGAGGCCCAGGTGGGTGGATCACCTGAGGTCAGGAGTTTGAGACTAGTATGGCCAACATGGCAAAACCCCGTCTCTACTCAAAATACAAAAAAATAAACCGGGCGTGGTGGCACACGCCTGTAATCCCAGCTACTTGGTAGGCTGAAGCACGAGAACTGCTTGAACCTGGGAGGCAGAGGTTGCAGTAAGCCGAGATCACAACACTGCACTCTGGCCTAGGTGACAGAACAAGACTCTGTCTCAAAAAAAAAAAAAAAAAAATCCAGATAAAAACTGAGTTAAAAATAGCTAAAAATGGAGTTGGAAATTAAATAGGAAGAGGGCAAAGGTTTTGATGAACTTTACACTTTGATAAGCTAATTACACATCTGTAATTTGTAGAGTAACCACTCCAAGAGTACAAACAGAACATATAATTTCCAAACTAGTAGAGGGAGAAAAAGAGAATAAGAAAAATTCCTCAGTCAAATCCTTAAAAAAAGCAAGCAAGCAGTTTTTTAAAATAAACAATTTTTTACAAAGGAATAATTCTTTTTTTTAAAAAAAGTAAGCAGCAACCAAGGAAACAGAACAGGTGGGAAAAGAAAGCGTACAGTAAGATGGTAGAAATAAATCCAAATACAGCAACAAACTAAACACTGAGGGCAAATGCCGAGGAGGGTCAGAATGGGTTTAAAAAAATCAAAATCCAAATACATGTTGTTTACAAGACATGCAGCTAACCCATAAAACTAGAGAAAGTTTGGAAATAAAAAGATGGAAAAAGTATCATGAAAATACTAACCAAAAAGGAAGTAACACAGCTATATTAATGTCAAACAAAATAGATTTTAAAGCAGTACACATCACCGGGGAAAAAAGATCACTTCATAAGTATAAAAGGTTCAATTCACCAGAAATATACAAGAGATTTAAAGAACATCATTAACCAACTTAACCTAATGGATGTGTAAAGAACAATGGACCCAATGTTTGCAAGTTAACATTCTTTTCAATACACACACGATTTACGGAAAGTGACCATATACTGAACCAAAAAGCAAGTCGTAGCATAAAGGACTACAATCATAGAGTACGTTATCTAATCACATACAATTAAGCTAGAATTCCATAAGAACAAGAAAACCCATACATGTTTGGAAATTAAGACATACGTGTCTAAGTAACCCACGGATGAGAGAAGAAATCAAATTATTTTTTTTTTTTTTTTTTTTTTTTTGAGACAAGGTCTCATTCTATTGCCCGGGCTGGAGTGCAGGGGTGCGATCTCAGCTCACTGCAACCGCCACCTCTTGGGCTCAAGTGATCCTCTCACCTCAGCCTCCCAAGTAGCTGGGACTACAGGCACATGCCATCATGCCTGGCTTTATTTTTTATTATTATTTTTTGTACAGACAGGGTCTCACCATGTTGCCCAGGCTGGTCTGGAACTCCTGGGCTCAAGTGATTCGCCTGCCTTGGCCTCTCAAAGTGCTAGGATTACAGGTGTTAGCCACTGCACCCAGCAAGAAATCAAACTCTTAAAAGATAATGAAAAAATACATATGAAAACCTGTAGGATTCAGATAAACCAGTATTTAGAAGTAAATTTATAGTCTAAAATGCATACATTAGAGAAAACGTGAAAATTAATAAGCTAAATATATCACAAAGATTAGAAAAAAGAATAGAAAGTAAGCCTAAACAAAGTAGAAATAATGAAATAATAAAGGTAAGACCAGAAATTCATTATATAGAAAACAAACACGCATAAGAAAAGATCAACAATGTCAAAGATTGTTTTTTTGGAACAACAATGTCAAATGTCAAATGTTGTTTTTTGGAACAACAGGGTGGGAGGTTTGCTTTGCTGGTATAAAGAATTATTATAAAGCTACAGTAATTAAGACAGTGTGATAATAGTATAAGCACAGACAAAGACCAACAGAATTGAATAGAGCCGAGAAACAAAAGCATACGTATATAAACATTTGACCCATGACAAAACTGACAATGAGGAAAAGTCAAGTCTTTTCAATAAATGATTTTGAGTCAAATTGATATGGGTATGGGGAAGAAATCTAAATGTAAAAGGAAAAACAATAACTTTTAAGAAAAGAATTATAAGACAACATGTCCATGACCTTGGAGGTGGGAAATGAGTTCTTAATCAAGACAGAGCCGGGTGCGGTGGCTCACGCCTGTAATCCCAGAACTTTGGGAGGCTGAGGCGGGTGGATCACGAGGTCAGGAGATCGAGACCGTCCTGGCTAACACGGTGAAACCCCGTCTCTATTAAAAATACAAAAAATTAGCCGGGTGTGGTGGCGGGCGCCTGTAGTCCCAGCTACTCGGGAGGCTGAGGCAGGAGAATGGCATGAACCCAGGAGGCAGAGCTTGCAGTGAGCCGAGATTGCGCCACTGCACTCCAGCCTGGGTGACAGAGCAAGACACTCCATCTCAAAAAAAAAAAAAAAAAAAAGAGACAGAAAGAGCACTACCCCTAAAGAAAAAGGTAAAGATAAATTAACCCACATTGTAATTAAGAACTTTCACTAATAATAAGACACCATTGAAAACGGGAAAAGGCTGGGCGTGGTGGCTCACGCCTGTAATCCCAGCACTTTGGGAGGCTGAGACGGGTGGATCACCTGAGGAGGGTGGCTCGTCTGAGGTTGGGAGTTCAAGACCAGCCTGGCCAACATGGTGAAACCCCATCTCTATCAAAAATACAAAATTAGCTGGGCGTGGTGGCGCATGCCTGTAATCCTAGCTACTCAGGAGGCTGAGGCAGGAGAATCGCTTGAATCTGGGAGGCGGAGGTTGCAGTGAGCTGAGATCATGCCATTGCACTCCAGCCTGGGCAATCAGCGAGACTCTGTCTCAAAAAAAAAAAAAAAAAAAAAAAAAAAAAGAATGCAAAAAGGCAAAGCAGACTGAAAAAAAGGTAGCTGCAAAAGGCTTGGATCCAAAATACATAAAGGACTTATAAAAATCTATAAGGAAAAAACTGACAACCTAATAGGAAATGGTCACGAAACTTAAATGGAAATTTTCCAAAGAGGATATACTAACAAAGAGAGGGAGAATAGTCCAATAAACAAATGGAAAGGTTTTTAACTTCATCAGGGAAAAATAAAACCACAAAATTGACACAGCAAGTGTTGGCAAGCATCTCATAAATTGCTGGTAGAAGTGCACAACTGCTTTTATCATTAACCAAGTAGAAGGACTTGCTTTAACAGACATGAAATCATTGTATTCGTCAATATAGTGCGTAATCAGACAGGCAGAGACAAATAAATGAAGAGAGACAGAGATACAAAAATAAACTTGATATGACGGAGGGCAGAAACTGGTGAACTTTTCAATAAATGGTACAGGAACAATTGGTATTCACATGGAAAAACATGAAATTGGGGTTATATAAGAATTAATTTCAGATGGATTACAAATCTAAACATAAAAGACAAAATTATAAAGCTTTGAAAAGATAATATACAAAAATACATCTTCGTGACCTTGGGGTAGGAGAGAATTTAAGAACTGAAAAAGCATTAAGCATAAAGGAAAAAACATACATTGAAAACATCTGTTCATCAAAACACACTGTCAAAAAAGTGAGAAGATAGGCCATACAGAGAAGGCTCTGTAACATATGTAATGATAAAGAACTAGTGTCCTGAATATATAAAAACTCTACTTGCCATTTTTTCTCATTGAAACTTCTCTTTCAATGAGAAAAAGGTAAACAATCCCATTTTAAAATGGACAAAAGATTTCTTTTTTTTTTTTTTTAAGATGGAGTCTCTCTGTCACCCAGGCTGGAGTGCAGTGGTGCAACCTCAGCTCACTGCAAGCTCTGTCTCCCGGGTTCACGCCATTCTCCTGCCTCAGCCTCCCGAGTAGTTGGGACTACAGGCGCCTGTCACCACGCCCGGCTAATTTTTTGTACTTTTAGTGGAGAAGGGGTTTCACCGTGTTAGCCAGGATGGTCTCGATTTCCTGACCTCGTGATCCACCCGCCTCAGCCTCCCAAAGTTCTGGGATTACAGGCGTGAGCCACCGCTCCCGGCCAAAATGGACAAAAGATTTCAACAGCATTTCATAAAGGAGAAATCCAAATTACAAAAAATCATATGAAAAGTACTTAATCTTATTAGTAATCAGGGAAAATACAAATTAGAAACATGAGAAACCACTACACAGCACTGAAATTGGCAAAAATGGAAAGACTGACAAAACTAAGATTTGGTGATATCTGGAGCAACAGGAAGTCACACACTTCTGGAGGAGTGGAAGTTGGTATAATTACTTTGGAACATGTTTTGACATTATCTCAACGTGAAGTATGCAGATCTTATGATCTGTTATATAGCCAAATGTAATGTATACTTATGTATCATGATACATGTTCAAGGTAGTAGTGCTCAAAATTGCTCCAAAGTGTAAAGAACCCAAATGGCCATCAAGAATAAAGTATATTAAGTAAACTACTACAGTGTATGTGTATATATGTATTTTTAGACTGGAATATTATGACACTGAAAACAAACAAACTGTATCTATATCCAACTCCATGGATTAATCTACATCGATTTTGAAAAAACAAAAAAAACTCTACATATCATTATATATATATATAAAATATATATTTAACATATATTAAGTATATTTATATATATAATATTAAATATACATATATTTAAAAACACCCTAAGTTAAGCTGTATTGTTTAGGGATAAATATACAGACAACAAAAGTGTAGACAAAAGCAAAGGAAATTATAACTTTAAATCTGGTAATAGGCAGCAGTAATATTTACTACTGAAGAGGATTCAGCAACATTCTGTCTTTTGTTCAGGTGACAGATACATGGGTACTCCATTATCATTATTTAACTATTTCTAAATGCTTTTGAATATGTTATATTTCATAATAAAACTGTCAAATTATTAGAAAATATCTAAAATTCATAAAATGATATAAATAATGTCCATCTGCATACCCACAACAAAATTTAAGAAAAACAACATAAAAAATACAGTTGACGGCCCATCTCCCCGTTGCTCCCCTTCACTATCCTGAATTGGTTAAACTCAAGTTTTCAGACAGCAGTCAAGGTTGTATTTCACTAATATAGCCTTGCAATGCTAATAAAAGTATCTAAAAAGTGCTGAGTTTATGGATAACACAGTCACCGTGGGCTTGTTTTTCTAGTACAGTATGATATATCCTCTTTCAAATATAAGTATTAGGGGGGCGAGGGCGGGGAGAGAACTGCCAATCATAACTGTAACATAAAACAATGCTTACCTACATGTGTTTGTGCGGCAAAATGTAGTACTATATCTATTTTCTCTGTTTCAAAAAGCAGTTTCACAAAGTGAGAATCACATATGTCACCCTATATGAAAAAGCAAACATGAAAGGGCCTAGGTTTCATACAGCACTCTCATTCATAACCATTTTTACTATAGCATCCCCCTACCTCCCACCTCCCTGTTTAATAGAGAATGCCTTGAAAATTCAACTAAGTGCTCAAACAAGGATACCAATGATGTATTTCTCCAGCATCTTAGGATATTAGATATTCAATTCAAACTATTTTTCCAAATAATATTTTAATGAGCACCAACAACTACTAAGTACCATGCTAGTGTTGTCCGCAACATTTTTGCCAACCCAAGGCCACTATATTAATACAAAACTTTTTTTAGCACTTTTTAAAAAACCTTTCAGATAACCATTATTAAAATATATCTTAGGCTGGGTGTGGTGGCTCACGCCTGTAATCCCTGCACCAAAGTGAGGTGCAAGTTGAGGCGGGCAGATCACTTGAGCTCCAGAGTTTGTGACCAGCCTGGCCAACATGGTGAAACTCCATCTCTACTAAAAATATGAAAATTAGCTGGGCATGGTAGCAGGCGCCTGTAATCCCAGCTAGTCGGGAGGCTGAAGCAGGAGAATTGCTTGAACCCCGGAGGCAGGGGTCGCAGTGAGCTGAGATCACGCCACTGCACTCCAGCCTGGGTGACAGAGCAGACTCTGTCTCGAAAAAATATACTGTAACAACTGGAATGATATTTTGAAAACACATTTTATCACAATTAAGTAAAATTATGGTACTTCTAATGTTTATATGTACATTTAATTATTCTAAAAATATGTATTCTCGACAATTCTTCAGTAGCTGAAGAAAACACTTTCACACAGAATAGAATTATGAAATGGTTGTTAGTATATTCTTTAAGTTTTGTAGTTAAAAAGAGAGTTTATAGAATAACTTTAAAAAATACATAAGTTAAATAGTTTCATTTGACAATAACATTTCCCTTTGCAAATTAATGAACTGGTCCTGTGGCTTATACTTTGGACTTGTCTAAAAGTGAGACTTCCAGAGTCAATCAACCTTCATAGGGAAAGACTAGGGAGGAACTAAAATACAAACCATGTGAATTCAGTCAGCTACTGGTAGATCTCAAAGGTACCAAAAATCACATGTAGCTTTTTATGTGTTGTCAATCAAAAGTAGTATCCTCTAGAGCACATGGTACTTTTGGAAATTAACTACCTGATCTTTTAAAAGGTCTTTAATTAGTGTTCTTTTCAAGCCCACATTACACAAGTTTGTAAAGTACAAAGATACTATAATCTCTGCATGACTAAAGAGGCACGGTACAGTTACAAGAAAATGTTCATACCTGTATAAATTTGTAGTTCTGTTTGTTAGAAATGGTTTCAAGATTCTTCAAGCTTGCACAGTAATCCAGCTTGAAAGAAGAGAGCACAGAAGGGGCAACACAAAAAGTGACATTAGCTTTTCCAATCAAATACCAATTTATTTTAAAGACTACAGATGTTACTGGTTACAATACAAGAACATGTCCTCTTAAAGTGTGTTTGCTCCCTGTCTTTACACTACTTTTTTTTTGAGACGGAGTCTCACTCTGTTGCCCAGGCTGTAGTGCAGTGGCGCAATCTCTGCTCAGCACAAGCTCCGCCTCCCAGGTTCACGCCATTCTCCTGCCTCAGCCTCCCAAGTACCTGGGACTACAGGCACCCGCCACCATGGACCGGCTAATTTTTTGTATTTTGTAGTAGAGGCAGGGTTTCACCATGTTAGCCAGGATGGTTTTGACCTCCTGACCTTGTGATCCGCCTGCCTCAGCCTCCCAAAGTGCTGGGATTACAAGCGTGAGCCCAGCCTGTTTTTACACATTTTAAGTTTCTGACATCTTAAAAGTAAAAAACAAGTAATTGTTACCTTTTCAAAGTACCAAAAAACAAAACAAAACAAAAACCTTTTCATAAATCTCTACTTTAAAAAATGTTCCTAGCTGGGGGTGGTGGCTCATGCCTGTAATCCCAGCACTTTGGGAGACTGAGGAGGGCGGACCACAGGTGAAGAGATTGAGACCATCCTGGCCAACATCGTGAAACCCCATCTCTACTAAAAATACAAAATTTAGCTGGGCTTGGTGGCATGTGCCTGTAATCCCAGCTACTCAGGAGGCTGGGGCAGGAGAATCGCTTGAACCCAGGAGGTGGAGGTTGCAGTGAGCTGAGATTGTGCCACTGCACTCCAGCCTGGCAACAGAGTGAGAGTCCATTTCAAAGAAAAAAAAAAATGTTCATGCCAAAATTTGCCTGTAGCCACTGGTGGCTAGAAAAGTTTACCATTTCTTACAGAAAAGGAATTAGTGATTGAAAATAATTACACCTGTGTTATACATATTATAATTCATTATACCTATTCCTCAAACTGTTGGTATATTGGTGATACAGAAAAAATTCCTGTCCATAATAGCAAGTCAGGCAAAGCTTCATAAGAGTTAAGGGTTCTTCTTATGATGGATGTCCCAATTACCCTGATTTGATCATTACACATTGTATACATGTATCAAAACATCACCATATGCCCCATAACAAGTACAACTAAGATATGTCAATTAAAAAATAGAAAAAAAATCCAATTAAGGCTTATAATCACCAAATTGCCTTATGAATTTTTCTTATAGTTTTTTTGAATGAAAATCCAAAAAGTCCATTTGCAAAGTAGCAACTGAAAAAAACAAAATAAAACAAAAACTTTATTTTGTGGACCAACATAAGAAATGCAGGTTTCAAAAACTTTTATATAAGATTAAATACAGCATGAGCACATTACTATACAGAGCCTCTGAATTGCTAAAATGACTAAATAAAAAATTTAAATATCAGCATGACAAGATTCTAGTACTTTTAGAAAACATAAATTGAAATGTAATTTCAGTGCATGATGCTCATTTTTATAAAACTCACCTTGTCTAGATTTATGATCATATAGTTTGGATAATCTTCCACTAAAGAGACAATCATATGTGATGCACTATGGAAAAAAAGTATATCTTGTTAGTGAAAAACTTTAACTTCCCTAAACTCTTGAATATTTTCCTAAGGTGTTGAGTACTAGGAAAATACTCAAAGATAACTTTAATTTTTTCTAAGATAACAGAAAACATAACTACACTAAATATACACACATGCAAACTTTTTACCAAACTTCTCAACAGTATCTATAAACAAAAGTTTTACATTCCATTTAGACTATGCAGAAGAGAGAATGTACTGGTTCTGGGTATAGGGAAAAAAGTCAGTTTAACCAAACGATGCCATCCATACAGGTACAAGTATCGAGTAAAGTGGAACAATAAATGGGAGCTAGTCAGCACAACTGTACATGCCTATAGCATGCCTTTTCAGGAACTGCAGATATAAGTATGTAAAAATGAAATTACTATGAGTATAGTCAGTTGTCTATATTTAATAGTAACTTCTGCAATTGCTATTTCTTGGTATAAGATTTTGGTAATGTTAAACCAGAATCCTCAGGAGGCTTCTAGACTAAACCCAGGATTCCCAGGCTAATAACAGCTGAAACCATTCTGAGTTGGATATCCACAGTGGGTCCTGGGCTTCAGAGGACCCTAAAGGGGAATCACAGGCATATCTCAGTGAAATGATCTACCAGATTTACCATGTATACTTAAAATGTTGGGCTCCCAGGAGAGGGGAGCCCTTGACCAAATTATGAACTTGAAGTTTGTATTCGGCATTCCTTTCACAGCACTTTCTAAGTCGCACCCTTCCTGGACCCGCACTCTCACACAAGTATCACCCTTTCATGTCCATAGTCCTCTTTCTCATTAAGTGAAACTTGCCAGCCTGATGCTCTCCCCCAAATGACTTGTCGGATTAGAAGGGGTGATTTAATGTGCAAATGGCCATAAACAGGAATCCTCACATTCCCACTTCTTCCACTAGCCACTGAGTTCCTTGAGGGGAGGATAGGAGAGTTTCCTGTTTATTACTCTTGCATTCATCCATTCCACAATTACTAAAGACTTATATAGAATGGGCCAGGCATTCTTCCAGGTGCTGAATGAACAGTAGTCTCTGTCCTTACCGAGTTTGCATTTTAGAGTGGGGATACAAGCAATAAACAAGCAGACACAAATCCGCAATATAATTTCAGGTAGAGGTTAAGTGTGCTAGTTGGGAGAGGGGCTATTTTAGATATGGTGGTCAGGTAAGAACTCTCTGAGGTGCTATCTGAATAAAAACCAGAATTGAGTGGTGCAAACAGCCTAAGGAAAGGGGAAGCAAGTGCAAAGGCCTCAAGACAGAAGTGTGTATCTTGGTGTGTTCCAAGAACTAAGAGGGGAAGCATGGCAGGTACAGAAAAGCAGATCAGGTTGCAAAAGTAGGGCTTGGGCACTTGAGTTTTCTAGATATGGTAGAGTTTGGGCTTTATTCTTAAGTGTGGCAGGAACCACTGAAGTAAAATCCTGCTTCTACCATGATCTGATTGACTTAAGAAACACTGACTTGTATGTGAGCAACAGGCTTTAAAGGAACATGAGTGGACGCAGTTATGGCCAACCAAGAGGCTACAGCAGCAGTCGAGGCAAAAGATGACAGTAAACATGGGCTAGGGTGGAAACGGGAAACTGGTGAGAAGTGGTCGCCGTAAGGATATACTTTGGAAGTAGAGAGGACTTGCTGCTCGAATGTGGGTCTGAGGAAGAAAAGGGTGTCAACAGTGGATTTGTAAAAGTTTGCTGATTACATAGATGTCCTATTATAGTCCTTAAATCGTTTTGGGGGTGCCTATATGTACAGGGCCCATCGTGGGGTGTGGGTGCTCTAGGCTGGAGGTGGGAAGCAGTCGGTGAGCAGCTTAGGGTAACTTGCACGCACTCAAGGAGTGACATGGTGAGCACCTCCGGCCACAGAAGGGCGGAGAGTAACGCAGCTTTGGAAGAGGCGTTTTAAAGAAGTCAGTTTCAAAGGAACCACTTCTTTGCAGGCCAGAGAGAGAAAAGCTGGTCCAGGTCGTGCATTAGGACCCTCCCCATATCAGAATAAGGACCCCTCAAAGCTGGACCCAAATTACCTAGGGCAAGCAGAGCTGC
Organism: Homo sapiens; assembly: GCF_000001405.40. NCBI lineage: Eukaryota > Metazoa > Chordata > Mammalia > Primates > Hominidae > Homo > Homo sapiens. The sequence goes on from NC_000013.11 coordinate 94,595,994, forward strand.
GGGAAAAGGTAGGGGTTTCTGGGGAGCCACTGCTTGGCTAGCGGCGCCATTACCTACATGAAACCAGCACCGCCGGTCACCAGGACCCGCTTCGCAAAGCCGCCGGGAAGACCCCACGGTTCCTCCCAACACGCCGCCGACATCTCCCAGCTCAGCAGTGCCTAGTACCGTAAAGAGTATGGTCTGAAAAGCGCAGGGAAGTTCCGCCGCGACCTTTTGCGACGCGCCTCGCTCGCGGGACACGTTAACAGAGCAGCCAGAGGCAGCTTCCGGAGACTGCTCTGTGGCCAGTTTCTGCCCGCCCACTAGCGGGCTGGGCGGGGCCGCGCTCACCACGCGCAGGCGCTGCTCCTTTCCGCCCTTGCCTGGTCCGCCAGGTGCAATTGGGGTCGCCCGGATGGTAGGGGTATGGAACGTTTTTCCCGGAAATGCCACCACTATGGATCAGATTTATGAATGAGTACCTTTTTTCATTCTTGTACTACAGCCATCTCTAGAGGTTACCTATCAGTTGAGCTGAGAACGGGGAGTTGTTGCAGATGGAGATGGGAGGTTGCAATTTAAAAATGATTTTTTTTTTTAGTGGGGCGGGGACAGGGTCTCCCTCTGTTACCCAGGCTGGAGTGCAGTGGTGCGATCACGGCTCACTGCAGCGTCGACCAATGGGGCTCAAGCAATCCTCCCACCTCAGCCTCCTGAGTAGCTAGGAATACAGTCGTGCGCCACCACGCCCGCCTAATTTTTGGTAGAGATGGGTTTCGCCCTGTTGTCCAGGCTGGTCTCGAACTCCTGGGATCTAGCCAACCTCCCGCCTCAGCCTCCCAAGGTCCTGGGATTACAGGCGTGAGCACCGTGCCTGGCCTGCAAAATGATCTTTTGCTGTTGTTAATATTATTTCAGGCCGGGCGCCGTGGCTTACGCCTGTAATCCCAGGACTTTGGGAGGCCGAGGTGGGCGGATCACCTGAGGTCAGGATTCGAGACCAGCTTGGCCAACATGGTGAAACCCTGTCTCTACTAAAAATACAAAAATTAGCCGGGCGTGGTGGCGGGCGCCTGTAATCCCAGCTACTTGGGAGGCCGAGGCAGGAGAATTGCTTGAACCCGGAAGGCAGAGGTTGCAGTGAGCCGAGACCGCACCATCGCACTCCAGCCTGGGCAACAACAGCAAAACTCCGTCTCAAAAAATAATAATATTATTATTACAGACAGCGCAGAAGGCTTGCAATCATGATAAAGATATTCCCTAGGTCCTACGCTGATGTCTTATTCTATTCTCTCCTTTGCTCACTCCGCCCCAGCCTCCCCACCCTCCTTGCTCTTCATTCAATGTGCCAGGCATGCTACTTCCCCGGGACCTTGATTGTCTTTCCCCAGATGTCTGCCTAGTTTTTACCCTTACTTCCGTTTTCAGCTTGAATGGCATCCTATTGACCACCACAATTAAAATAGCGAGCTCTGCCCAACCCTGCCGAATCATCTTATCCTTCTTTATTTTTCTTCCTAGCACTCAACATTTACATTGATGTCACTGCCCTCTGTTTAGTGTTCCATGAGGTCAGGGGCTTTGTTTTGTTTTCTGCTGTAATCGCATGTCCTTAGAGACTTGGCACAGAATAAATGACCATTAAATATTGTCGAATAGATAAATATCTTTTTTTCCCCACCATAATGTTTGGCAAAGCTGAAAACGAATGGAAACATCCAGTACAGGTGTATATGTGGAAGAATCATACCACAACCTTTTTACAAGGCAAAGTGGTAAAACATATGAAAATTTCAAATGTTCATATTCTATGACCCCCTCAAATTCCATGATGTATAATATAGATAATTGTTCATTGCTGTATTGCTTGCAATAATGAAACACTGGAAATAATCTAAATGTGTATAATGTCTTCTAACTTTTAAAATGCAGTAAACTGCTATATAGCCTTTAAAAAGAATATACCAACATGGAATGAAGACCAAAATATATTGCAGTCGATACGTACAGTTTTTTTCTGACCAGACTCCTCCCCCCACTGTCCTTTATGATCTCCCCAAGTTGACCCAGGCAGGCCACAGAATGAAATCTGGCTGACTCTAGGCCAACTGAAGCCTCTTCTTGGGATTTAGAATTCGACTAAGGTGCTAGTATAGTCTGGTTACTCTACTTGAACTCTGAGGTCCTACAAAGCTGGAACTTTTTGGTGGCCATGTTCTTTCAAAGTGAGGAGCCAGAAAGCCTGTCTTCACAGTGAGAAAAACAAAGTTGATTGAGAAGAAAGAAAAGATAGGAAAGGCCTAACATTCAAGGCCTGTGTTATGATTTCTCTTCAGGACCAGTTTTATTCCTGTCCTTGGTTTACAAATACCACATATATTTGTGGTATTTGTAATACCACATATATTTGTGGTATTTGTGGCTTACTTGAAAGGATTGACCCTAAACTCTTAAAATAAGTTACCTTTAGGGATGAGATATGGGCAGGGAAAGGAGGAAATGGGGAGTTTAATTTTTACTTTATATACTTTTGTTTTTTTGAGACAGTCTCGCTCTGTTGCCCAGCCTGGAGTGCAGTGCCACAATCTTGACTCACTGCAACCTCTGCTTCCCAGGTTCAAGCGATTCTCCCATCTCAGCCTCCAAGTAGCTGGGATTACAGGCGCATGCTACCACACCTGGCTAGTTTTTGTATTTTTAGTAGAGATGAGTTTTCACCATGTTGGCCAGGCTGGTCTTGAACTCCTGACCTCAGGTGATCCACCCACCTCACTTCCCAAAGTGCTGGGATTACAGACGTGAGCCACTGCGCCCAGCCCACTTTATATACTTTTGACTGTGAATTTTTTTCTGAGACACATGGATTACTTGCATAATAAAGAATCCTTGCAGTTTTTTTTTTTTTTTTTTTTTTTTTTTTTGAGACGGAGTCTCGCTCTGTCGCCCAGGCCGGACTGCGGACTGCAGTGGCGCAATCTCGGCTCACTGCAAGCTCCGCTTCCCGGGTTCACGCCATTCTCCTGCCTCAGCCTCCCCAGTAGCTGGGACTACAGGCGCCCGCCACCGCGCCCGGCTAATTTTTTGTATTTTTAGTAGAGACGGGGTTTCACCTTGTTAGCCAGGATGGTCTCGATCTCCTGACCTCATGATCCACCCGCCTTGGCCTCCCAAAGTGCTGGGATTACAGGCGTGAGCCACCGCGCCCGGCCGCAGTTTTTTTTTAAAAAATCCGAAAATATTAATACTTCCAGCATATTCCTGGTCAGCCAGAAATACTGAAAATGCTGTGTATATGGTAGGAGGTGGTTCCTCAATATTTTTTTTTTCTAAATGATGAGGTCTGTTATGAGAACTTCCTTATATGTTATAGAAGCTTGTTGTTAAATGAAAATAATTTATATACATTTATTCATGAAATAATTTTGAGCTCCTACTTTTGTTACCAGTGGAGGGTCTTGACTGCAAGTTGTCCAGTTTCTTGGCATTTTGAACAAAGAATTGGACAAAATGCACAGCAAAGCAAGGCAAGAATGAAGCAACAAAAGAATGAAGCAACGAAAGAACGAAAGCAGGGATTTATTGAAAATGAAAGTACATGGCCGGGCGTGATGGCTCACACCTGTAATCCCAGCACTTTGGGAGGCCAAGGTGGGTGGATCTCTTGAGGTCAGGAGTTCGAGACCAGCCTGGTCGACATAGTGAAACCCCGTCTCTGCTAAAAATCCAAAATTAGCCAGGTGTGGTGGTGTGCACCTGTAATTCCAGCTGGAAGCTGAGGCAGGAGAATCACTTGAACCTGGGAGGCGGAGGTTGCAGTGAGCCGAGATTGTGCCACTGCACTCCAGCCTGAGTGACAGAGTGATACTCTGTCTCAAAAAAAGAAAATGCAACTACACAGCGCAGAAGGGCCTGGACACATAATCATCTTGGGTCCAAATACTCCCTAGAAGTTTCCCATTGGCCACTTGGAGCTCACCTCATATAAATGAAGTGGTGGCCCCCAATAGGTCTGATTCTTGGGGAAAGCAATGAATCAGAGGCTGAAGTGGAGTTACAAAGGTCACACTCCTGTGCAAACATCTGATTGGTTGCAAAAAGCAATGTTACAGAGTTACAAAGTTGCACTTCTATGCAAACGAAGACTCAGCTGGCAATCAGTCTGACTGGGTAGGGACAGCCAATTTCTTATCTGCCTCACAGAAAAGGTGGGGATTTGCAAAGGGCATAGCCTCTGGTCCTTTTGTTACTTAGGGTGGAAAGTTAGGGTTTTCCTTTAATAGTTCTAGAAAGTCGGTGTAAAAACGCCTTAGGTTCCCTCACCCCAGGCCCTATTCTCCTGCCTCACTTTCATTAAGACAGGTATAGCCAGCAAGGTGGCTTACGCCTGTAATCCCAGCACTTTGGGAGGCCAAGGCGGGCAGATCACCTGAGGTCGGGAGTTTGGGACCAGTCTGATCAACATGGAGAAATCCCATCTCTACTAAAAATAAAAAATTAGTCGGGCATGGTGGCGCATGCCTGCAGTCCCAGCTTCTCGGGAGGCTGAGGTGGGATAATCGCTTGAATCCGGGAGGCAGAGGTTGAGGTGAGCCGAGATCGCGCCATTGCACTCCAGTCTGAGCAACAAGAGTGAAACTCCGTCTCAAAAAAAAAAAAAGTGTAGTCACTGACCAGCTGGAGCTGACAATAGAGGCGGAGATTTCAGACACATGAATGGATACTTACAGTACAGTGCGTGAGTGCTCTGGTAGGGAAGTAAGGGATTCTGGTTCCAGGGGCATCTACTACAGACTTAGGGGTTTGAGAAAGGCTTCTTAAAGTGCCTTGGGAAGGAGGAGTAAAGGAGGAAAAGGAAGGTGAGGAGGTCCAGTGTTGGAATAAGCAGAAGTATTCTAGCCAGAGGGATCAGGGAGTGATATAGGCCTAGAAGGGAGAACTTGGGAGTGTTCAGGAAACCAACGGCGGTAAGGATGGAGATGAGAAAAAACAGACATTTGAGAGTTGAAGAGCCATATTCTAGAGTTTGGGTTGTGTGCTAAAGGCAATTGAGAACCTTTCAAGGCAAGTGCAGCAAATTGTTTCCTACAGCTTTCTGTGGCTGTAGGGTAGAGATGGATTGTAGCCAATTAGAATGAAGACTGTAGAGACGGTCTTTGCCATAGGCCAACAAAGTGATGAACTGAGTAGGACTGTGGCCGCTGCTTCCCACCCTCACCAGAAGAAGGGCTAATCCACACTTGTTATTGAATTGATTGAATTGCGGGGGGGGGGGGGCCTACAATTCCCAGCGGTCTGGTCTGCGGGCGGGGGTGGGGGTGGGGGTAATGTAATTCGAGAAGCCAGAGAACCTAGGAGGGAAAAATCGGCTGGAGATGCCAAGAGAAGGCATGCGTTAAATTGTGGTCATGCGGAGCTAAGTGTCTTTGAGACATTAAATCGGACACGTCCTGTAGGTTATACAGGCGCCAAGGAAGAAAATCTGCATAAGAACACAGTTTTTTCTTTGCGGGAGTTTAACTCTCTCGGCCAGAAACAGTCCTGTCCTGCATTTCTTAAGTTTTTTCCGAATCCCACAAGCCCTTCGAAGGCCCCGCGGACTCGTGCCAGCGCGCCCGCGCATGCTCAGTAGCAAGACGTGCTAGGCAATGAGGAGGGAGATGAGTTTTCCGTAACCTGAAGCAACATCCTCCTGATTCCTCATTAAAGAAAAAGGCGGGAACTAGTCAAAAGCCGGGGACTGATGGGACGCTAGGATCTGCGCGTCCCGCCCATTTCGGCCTCTGACTGGTGAATGTCTTCGGCTTATGGCAGAGGAGCCCGCCTCATTGGCTCTCAGGCTCCAGAGCAGCAGGTCTCCGGCGCCCACCCCGCCTCCCCCAGCTGCCGACGTGGGGCGGGCAGCCGCCGGCGGCTGGGAGCCGAGGCGTCGGTGCAGACCTGGAGACGGGCATGGGGGGGCTGCGGCTGCTGGCTGTGGCCCTCACGTGCTGCTGGTGGCCGCAGGGCAGCCAGGGTAAGACCCTGCGGGGCAGCTTCAGCAGCACCGCGGCCCAGGACGCCCAGGGCCAGCGCATCGGCCACTTCGAGTTCCATGGTAGGTCTGGGGGCGGGGAGGGGGATGAAGGCGCGCTGGCCCATCCCGCCGGCTGAGTCCGCCGGCCGCTCCTCCCGGCCCCTCCCTGCCACGTTGGGCGAGGCCGGCGACTTCCCCAGCCTCACCTGGACCTCCAGCGTTGCAGCAGCTGCCGCGAATGGTGGGATGCGTTCCTTGCCAACCCCGCTGGTGCGGCTTTCCAGCCCCAGGCAGCGGCCTCTCGCCACTAGTGATCGTGTTCCGCACCTGAAAGCTGGTTTCCATTTCCCCAACCCTCCCCTTGGAAGCCAATGTGCAAAAGACTGGTCGGCCGCATCTTTCCAGATCCTTCCCGCAAAGAAGCATATTTGCTCCTTCCTGTCTCGGCCACACTGTGACGGGAGAATTTAACCCTAGAAACTTAAATTTCCTTTTTTTTTTTTTTTTTTTTAAAGACCAATTTCCTGAGACCTACTTGCAACAGAGTGGTTTTGGAAACCAAGTAAAACACTTGATAATGTAGTTGTTATATTGAGCAGTTTGGTTACTTGGCTACTAGGGCAGTAGATTTACTATGGGCAGTAAGGCCTAGAATTAAGCTGATGAAAATGCATTTAAGTAGCATCTTGGAAGCTCCCTAATTTGTGTTCTGTGTGGCTCTTCTGAAATCAGAGTTGCGTTTGATTTCAGACCTTTTGGTCTTCCTCAAAAATCAGTAATTATTCCTTCAATAAATGCATTTGCAATTCATTCTAATTTTGGTCTCATTTGCACTCTCACAATTTAAGTGTTTTTCTTGGTACTCTTAATTTGACTAGTGCTGTATTTCAAATAATTATTTGCCTTGATGACATTAGGAACTTTGATTTGTACAGTCTTTAGCATTAAAAGATGCAACGATGAACATCAGAATATTGGCCTAGAAAATATTGTTAGGAGAAGATAATAGAAACGGAACTACTTTGGTGAGAAAAGGAATTTAAAGTATTGGGAAATTACAGAATTGACAGAATAAAGGGAAGGGATCCTGATTTTTTTTTTTTTTGAAGTTTTTAAGATAGCTAAGAAAAGGAGTTTCAGTAACCCAGTTTTTCAAAATCCAATGTGGAATATATTTTGGGTGAATGAAGAAGAAACACTAGAAACAATTTTATTATTTTTTGTAACATTTTGAGTTTCTCATTCAACGGACTGTAACCATACTTTGAGTATTGACAGCCACTGTCTTAAATGGCACAATGTGGACAGTGTTGGAAAATGTGGGATGTATAGAAGACGTGGGTTATTACTTAGGACCAGCAGAGAGACTTGGACGACCTCATAGTTCCTGATGATCATCTGGTAAACGTGGAGGAGAAACATGTACTAAATTCAGATTTCTCAAGACAGATTGGGGATAAGGTGTTTCAAGTGCGTTCATTCTGTTTCATATGTGTAAAATCACATATAGTTATTACCAATTTTCATGAATCCCAATTCAGTAAAATAATAATACAAAAACTATACTGAAACAATGAACTGTAACTCGGAATGCAATTTACAGTGTCAATTGGGCCTCAGAGTCACTTGTAAGACTTCAAAATATGTAATCAATTTATGTAAGAGACTTGCACATTCTTTGATATATATACTGTATATTTAAATATATTTAAAATGTTTAATCAAAGTGGTAATTATAGTAATAAAAGCATAGAAAAAAAATTTCCAGGAGAATAGAAGATCTTAAAATGAAAAACAGTCTCCTGTCTTAGCTCTTTCACCCAGAATCCCTTTCCCTAGAGGCAATAACTTACTGCCATTTCTGTTCTGGGCCTTAAATGTAGTTGGTGTGTGCAACCAGGTTCATTCTGTATTCATCTTACAACATATATTATTCTGAAAGTTCTTTTTTTTTAAAAAGGAAGCCAGACTCGTTGGGTGGCTCCTGCCTGTAATCCCACCACTTTGGGAGGCAGAGGTGGGCAGATCACTTGAGGTCAGGAGTTCAATACCAACCTGGTGGCTGGGCGTGGTGGCTCACACCTGTAATCCCAGCACTTTGGGAGGCTGAGGTGGGTGGATCACCTGAGGTCAGGAGTTAAAGACCAGCCTAGCCATCATGGTGAAACCCCGTCTCTATAAAAATATAAAAATTAGCCAGGCATGATGGCAGGTGCCTGTAATCCCAGCTATTTTGGGAGGGTGAGGCAGGAGAATCGCTTGAACCGGGGAGGCGGAGGTTGCAGTTAGCTGAGATCGTGCCATTGCACTCCAGCCTGGGCAATAGGGCGAGAATATGTCTCAAAAATAAATTAAAAAAAAAAAAAAAGACCAACCTGGCCAACATGGTGAAACGCTGTCTCTACTAAAAATACAAAAATTAGCTGGATGTGGTGATGCTGGGTGTGGAGGCGCATGCCTGTAATCCCAGCTACTCCTACTCAGGAAGCTGAGGCAGGAGAATCAGGAGAATCGCTTGAACCTGGGAGGTGGAGGTTGCAGTGAGCCGAGATTGCGCCACTGCACTCCAGCCTGAGTGACAGAGTAACACTCTGTCTCAAAAAAAAAAGAGTTTTGCTCTGTCACCCAGACTGGAGTGCAGTGGTGTAATCAAAGCTGACTGCAGCCTCAGACTCCTAGGCTAAAGCCATCCTCCCATCTCAGCCTTCTGAATAGCTGAGACTACAGGCTCAGCCACCAAGCCCAGCTAATTTTTTTTTTTTTTAAATAGCAACAGGATCTCACTTTGTTTCCCAGGCTGGTCTCAAACTCTTGGGCTGGGAATCCACCCACCTTGGCCTTCTAAAGTGCTGGGATTACGGGTGTGGCCACTGTGCCCAGCCCCTGAAAGTTCTTTTGTAAAAGTCGTAGATACCAAATTTTGTTTTAGGTATAATATGTCTACCCCAGAACACATACATTTAAACTTTCCTGCTATTAGCTATGTTTATTTTTTATATTAAGAGTATAATTAAATATTAACACCTATGTCATATTAAAAAACAGAAACTTTGGTGGGACATTTCTATAGATTATGAATAAAATATAAAATGTGAAGTGGTTGTAAAGTGAGGCAAAAATTTTAATACAGTGAATTGTTCAAATACCCCAGATATTGCGGTTTATTGAGTGAAATATCAGTTATCAGCTGAATTTCAAGGAAATACCACACGTTCATTTGAATAATCTCTTGCTTCTGAATGTTGTGTTCATTATGATGTGATTTACCTAGTTAAGCGAGATTTAAGAAGAATTGTGCTTTTTAAATTTCCATTTTGGTAAGTAGAGGTGTTGAGTTGTCCTCATGTCTCAGTTTCATGTAAGACCAAACTAGTTGATGATTTTTGTTTTAATGTCAAGGTGACCATGCTCTTCTGTGTGTCAGAATCAACAACATAGCAGTAGCTGTTGGAAAAGAAGCTAAACTCTACCTGTTCCAAGCCCAGGAATGGCTAAAGCTACAGCAAAGCAGTCATGGTTATAGCTGTAGTGAAAAATTATCCAAAGCTCAGTTGACAAGTGAGTATATCCTTTTTTCTTTGATCATTAGATATAGTTTTTTTCCTCCTAATGTTGAAATATAGTACCATATGTACATATGTTATGTTTCCTGACAGCATAATCCCACTGTGATGACACTTTGTCTAGTACATTTTAAGCTGAGTTTTAACAGTGCCTTTCCCTTTTTATCATTCATCGTTTTTGAAAAAAAAATCCAGATAATTTATATAGGAGTCCTTTCTTTCATTGACTCTTTACAGTTTGCATAATTTATGCCAATATGGAAACTATATTTTGACCCAGTGGCAGCATGGAATGAATGGTAACATTTGTTGAATGCTAATTATCTGCCAGCACTGAGCTAAATGCCAATGTATTATCTTAGTTAATTGGGTAATTTAGCTTGAGTGATGCTGTTTCACAACATGTCATTTGAACATGAGACTTAGTTATATGGTATAAAATATGTCACTTTGACAGCCAGGTGCAGTGGCTCAGGCCTGTAATCTCAGCACTTGGGGAGGCCAAGGTGGGTGGATCACCTGAGGTTGGGAGTTTGAGACCAGCCTGGCCAACATGGTGAAACCCCGTCTCTACTAAAAATACAGAAAAAAATTAGACAGGTGTGATGGCATGCGCCTGTAATCCCAGCTACTTGGCAGGCTGAGGCATGAGAATTGCTTGAACCTGGGAGGCAGAGGTTGCAGTGAGCCAAGATCATACCACTGTACTCCAGCCTGGGCGACAGAGTGAGACTTTGTCTCAAAAAAGTCACTTTGAGATGTACCACCACCACATCATTTGTATACTTCTGGATTTGCCTCTAGAGAGGCTGTACTTTTTAAATCCTAATCTAGTGGCTTAAATCCGTGATCCCATTCATTCTCATCAACATTGTCCTGTGCATTAGGTTGCTAGCCATCCAGAGTGAGTGAAAATTTTTTTAAATACGGAAATGAAGAACATGTGCCATTGTTTCCATTTTGCACCTCGCAAGTTAATTAGGTGTAGAAGACATTAGAAATTTGAAGCATCCATGAGGAAAAATGGGAATTATTCTTCCCTTTTTCCTCTTATTATTCAGGGACTCATCCATATATGGAACATGGTAGTCTCTTCTCTTAGCCTATTCTAGTGAAGCATTCATTTCTAAACATCTGGCTTTTATCTTATCAGCTGTCTGATTCCCTCATAAGGCAACTAGCTAGATCAGTGAAAAGAGCAGAGGTCCCCAGTCCTTGCCACCCATTGTGGGGATCTTTAATGTAGATTTGTGAGATGATATTGTGAGAAGATAGTATCCTAAAGATGAATGACAATTACATACAATTATTTACTTTGACCCTGAATTCAAAACTTATCTGGGAAATACATGCAGATTCTCTTGATTGGTTGTCTCTTCCTTTCTCTGCCAGTTTGCTCATCTAAGTGTTGCACATATGTGTAAAAGGTCATGTCCTTCAGTTCCCAATTCCTCTGGCGTCTAAACTGAACTCACCATCTTCCCCATCCAGACCTGGTCCTCTTCTGATGTTCCCTGTTTTAAGAATTGGCACCACCATCCATCCAGTAAACAGTTGAGAAACCAAGGTGTCTTCTAATACTCCCCTCTTTGACCTTTCTACCCCCTCATACATCAGTTAAGTCTTGAGGTTTTACTTTTAAATATCTCTTGAATTCATCTTGCCTTTGCTATTTCGACAGTCTCCTACGTGGTTATTTTATAGCCATGCTGGTCCCCCTTCTGTAACTAGATCTTTCTAAATAGCAGATTTGGTCATGTTACATTCACTTCTTTACCACACCCTTAAAATAAATGGTTTCCCTTAACCTGACCGGGCCTCCTTAACCTGACCAGCAAAGCCATTGTAGACTGGCTGCTGCTTACCTCTCCGTTTCATCTCAGGGCATTGCCCCACTCACTGCATTTTATTTCAGTGCTACTCTGAGCCTTTGCATAGGCTTTTTCCTCTTCAGCCTCCCCTCTGGCTCCTCCGTCGATTAAGTTAACACCTAAGTTTTTATAGCCTCTTGCTTTCCTGCATAGCACTTACTATAGTTACCACTTTACATTTTATTTATTTGTTATAAAATCAGTCAATGAGAGCAGTAGGGCTCTTCTGGTGTGTTCATTCACTGAGCGCTTCCACTGTTTCATGTACTGCTAGGTACTGTTGATAGATCAGTGACCAAAATGTCCTTAAGGCTGGTGGAGGTGACCAGAATGAATCAGATGAATGTGAATAAATGTAAAATTGCAATTTTGATAAGTACTATGAATGCTAATTATATGGCACTATGAGAATGAGAATTGATGATACCCCGGTGCTTAGTTAAGTTTTTACTAAGTATTTGTAGAATGAATAGTCGTAGACCTTCATGCTTAAGGGCTTGTTGTTTGGCTGGTTGTTAGCTTTTTGTGTTTGGCATCTCAAAGACTTTTTCTATCTCCAACAAAAACTTACTAGGCAGTTTAAAGCTTTGAGCTATAGGAATATTGATTTGTTCTCTTGTATCACATAGTCAGTATTTATATACTTTATACACTTAAAAACCTCATTTTCGTATGAGTCATATTCCTGTATTCCCAGAACTTCTGTATACAGGGAGACAGTGTGGTGCAATGGGAAGACCATAAAACTGAGTATCACTGCTAGTGATTTATAACAAGAACTCGTTATCTTTGAACCTCATTTTACTTATCTGTACAACAAGCAAGTTGGACTAGGTGTCCCTAAGGTTCATGATAGTTCCAAAATGCTGCCATTCTCGTTATAACTCTTAAGGATGGAGTTACTTATGTATAGGACTACAACTTAACAAAACCTTCTGCTGTTGTTTCTTTTTCTAGTTTCTCTTTCTTTTCCCTGTTCTGTTAAGTGCAGAGGTATATTTTGAAATTGTGGAATGGAAGATAACAGGTAACAGGAATTTTAGAGGAATGAAGGTTGTTTTGTCAAATTTTGGGGCTTAAAATAAATTTAATACTGATTTCTACATATATGTACTTCACCAATTTTTTTTTCCAATAACAAAATCCAAATCTTAAGTCTCTAACTTTTATATATTGTCATATTTATGGTATGTTATTTAGGAGCTTAGGTACATTTAAACAAAAAGCATATCCTTAAATTCATGATGTAATAGTAACACATATTTAAGAATAGTTCCTTATAGCAAGTGCTTTTCTTAGCTATTAATGAGACTTAAGAGTTAACAGCCTTTCACCTATTTGGTAATGAACTCAGTAACTCTGCCCAGCTCCTACGTAAAACCTTGCTGCTGCTGTGTACTATGAAAAGACTAGCAGATTAGAAAAATCTTAGTGTTGAATGTTGCTTGACTCTCCCAAATTAATGTTTGAAAAATTATTTTTCAGTCATCTCTTTGTTCTGTCATAAAAATCTGATTTAAAAAATACTAAAAACTATTTTGTAGATTTTTAAAGCAAGCAAACAAGACATTTGAAAGCACTGAAAATGATGAGTTTATGTATTTCTATCTAAAACTTAACGAGGAGATTCGGAGGAATTTTCTATCAGATTACAAGAGCTAAATGTAATATTGTATATAAAACATTTCAGTGTTGTCTTTTTACATATTATGCATATGATTCCTTTTGTAGTTTGGTATATTTTATAAATCATTTAAAGGTGTTAGTATTTTATTGTGTGTTTTGGTTAACAGTATTCAAATCCTTTTATAATATGATTGGATAATTAGCTATTCAACACCATTCTCAGCAGTTCAAGTTTTGTTAATATTTGAGGTACTAATTACACCAGCATAGAATATGCATGCTGTGTTGTAGTCTTTTGTCTCAGAAACAATGAACACACAGTTTTGTCAAGAGGCTTGTTTCCCAGCCTTGCCGAAAAGACAGCAAGACAAAAACTAAAGGCCGGTATCACTTTATGAAGCATACTTTTATTTCTGTTTGAAGTAAATCCACATAATTTAAAATGAAACATCAAAAATATATTGGTAAAAGTGTGGGTTTTTTTTATATTTTATCTAAGAGAAAAAGGGCAAATGATAAAAATGGCAACACAGCAGAGCCTTTATATAATGAGGTCCGGATTATATAATTGCAAATTGCACATTTAAACAGTCTTATTTGTGAATCATTTATTGATCATATATTAAATTCTTACTAAAAGTCTTCCAATATTTAACAGAAACTAGAGTCTTTGCTACATTTTTCCAGAAACTGTATGTGTGTTTTTTTTTTTTTAAAGGTAGTTTAAATGTCAGCTAACTTATAGTAGCCAAAAAGCAATGCCATGGTGGTGGTAATCAGATCCTCTTGTTCAATTTAACCACCAATGAACGAAATTCCCAGTTGTACAGTCCAAGTCCTCAAAATTCAAATCCTGACTACATCTGTATCTCATTCCTAAAGACAACCTATAAATAACATTTTTCCAACTTTCCACTAGGAAAATTTCCCAACATACAGAAAGGTTGAAATTATAGTACAACCAGCATCCATATATCCTCTGCTTAGACTCAATAATTGTTAATATTTTGTTAAATTTGCTTTATGTCTATATGTATGTGATTTTTGTTTTAATTGAACCATGTGAAAATAAGCAGCAGGTATCACAGTTTGCCCCACCATACCTAAGCATACATCTTCTAAGAGTAAAGAAATTCATCTGTTTAACTATCATACACCTAAGAAAATGAGTAATTCTATAATGTCCTCTGAAATCTATTCCATACATACATTTCTAGTTACCTCAAGAAATGTCTTTTATTTATTAAAAATGTTTTTTTCTACAATTGAGAAAAAGATTAAGACTAATTTGTCCTTAAATATTGACATGTTTTGGGTGCAATCTAGAGTTGGGAATTGGGTCCATCATAATACTGTTTTAAAAATACTTTGTGTAGAATCATGCTCTTTCCATATACTTTTCATTTGCCCCTCACAAGAACTCTGCACTAGCAGGGCAGGTATCTTTATTTGACTATTGAAGAAACAAATTTAGAGAGTTTGTAAATTTATTTGCTGAGTCGCAAGGCCAAGACTCGCTCTTCTAACTCTACTCTTTTTGTTACACCCAGAACTTGAGACACTCCTCTCCTAGGCAGCTTCGTGTTAGTGTTAGTCAGTGCCTCTTAGGTCAGGTCAGATTCAGAAACCGCAATTACTTTTGCACCAACCTAATAGTTTTAGGTCCAGAAGGAATCTTAGACATCATTTTGTGTTTCTCAGAAGGGAGTGCCGTTGGCATTTTAGGGGGAATAATTCTTTGCATGAGGTTCAACACAGCCCCCCTCCAAGTATCTAACCAGCTATTGTGACAAAAAACTATCCCCTCACATTTTCAGATGCCCTGGAGGAAAGGAGATTACCCTGGATTGAGAACCACTTACTAATATAACTACCTTGTTTTAAAGAAAGGAAAAGCAGAATTGACATTTAGCAACTACTCTGTGACAGTTACCATGCTAGGTGACTCAAATAACTTAGTGCTTATATCAGCCCTTTGCTGTAGGTAGTATCTTCATTTTACAGATGAAGAAAGTGAGTGTCATTGCTTATGTAACTTACCCAAGGTCACACAACAGGTAAGTATTGAAGCCAGGATTCAAACATACATCTGAATGATGCCACACACCCCCCACCCCTGACTGTATCATACTACTTCATGTGGACCTGATCCAGTATAATAACTTCTGCATTCCTGTAATTTCTATTTTTTCTGCTTTTTGTACACCTTTAAAGAACAACCAATCAGAAAAAGATTTTGGAAAATCTTTTGAAAATACATAGTTTTTAGATATAATGATTTTGTAAGTTGAATGCTCCATTTTAAATTTAACTCGAGTAATCTTCAAAAATGTCACTGTGATTGTTGCACAGCATTGTAGATGTGCTTAATGCCATAGACTGTACACTTAAAAATGGTTAAAATGATACATTTAGCATTGTGTATATTTTACCACAATAATTTTTTTGAATGTCATTAACCAACCCGGAAACTGTGAAAATATCGAAAATCAAAATTCAAAGTTTCAGCCGCCGAGACCAAGATGGTGGCGAGACTTGGCACTTTCCTCAAGAATGCCTGGGCCAGGGAGCCAGTGCTGGTTGTGTCCTTCATCATTGGTAGCCTAGCTGTAATTCTGCCCCCACTCAGCCCCTACACCAAGTACTTCATCATGATCTACGAGACCATGCCCTACAACTACCCATTGCCCGTCCGCAATGATGGGAACATGACCAATGTGCCCGGCCACCCCCAGGATCCCCAGAGCTCCAGCTTGGAGTGGCTGAAGAAACTGAGCACCTCCACTGACAGAGGAGGCCCCTCCCATCGCTCCCAATACGAATGTGAAAACCAAAAAGAAAAAAAAAAAAAAGAATTCAGAGTTTCAGTGAAGCCATTCTACTTGTGGTGTTTTATAGTCATACTTTTATAGTGATTCCTTGGTTAAAAACATCATTTTTATCTCCTTTGCAGATAAATTCTGATTTATTCTATAAATATCTGGTTTACAAGACTTATTCCAAATACTACACAAGGTCTTGGATTTCTGAGACAATAAAAATTAAAAGATTGTCCTAACCTCAAATTGATTATATGACTAAAACAGTGAAACACATTTGAGAATTTTGTTACAAAAGGTGTTTTCTTTCTCTTTAAAGTGACCATGAACCAGACCGAACATAATCTGACAGTGTCCCAGATTCCGTCTCCACAAACGTGGCATGTGTTTTATGCAGACAAGTATACATGCCAAGATGACAAGGAGAATTCTCAGGTGGAAGATATCCCATTTGAAATGGTGTTACTAAACCCAGATGCCGAAGGGAATCCATTTGATCATTTTAGTGCTGGAGAATCTGGTAAGAATATGTATTTGAATATATCCTAAATTCAGGAAAAGATTTATGTACAAATATATTCATGTTGTATTTTTAAAATCAAAAATGAAAGCAACCTGTGTTTCCAAAACTAGAGAAATGGTTAAATTAATCTTCTTATAGCATTTTGATAGCCATCATATTAATTTTTAAAAGCAGAGTATTACTTGAGTGTATTAAAACCTGCAAAGAATAAAACAGAAAGAAGCACAAAAATATTAATAGATTATTTTGATACTCTGGGTTGGTAGAATTGTATAGTTTTGTTTGTTTGCTTGTTTGTTTTGGCTCCAGACAGGAAACAACTTGTGTAGTTTATAGTTTATACATTCTAAACATTTTTGTTTTTATGATAACCTTGCATTATTTTTATAAACAGAAAAATGGTAACAAATTAAACAATTTAAATTGTTAATGATTAAATGAGATTAGAAACTCAGCTACTTTGTATGGGTAACTCTGTACTAGCTTGTTTGAACAGATTTAGGGATTGCCTTCATTGAAGCTTACAACAATTTAGGGATGATCAGAGTCCATAATACTTCTCAGAATCAGATGTACTCATATGAAATATTTCATCAAAATGTTAGGTAACTATGTTCTGTCCTACTGAGGTAAGATTCCACCCCCAGCAGAAATGAATGACTTCTTATGATCATGATGAACATGCTATGAAGTATAACTGATTTGTAAATTAACATATTGGAGTAAGGATTTGTAGGCCATCTGTCAAAGAAAAGCATTAAGGGTTTACCTCTTCATGAGTTCATTGGCTGTTTGAAAGAGTCAATCTGCTTAAGAGAAAAATTTAATTCCATTGTATCCCATTGGCCATAGAGTGGGGTGGGTGGAGGTGAGGCAGGAGTGAGGCCACATTAGCTTAAACTGATTGTTTAGTTCAAAGTGTAAATTTGTCACAGCTAAAAAAGCAACTTGAGAATTGTGACAGTAGGTCACAAATAATGTTTTAAGGGATAAACTTTTTAAAAATATCCTTTGTTTGGAAAAAACATATATCTAGTGATAGAATGGTGTGCTAATTTTTTTTATTTTTATTTTTTAGAGACGGGGTCTCGCTATGTTGCCCAGGTTGTCTCAAACTACTGGGTTCAAGCAATCCTCCCACCTTGGCCTCCCAAGGTGTTGGGATTACAGGCGTGAGCCGCTGCACTTGGCCCTAAATGTTTTAAAGTGGTTAATTTGAAGTTCTTTCTGTGAAAGAAATGAAATAGTGTAAGCTACTCAAATTGTTTCTGAATGCAGATGAATGTAAAGGTTAAATTTCATTAATGATACTTTCGACTAGTATAGATCATTATTGGAAGTTAATTTAGTCCTTTCATTTCCTTAATCTTTTTAAAGATGCCAACTTTTTTCTGTATTTTGGAAAGGCATTGATGGAACCCAGGTCTACTAAGAGCATTGAATGGATGGTTGGACTAAATTGCTCCTCAGGTCCTTTTTTTTTTTTTTTTAATTTTATTTTTTGAGACAGAGGCTTGCCCTGTCGCCCAGCCTGGAGTGCAATGGTGCAGTCTCGGCCCACCGCAACCTCTGCCTCCCGGGTTCAAGCAATTCTCCCGCCTCAGCCTCCTGAGTAGCTGGGACTACAGGCACCCACCACTACACCTGGCTAATTTTTGTATTTTTAGTAGAGACGAGGTTCCACCATGTTGGCCAGAACTCCTGACCTCAGGTGATCTGCCTGCCTTGGTCTCCCAAAGTGCTGGGATTACAGGCGTGAGCCACCGCACACAGCCTTCAGGTCCTTTTTAACTGTAAGACTTCATTATTTCATATGACCCTTATTTTTAGGACTGGTCAAGGCTCACTAGGAAGTAATGTTCTGCTGCAGTTGTTGCATGTGCAAACCCTGCTGCCTCTAGTGGAGTACAGATCAATTAGCACTTCCTCTCCTGCCTTCCAGGCTGTAGTCCTTTGGCTCAAAAGGTGGTTTTATGTATTGAGTAGATCCATGAGACTTTTCTGGATCCTGATATGCTTTTACTTGCCTCCTTATCCAGGCTTCCATTTTTGGTCTTTTTCTTCATCACCAATTTGGCATGTAAACTTTTATCCCAGGCTATAAAGTGATCACATTTGTGCCCTGTGCCATGCTTGGACCTCTGAATCCCAGTCATACCTTGCCTTGTCCTGAACCTTGCCTATGTCTTCCAGTGTTTTCCTCAACATCTTGAGTTGTGGCTAGCTTTTCTTTATGATGCATACTAACCGTTATGATTCAGTTCTTAGTTTTGTCTCCTTCTGACCTACCTTTTCCTGATTTTTGTGACTGATTTTGATTTTATGCTTACTCTTGTGTCTAAAAGCTGTCTTTCTTATACTACAATGGGGAAGTTACATTGAGTATGTCAGCAACAATGTTTAAACAAGGGGCAAAACCTCACTATAATCGTATGTATTTTCATTAAGCATGACATTCTATGCAAGGCTTACCTTCGGGGATTAATCATTAGAAAGTGCCAGAAGTATCCAAAAGCGTCCAGCCTTGTTATGTGGCTTCCTCTAAACATCACATCATTTTATTGATTAAAATGCTTAAAAGCTTTTGTGAATAACTCTACATTGAAGTATCAATGAGTGGTTCTTAACCCATCACTGTATGCATCTGGTTTAAGGTTATGAGGGTTAAAACAAAAATTCAGATATTCACACCCAGAGACTCAGATAGATTTGGTTTGGAGTGGAAGCCAGTTAAAGCTCTAAAGTTGATTCTTATGTACAGAACCGCTGATCTAAAAGTCCATATTTCACATTGTTTTAGTAATGTGTTTTAAAATACAGCCTTAAGAGGGATTCTTCCTACTTTGTAGCCTCAGGTATGGAATTTGTTTACAGGGAAAATGTTCAATTCATTTTAGAAACTTCTGCTAGTTTGCCTAATTATCTGCTACAAGTAGGAAAAATTGATTTGCTATGCTTTTTACAGAAAATTGACTATTACCACATGTCTCAGAGGTTTGAATTAGAGTAACCTGGTGCAGATAGTTGCAATTAATGTTACAGGTTATTCTGGTTAAATTTCATAATTTGTTTTCTTTCAAACCAATTATGTATTTTATATCTACCAGACTTTGGTTAATCCTCTATTTTACAGAGTTGGTCTAGATTAAACAAAGTCAGGCAAGTGTGATGCCGATTGACAAAGTACTAAATAGGATTATAATATTTTAAGGTACAATGAAATAAAACTGCTTCTTTAAAAGATTAGAATCCTTGTTAACTGTATTTGTACTCTAATTAGAGACCAAGAAGTACCCAGAATCCTGAGAGTGTTATTACCTAAAGGCGCATATAGACTGGTTTTCACTGGAATAATACTACAGGCTCTGCCACATCTGCCATCTCACTGTTTTTAAAATTCTAGCAGCTATGTTCATTCTTTAGTGTTATCCCTTTTTTCCTCCATGTCCCAAAAGACAATGGGTTGGATCTTCCATTTAGCTTCAGTAATGTGTTGCTGGTAACATGTTGGAATGTTTTTGGCTTAAAGTAACAGAAAACCCTAATGCAAGTGGTGTAGACTGTAATGAAATGAATTATCTTACATAACAAGAAGTTTTGCGGCTTCTCCAGGGTGGTTTATTTAGCATCTCTCTACCCTGCTATCCTCAGACTATCAGTGTTGTTCTTAAGCTAGCTGCCTCAAGTTCAAAGTTAGCTGTGGCAGTTCTGAGCATCATGTCTAGATGATTGCAATATTCAGTATCACTTTTTAGGAGGAAGGAAGTCTTTCCCAGAAGCTTCCTATCACATTTCCTTTTTCAGAACTGGGTCATAGCATCATAAGAGAAATGTAAGTTGACATGAAAGAAAGAAGATAAAAGTAGACAAATATGTCAAAAGGGTTAGGTTTACCTCCTACTGGTAAGAGTATGGGAATTTCTGATTGATTTAGACTAATCAGGATATATCTTGAGACACGTGAGTGTGGGAGACCACTGGGGCTCTGAGACAAGGATCATGGGGAGGCGGGAATGTCTGTTCCAGGTGCTGCCCCAGAACCCAAGGACCCTTTCCCCTTAGGCTCTCCTCCTTTCTCATTTACCATCATTTAGCTGGGGCTAAATTTATTGAAGCTGGCCTCTAAGTTTTCTTGCTACTTTATTTTGCCAATGCTGCTTCCTTTAAGCTTGCCTTAAACCTTACACATTTCCTTACAAGTGTTCACCACCTGTTGTATGCTCATTAAGAGTATTTTTCTTCTTCAGTGTATACTTTTTTCATGTGTATTATTAAGTCTTAAGTATAATAAGATTTAACAATTAGTATCCACCTGTTTTAAAATTAGATTTTAATTTCAAAGTGAACAAAGTGAACACAAATTGAGTTTAATTTCAAAGTGAACAAACAATTTTTGCTTGTGGCAAAACAAAAAATTGGTAGCTGAAGAGAGGAAGAAAACAGACTTTTTTAAAGAGATGATTTGTTTAAAAGAACACTGAGTGCAGAGCTAGCATTTTATCTTTTAAGCATTTTATGTACAGTTTTAAGGGAAGAATCATCTAAAATTCAGTGAATAAAGTGTGGGACAGACCCAGTTCAATTTGTTTAATATGTTATGTCAATGAAATAATTTTTGTGTTCGTTATAATGTTAGCTTTTTCTGGAAGATTATTAACTTTGAATAATCCTAAGACATTTTTTGCTGGTGACATATATCTTATTTTCCAGAGTCCCTTCCTTCTATATTATTCTCATTCCTCAGTAAATAACCTGAGGATTTTCTTTTCATGGTAGAGTTGTAACTTCATGGAGTCAGAAACTTTATCCTGTAAGTCAGAAACTTTAAAGATATTCTGTAAAATATTATAAATAAATAAAACTTTAAATTGAATGCCATGTTTAATTTTTTAATACTAAGAAGGAAAGATAAAAACTAAGATTCAAAACACAGGATAGCATAAGGAACTTTACTGACCCACAGTTGTTATAATATATTTAGCATTTTTATTTTCTGTCTTGTTCCGGTACTATAATAATCCCAGGATTATGTTGCCATTATTTCTAAGGCTGGAATGCTTTTCTATGTAAGGTGTTTAAAAAGAAAATATGTTCTTTCTTTTCCCTTCCTGAAGTCTAAACATGCTTTTTCACCTGCACTAGAAAAGTTAACTGTCCACATTTATATTCATAGAGCAGGAGAGACACCCAGTGGCAGAAATACTTTTTGCTGCTTTTTTCCCCCTAACGAGGCCAAAAGCCTGATTGAGCTATTTATTGATTCTTATAATTTGTGTCTTCTGATTGCTTTTACAAAATTATTTTCCACATAATAGAAATATTTTCTTCTCTGACTGTTAATTGGAGTTTACCCGAATGGGAAACTAGAGCAGGCTTGGTGTTCGCTATTGGAATGAAAGTTCATCCATAGACTCAATTAAGACAGCTCTATTCACACCACTGTTAGAGCAGTCTGGTGTTAGATAGAATGTAAAAGCCTTAATATTAGGGACTGTCTTGACATGTAAGCAAGTAAATGTTAGCTGTTAAACTGAAAGCTAGCCTGCTGCTTTATTATAAAAATTTTCTGAAATTTCTGAAAAATGGAGACTCAGTCAAAAGATTGCACGTGAACACAGAAAAAGTGACATAATAAGGTTACATGAAGACTGTACTAAAAAGCTGCTAGTAGGCACTAGAGGCTGCTCTAATGACTGGTTCCATTTTTAATACAAAGTCTGCACATTCTTTGTTCTTTGCCAGCCATCTGTCTTTCCTCACTTGTAATTTCTACTCCCTCAAAACTTTGGTTTTTATCATGGCTCAGTTTGATTCGTCTGGCCTGTCCCAACATCAGCTCCTTTCAACTTCAATTTCTATGGCCTCTTTCCTTTCTGCTTTATAGTTTGATCTACTAAGAGAAGATGATTAGCCTAACTTAGCTTTCAGAATTGTTACGTTGTTGGCCCCTTGCATTGGTAGCCATTTGGTTAGGTGTTAGACAATTTTCAGCCAATCCTGGCATGGAGTCGCATGATCAGCACAGGATTTTTTTTTTTTTTTTTTTTTTTGGCAAGAGCTGCAGACAGTTTATCTCAGAAGATATCTCTGGACATGACAGATATTTTGAAGGTTTGTCCAAATGGAAATTCAAGGTATTGGGACATTCCAGAGCTGTGGTCCTCATGTGTTAGCTATATCAGAATCATGCTTAGGGCTTACTAAAGCACAGATTACTGGGCTCTACTCAGAGTTTCTGATTCAATAGATCAAAAACTGGATGGCACTCAAGAATTTGCGTTTATAACAAATTCCCTGGTGATGCTGCTGGGCAAGAGAACACACTTTGAGATGCATTGTCAGGGCATATTAAACTGTTATTGACTGAGGTAATCTATTTCTAAACTTTTTACAAAAGAAATTCACTTTGGGGGTAAAATGTATATCTAACTGAATGCTGAAATCATTATTTTCATTTACTGTTTTCAAACAAAACTGTGATTTTATGATGAGTCTTTGGGTTCCCCTGACCATTATGCTTTCTTACAGATTGACCTTAACTAGTTTGGTTTAATCTGCTTTCTTGTAGTTAAAATTTTGCCCCAAGGTACAAAATTGTTTAAGTTTTAATAATTTTTTTTCTCTTACAAAGGTGAATGCTATGACTCCAGTTAAAAAACAAGTTCTAGAAATATATTGACAGGGAGATTTGAAAGCAGCCCAATACGATAACTGGCTTTGTTTTACTGAAGCAAACTCCCTTTCTTCTCTTCACAGGGTTACATGAGTTCTTTTTCCTCCTAGTCCTAGTGTACTTTGTGATTGCTTGCATTTATGCTCAATCATTGTGGCAGGCTATTAAGAAAGGCGGACCCATGCACATGATTTTAAAGGTTCTGACAACTGCATTGCTGTTACAAGCTGGTTCAGCTTTAGCTAATTACATTCATTTCTCCAGGTAACTCAAAACCACTAAAACTGTGTTCATCATTACATCTAATTAATCCTAATTAGTCCACCAAAATTATGCTTGCTTTGATTATAAACAATTTTTTTCACATTTGTAATTTACACTACTCTTCTTCAATTCCTCAGTTACTCCAAAGATGGAATAGGGGTACCATTTATGGGAAGTTTGGCAGAATGTGAGTATCTTTCTGAGCATTTTTTAAAAAGCTTTTACACTCGCTATCTGCTTTTTTTTTATTTCTTGTCATAGTATAAATTTTCTGTCGAAAATTGTTTAGAAATCAGCTTGACTGAGAACAGGATTACAGTTTAAGTTCCCATATGTCTTACTTAGTTTCTTCTTAATAATAGGTAATGTGTACAGCTCCTCGTTGTTTTTTTGTTTGTTTGTTTGAGACAGGGTTCTTACTCCGTAGCCCAGGCTGGAGTGCAGTGGCACAGTCACGGCTCACTGCAGCCTCAAACTCCTAGGCTCAGGTGATCCTCCTGCCTCAGGCCTTCCCAGTAGCTGGGATTACAGGCACATACCATCATGCCTGGCTGATTTTTAAATTTCCTTTTCTGTAGATGGGGTCTCACTATGTTGCCCAGGCTGGCCTTATACTCTTGGGCTTGAGGGATCCACCCACCCTGGCCTCCCAAAGTCCTGGAATTACAGGCATGAGTCTCCACACTCTGCCTTTTCATTGTTTTTAGGTATATTTATATACATTCTCTCATCTTATCCTCAATAGAAAAGGGGTCTGCATATCCTTATTTTGCAGATAAAGGATCTGGGCTCAGTGATGTGAAACATACTTCCACATGTCAGTCAGCTATTGAGTGGTAGAGACTAGACTCAGACCTAAATTTTCTTACCTCAAAGCTGAAGTTTTTCTTCCTATTATAATTCCACTCTCTGTTATAACTGACTCTTTTCTATTTCTGACCCAAAGCCTAAAACTCACATCAAAATATGCTGTGAAGAAAAGTGATAAGTTTTCTTAAAAATCATTAAATGCTACCTCATAAAATAAATATATATATGAAACTTGAAGCATTTATAGATTTCTGTTGTTTTCTTGTAGTGTTAACCTGGATACAGGTGGTTTTGATACATCTTTTCTGTTTGAAGTAGCAGGCTTCCCCTGCAGTGTAGGTGATGGCCACCTGGTGGCACATCACACTAATGCATGGAGCTTCTCATTTGTCTTCAGGATTCTGAAAGTAAAGCCAATGTTTGGATGTTATGGGAGCTATGCATTTCATTGTATTGTTTCTTGTTAATAGTTTTAGAAAATACTCTTCACATTATAGTTCAGCCATCAAAAAAAATTCACCCAGAAATGAAGGTACTAGTATTCTCCATATTGCAGAAATCGTATTTAGAATTTGCTTTAATAAGCAGTGAGTTATAGAGAACAGGATTATGTAGTTAGAAAAGCTAAGAAAAATGGGAAACGAAAAGAGTTAAGGTTGGACTTAATGGACATATGGTATGGGCATATATATGTATTTTTAAATAGTATTGCTGCTGTTTTAACTATTTTAATAAATATATTACAAAATTTATGGCAATTTTTAAATCTTTAGAATTATTACCTGCGAATATCTCTTAATGAATTTCGTTAGCTTCTCTTTGAAAATGGCTTTTTGTGGTTTTTCTTAAAAAAAAAAAAAGATGTTCTCAATGCAAAAAGCACTAAATTTTTTATATTGTGAAAACTTGGTTGACGTTGGTTTTCATGTCCCATTAGTTTTTGACATCGCTTCCCAAATTCAGATGTTATACTTACTTTTGAGTCTATGCATGGGTTGGACAATAGTCAGAATGAAGAAGTCTCAAAGCAGACCTCTCCAGTGGGATTCTACGCCTGCATCCACTGGCATTGCAGTATTCATTGTCATGACACAGGTGGGTATTGATACTCAGTGTTTCTGCTTAGTAATCCTCAGAAATGCAAACTTGAGCATACCTCATTTCAGAATTGAAACCTGGGACCCATAAGGAATTTGTGTCATTTTTTTTTTCTTGAAATTTCTGAGCTTCTACAATTTGTGTCATTTAAAGTATGAATTTAAAGAGTGTTAGATCAAATAATCTTAATTATCTGGATGCTACTATATGTAGACTGCAGAATTTAATTATAATTTACCTGAATTTGAGCTCCTATCAGCTTATTTAAGCACAGTATGTTTAATACTAGGTTAGAGTCTTATTTCCTACTTAATAATAGCTTTCTTTCATATTTCTCTAGCACATGGTAAGTACTTAACACTGAATGAGTGATTCCATGAATTTGAGATTTATCCATTGTCAAGAATCTTTAGGATTGGCTGCTTTGTACGTAAAAGAATTCAGGTGATTATCTAAGATTAATTAAAGGGCAAAATATAGACTAAAAAAGAATGGGATCTTGTTTTTGAAAGCAAATGTAAAAACAAAACTAGTCTTTTATAAAGGTCCTGCATGCCTTTTTTTTTATTTTCCTCTATATTAATAGTATTGACATTCTAAGATACCCATATGCCTATGTTCAATGGATTTGTAAAAATTAAGAAGAAAGGTTATAAAGAAAAAAATTTGTACTGAGTTTTTGATGAGCATTAGCTATAGATGAAAATGAATTATATACTTAGGCTCTGTAGAGGACATTATAATGTAAGTTTAATGCATTAAATAAATTGAAAAATGTATTAATGAAGGATGGGGTCAGTGCTTTATTCATCTTTCTATCCCTAGTATTTAATATAGTAGGTTTTGAGTGGAATAGGAGTATTGAATTTACATGAATGATTTGAGAGAGACCATATCACAGGTGGTGATATTTAGAAAGGAGGTAGTGCCAGGAAAGGGGATGATGAGAAATAATTGAATTAGAAGAATTGATTAAAATAAGGTTGAGATTCTACCAACTTAATGTTTTTGAGCCAGGACTTATGGAGAGTAGTGTCAATGTCAGGTTAAATTCTCACTTTTTATTTCTTTTTAAAAATTTCATTTTTATTATTTCATTGTAATTTTAATTTATTGTCATAGACAAATATGAATTGAGAACTGAGATAATATTACACTAGAGTTTATATGAACATTTATGAAGAATACATTAAATATAGCTCTGATCTTCAACAAGCCAGACAAGGCAGATCAGACAGGCAGTCAGAGACTATACAAATACATACGTATTTTATACAGATCACATATTAGCATATGTATATGAAAACAGGGAAGTTTGAATATGTAAAAATATGAACCATGGGCTGTGGTAGCTCTGTGGTAGCACTTCTGTATTGCAAAAGTGAAGTTCAGAAATGTTGGTTAAGAAATCAGGAACCTCCACCTCCTGGGTTCAAGTGATTCTCCTACCTCAGCCTCCCAAGTAGCTGAGATTACAGGTGCCCGCCACCACACCCAGCTAATTTTTTGTATTTTTAGTAGAGGTGGGGTTTCACCATGTTGGCCAGGCTGGTCTCGAACTCCTGACCTCAGGTGATCCACCCACCTTGGCCTCCCAAAGTGCTGGGATTACAGGCCTGAGCCACTGTGCCCGGCAGCAATAGAATTTTTTAAAAATCTCTTAACTGTGGTCTCACTTGATAAAAATTCATTTTGTCTAGCTTAGGGTATTAGAGTGATGAAAAGACTGTACTTTATTAATTAACAACCTCTATGGTCTGATAGGAATGTTTATATAACATTTAAAGGGATGTTTATTAAAGAGTTGAAAAAAATATTGTAATGAGGTATATTTTTTTTTCCTAAATGTAATATTGTTTTTCTTTTGCAGAGTGTTTTGCTACTTTGGGAACAGTTTGAAGATATCAGTCATCATAGCTACCATTCACACCACAACTTAGCAGGGATCCTCCTAATTGTTCTAAGAATTTGCCTAGCATTGTCATTAGGCTGTGGACTCTATCAGATCATCACAGTGGAGAGAAGTACACTCAAAAGGGAGTTCTACATCACATTTGCCAAAGTATGGGTTTGGAAAGAAAATCGTTTATTCTGATTATCCACTTGGTTCTGGTTTCTTTGGGAAGTTAATAAACAACTACATGCTAACTTTTATTAAACTTCTGGGTTGGGCACAGTGGCTCACTCCTATAATCCCAGTGCTTTGGAAGGCCAAGACAGACAGATTGCTTGAGCCCCCAAGTTGGAAACCAGCCTGGGCAACATAGACCCCATCTCTACAAAAAATTAAAATTAGCCACGCTTTGTGGCGAGCACCTGTTGTCTCAGCTACTCAAGAGGCTGAGATGGGAGGATTGCTTGAGCCTGTGCATTGAAGGCTTCAGTGAGCCAAGATTGGGCCACTGCACTCCAGCCTGGGTGACAGGGCGAGACCTTCTTTTTTTCAAAAAAAAAAAAAAAAAACTTCTGTTATGTGACAGACACTACCATAAGTTCTTTATGTGGTTCAACTCATTTAACCTTAGCAACTTATGTGATGTAGGTATTATCCCTATTTTACAAGACCTGTGAGACAGTATTTTCCATATATTCTTTGCGGGTCAGTTTTGCCTGGTTCATAGTTTCATCAATAGGGATTTTACATTTTTTTCTGTAATACCAGAATTTTAAATTTTTAAAATCAAATATGGTTTGGATTTCTCAACAGTTATTAATTGACTATAAACTGTTATTCTCAGAGTTATGCAGTGTTTTATAACAGTTAGGAGCTATCCTTCAGCATAAGCAGCTGGAGCCAGGAGGCTGAGTCCATGTGTTTCAGCCAGCCTCACCCCATCCACATGAGATCGTGTCACTTTATTCCTCCTTTCTTGACCTTCTTGTGCTAGTGAGATCTAAAAGCAAATTCAGTTTTTTTTCTATACAGGAGAAGGGTTAGAGCAGTAACATTATAGAACCTTCCCTCCCTAGAAGGTTTCATTTTTCTGTCAGATTGAGAGAATCCATACCCCTTCATTTTAGCCCTGCGAACCAGCATTCTGATCAGACTGATTCTGTTCAGGCAGCCCACCTTGTCCAGAGTTATTGGCCGTTATTCTGAGGCAGCTATGGAAGGAGAGCCAGATTCCTGCTTTATTCCTAGTGTTGAGCATTGCAAAGCTGCTGCTGCTGCAGCCCTAAGAACCAACTTCAGGCTTCTGAGCGCAAGACAAGAAGATGTCATCCTGCCTTTGAGTTTTTCAGAGGGACAGTAGTGCTTATTGTTTGATAAGTTAATATGTATTTGAGGTGTTTAGGCATTAAGTTTTCTTATTTTGCTTTTTTCGTTGTTGTTTTTGAGACGGTGTCTCGCTCTATCGCCCAGGCTGGAGTGCAGTGGCGTGATCTCGGCTCACTGCAAGCTCCGCCTTCCGGGTTCATGCCATTCTCCTGCCTCAGCCTCCCGAGTAACTCGCGCCCACGCCCGGCTAAGTTTTTGTATTTTTAGTAGAGACGGGGTTTCACCGTGTTAGCCAGGATGCTCTCGACCTCCTGACCTTGTGATATGCCCGCCTTGGCCTCCCAAAGTGCTGGGATTACAGGCGTGAGCCACCGCACCCAGCCTTTCTTTTTTAAGATGGAGTTTCGCTCTTGTCCAGGCTGTAGTGCAGTGGTGCGATTTCGGCTCACTGCAACTTCCATCTCCTGGGGTCAAGCGATTCTCCTGTTTCAGTCTCTGGCATGTGCTACCACACCTGGCTAATTTCTGCATTTTCAGTAGAGATGGGGTTTCTCCATGTTGGTCAGGCTGTTCTGGAACTCCCGACCTCAGGTGATCCGCCCGCCTCGGCCTCCCAAAATGTTGGGATTACAGGCATGAGCCACCGCGCCTAGCCTCTTGTTTTGCTTTATGCTTAAAGCAGTGCAAAATTTAAAGTATTTCATGTTTTAATTTAACTTTCTAAATAGGATCAAACATCTAAAAGTATTTAAGGAGTAGCAAAAAGTTATTCTCACCTCCTCACACAATTGCTATTAGTTCTTAATTTATCCTTCTGGAGTTTTAAGTATATATGCCTATATATATTTCCTTTCATTTTTATACAAATAGTAACATACTAAACATTTTTCTATATCTTGTTTTTTTCTCCCTATATCTTTAATGTACCAAACATTTCAACAGCTATTTATTAACTTATTTTTTATTTCAAATTTAATTTTGGAAAAGAGAATACATTACTAGGTTCAAGGAAGAATAGAAAAATATTTGAAAAGTATAAACAGTTACCCATTCTTACCTGCCCAGCTCCCCCTCCTCTGTTCTAACCCTCAAACAGGTAACGACTATTAATGTTTTTTGTGTATTTTTACAGGATTTCTTTGTGTATCAGCATGCAAATATGAATGTACATTCTTTTTTCTTTTACAGGAATATTACACATTTGTGCCTTGCTTTTGTCACTTAATAATTTGTTACTTATATTAATAATTTGTAGTGTATCAAAATGTGTATGCAACAGATTTATAAACATAAGATTATAAATACTCCAAAAATACTCATTTGGTTAGAAACAAAATATTAATGTCACAGCAACAGTAAATTTATTTCTACATTTTATTGCAGGCTGTACTCTAAAGGCCTGTTGAGGTTAATCAGAACCTAAAAATGCTAGTAACATTTTTTTGTCTGGTACATGCTGAAAAAAAGCTACACAGTTCTACTTATTTCACTTTTTCCTTTGTTTCAGGGCTGTATCTTGTGGTTTTTATGCCATCCAGTTCTTGCATGCATTTCTGTCATTTTTAGCGACTACCAAAGAGACAAGGTAAGAAATATACATGATCAAAGTAGTTTTCTTAATGAAAATATTGTCTTAATTGGGAGAATATTTAAATAGGAGGGACCTATTTATTTTTTAAGACATTTTCTGGGTTATTTAAAACTTTGAAACAAAATAGTAAACCAATAAGCAGATAAATTTGAAGTTTAAAATATTTTTAAAATATTTATAAGCAAAATGGTGGAAATAGCTTTTCTTGATTGTACTACAATAGATAATTTTAAAATAGAAATTTTGTTTTATAAATTAGAGAATTTATAATACATCTTTTAAAAAATGATTAAAATTTTTCTTACATAATAGCAAAAATCAAGATTTGTAAAAATCAGTCTAGTTATTGAACAGACTACAAACCAGAGTGCCATGCTCAAGTATGATGCATTTTGATTGTGTTGATACCTACCTTCTTAGGTGAATGGCTCCATCATTTCAAAATAGAGGTCTGCCAGGAGCCCTTTACAAGCAATGCAGTATGTGCCTGAATGCACAAATGTTTATTGAGCCTGAGGTGTTTACAAAGGGTGAATAGATAGGACAGTAGTCTACAAAAATAGAGAAGCAACTTGAGAATTTTTGAAAGGGCTTTTAGAGTACTCTTTAAAGTTCAGGTAGGAGCGTGCTTTATTCCTGTTCCTAAATTAGCTAGGAACCTGATTTTTCTTATTTACTGAAACTTGTCTGTAGTGCATACCCTTAGGAGAGAATGGTTTAGCAAGTTATTCTTTTGTGCCTTACTTTGTCATCTACAAAATAACTGTTAAAGGGATTTTTATCCTTAAACAATTAGAGTTCTGAGCATTAGTCAGAAAATTTTTTTGATAAAATGTACCTATGGTAAAGATGAAAGATAGAGTATTGTATTTATATAAAAAGCATATATAGATTCATAATAAATTGAATATTATTTCTCTATTTCTGCATGTAGTAAAAGCATTCCTTTCCTTTTCTTTTCAGGTTATTACAATAGGTGTTATCCTTTGCCAGTCTGTTTCCATGGTTATTCTCTACAGACTCTTTCTGTCTCACAGTCTATACTGGGAAGTTTCTTCACTTTCTTCAGTAACACTACCACTGACCATATCATCTGGACACAAAAGTCGCCCTCATTTCTGATACTTGATTTTTGTTGAGAGGAAAAGTGAATTGGTTAAAAGAGTGCAATAAGGATCCAAATACAGTGACTTTTTTTTCATACATTTAGTATGAAAACTTGAACAGCGAAAGCAGAGCATGTTATTTATATAACTGCATTTAAGCAGTACCAAGACTGAAAAAAAAGGTAATAAATGAAATGTTTTGAAATATACTTAAACAACAAACTTTGAAGAAAGTGTTGTTATAAAATTATTGAAGCGATTTCTATGTGGAAATAAATGTGAAAAATAACTATGATATTTTGGTAAAATATTCACCACTTATAATGCCTCATCTTAATAGCTAACTCAGGTTTAATAGTCTTATAAAAAGTAATCAGTTAAATGATTACTTGCTTATAAATATCTAAACTAGTCCAGTTATGAAATCAGTGTAATACATTGATTTTTAAAACTGCTGCTTTTTATGCTTTAAGGAAAATGTATTTCATATTTGAGTTTAAAGGAATTGAAATTACTTCAGGAAATGAATATAAAATAGGTTCACAGTTAAATGAATAAGCTTTTGTTTATTTGTGGGTGGAGTTATTCTCCAATTTTTTCTGCCATTTTTGGCTCTAGTTCAGGTTTTAGCTTGATTAGCAAAGGTTTTTGACAAACAGTTTATGAAAAAATAAAACTTAAATACATTACACGGGTTGTAAGGACAAAGGATTTTAAAATCTGAGCACTTAGGTGAAGGGACAAGCAGGTTTATGTGTTTAAACAGAAAGAAGGGAAAAGGTACTATGTGATATGGTACTGAAATTTTGATCCCAATAGAATTCATTTCTCTTACGTTGAATCCCCAATCATAATTAAGCCGTATACACAGATTAAATTAACAGAAGCATTTCACATAAATGTTGGTTTCAGTCATCAACTACCCATGAATTCCTGCCCAAGGATACTTAATCAGGATTAAATTTTCTATGAATAATTGAAAAACAAAACACTCACTGGATTTGTTATAATCCGTGTTGGCACTGGATTCTAAGTAGTTGCCATCTTGAATCCTTTGTAATAAAGCCATACTTTTGTGTGTGTGTGTGATGCCCCAGTATTGAGTATGCTAGCTAAAAAATATCAAGTGCCTGATTAAAGAATTGCTAAATGGTTGTCAATACTCGCTGTATAAAATGAGTATTCCCATTAATAGTCACTGATTGGAAATTATTCTGTTGCTGTTTGTCAAGCTGTTCAGGCCTTTTCCTTTTTACTTCTGGCTTATTTTAAAAATATTTTTTATCTATTTACTGTGTGTTTAAGCAAGCAACAGTGCACTGATCTGGTAGTTAAATTTTTTAATTAAATAGTTAAAATAATGTAGTGCAACTTAAAAATATCTATGGCTTTGTTTTTGTTTTTCTTTTGTACCTAGTCTCATTGGAAATGACTAGTATTCTGCCTCATTTTCAGGGCAGAATATGTGTTTGTGACCCAAAATGACAAAGTTACCAAGTTCAACCTGCTCATTAAATCATCTCTCTATTAGTTCTTTGTAAATCACTTAGTACATTAGAGCTACAGGTTAAGACTAGAAAGTCTGAGTTATGTTTTAGGTATACATGATCGTCTGAGTGGTCATAACCTTTTCTTTTATCATGTCTCGCTAATAACCCCAGCTATTGTCTGTTGTGTTCAGCTGAGATGCAAAAAAGAAATTAAGCAAAAAAGAAAAAGATGAAGACTTTTCATGAATTTTGTGAACTTGCCAAAAGGGGAAGGGAAAAATCTTTGTGTTACTTCACTCAAAGAACATAAGTAACTGCAATTAACATATATGAAATTTATTACTCTGCTTGCATTTATGAAACTAACCAGTTTTTTAAACTTTAATTCTTAAATTTATGGTTGGAAATGCTGATAATTTATTTTGTTATTTAAGAGCTGTTGTTAAGTGGAGGAAAGTAGTTGTTAATAAATGTATAAAACTGTTCTTGACTAGTAATCAGGGACAAAATTTATAGTTCATAAGTCATGACACAGTATTCGCTCTTTTTCTGAATGTTTACATAGAGATTCATCACTGCAGATTACAGAAAGTTAAGTGTATACTACAAACTCTAATTAAAGATAAAAATCTTTTCTACTTTTCTTTGTCAGATAATGCTTTTTTATGTGTTTTTACATTTTTTGAAAGAAGATAAATGGTTCATCCAGAGCTTTATTAAGAAGCATTTCTTTTCTTCCCTTAAAAAATAGATGCTTATTTTTATTGACATGTGTATAATAAGATGGGTGCCTACTGTGATGCATTTTACCAGGCATTTTACCTTCATTATTACTCATCTCTATTGTGATAACCAGGCTCCCATTTAACTGAGTATAAGAGAGAATAAATGATTTCTCTAAGGTCATCAAACTATTTAGTTTTTCCACTTTACCTTCATGATTTAAGGAACATGTATTAGCTGTGTTTTAGTGAGAATGAATTGCTATCCATCATAATTTTTGCTGTTGATTTGAACATTAAAACTGGAATTGTGCTAAAATCAGAACATGCGCTTGAATATCTGTAAGACCTCAGCACACTTCAGTATTTGAACCTGGCTTTTAACCAGACAGTATTACTAGCAGGAGAGTTAATCTAGGCAGAAGAGCTTGCTTTAGGGTAATTATTTATTATCTCCAGTAAAGTCACATCTGATGAACATAGGAGATACACAAATCTGAGATCATCTCTAAAATAATGAGACTAGAACCTATCTATCAACATGAACATGGGCTCCTTCAGCATGTTTCTTCTAGGAGACTGCACGTTCTTTGGAATTTGGAAATTTGGAATTATCTGTGAAACATTTTCTTAAATAGCTTCTGTGGTATCAAATCATTGAGGTTGTTTTTTGTTTGTTTTGAGAATTGATATGATTGTTAGAAGTAGCCAGATACGAAGAGGTAATACTGTTTTTTATTCCAACATGTATTTGTGAATTGAGACTAAAATAATGAGATTGGTTTTCCTCTGTGATCTGAAAGTAGTGTGGTAGAAGCACCGTAGCTTGATTTCTTGCAATAGCTCTCTAAGTAATATTACCATGTCCACACTTGGGCAGCCTTCTGCACAGCTCCAGGGGCATCATATGTGTTGTGCTGTAGGAGTGCCATGAAGCCTGGAGGTGAGGAAAGAAGTGATCCTGCCCACTAGGGCCATTCTCCACAGTGTAGCCAAAACAATCTCTTAAAAATGGAAATCATCTGGATGATGAGCATACAGAAATTCTTTGTGCTAATCTTGTAATTTTTTTGTAAGTTTGAAATTATTTCAAAAAGTTTAAAAATCATATAAATCAGATCAAACTACTACTTCCCTGACAAAAACCCTCCATGTGCCTCTCATTGCACTTAGGAAAAGAAGTCCTCACTCATTACTATGTTCTGCAAGGCCCATATGATCTGGTTATCTCTTAATTTGTACCACTCTCTCACACACATATCCCAGCCTCATTGTCCTTCATCAAAAAAAGATCTAGCTTATATCACACCCTCAGATACTTGGCACTAGCCATCTTCTCTGCCTGGGACATTCTCTTCCAAATCTTAGCATGGTTGGAAGGCTGAATCCTCATCCTTCAGGTTCTCAGCTGAGATGTCTTTTAGAGAACTCACCATCTGTGGTGGATTTATATGGTGCAGTTTAGTCAACCTGGAGATAGGTTCTGCAGAATTCTCTTCCATGCATAATTTCAGGACAATGTAGGCCATAAGAAATGTTTGATACAAGATATAGAAGGCAGAAGTAAAGTAGCAGCCAGATCTGCATTCTTTTTGTAAGAGGAAGGGCCAGACAAGGCACAAGGCACAAGGCACTGTTGCAGCTTATCCACATTATTGCTTATCTGTTGGCTTCTCTTGGCCTGTGGGACAACAGCCAGGCCCACAGGAACACCAGTTCCTGCCGGAATGGCTCCTTCAGCTTCTCTGGCTCCTGGGCCAGGTGTGCGTTTTACTCTGACAAAGGGTGCCAGCTTCTGCTGGACAACTCCATCATTCACACTGGAGGATTAGAGGCAGGGAGAGACCTGTATGGCTTCCAGTCCATCCTCACAAGTTCCACTCAGTTCCCACAGGTTCTACTCATCCTAGCAAGTTCCTTGCTTCCCCCATTTCCCATGTCTTCCCTTTCCAACTGCCAGACACAAAAGAAACCGCCTCCTATAATCCCTATAATAAGCCCCTTATTTTGAATATTAAGATATGTGTATGTGTATTAGATCCTAGTGGTTCTTTTCTGATCAGACCCTGATTAACCATACCATCCTACCTAATGCTATTCCCCCATCCTAGTTCTATCATATTATCCCTTTTTTTGTTTGTTGTACTTAGCTGGTTTATCTTTGTCATCTCTCAAATTAGAATATAAATTTTAAGTGAGTTTGTCTCTATTGTTCATTGCTGTATGCCTAATACTAGGACACTCCCTGGTGCATACTAGATGCTCAAAAATATTTTTGAGTGAATGAAGGCAATGCTGAAAAAGTTCCAAATCTGTACTTAACAGTGTAGTATTAATTATGTAATAGAAGTACCCGTAGTGACTTCAATAATACCTTGCCTATTCTTTGTTCAATTGCATGGAACTTGGTAGTGTGTAAAAATCTTGACTAGTCAAGTAGTTGTCATAAAACATCAGTTACGAGAGGATTTCTCAAATTCTCACAGAGGCAGTTTCTCTTTATTTTATGTAGTCCTGTAATAGGACCATGTGTCTGGTTTCTGGCCTGCCACAACCAGAAGCACCAATTTAAAAGAGAAGTTTCTAGTCAGCTAGAGGAGGGAATGTTGACAGTAGTCAGAAGCAGCTGGGAAAAGATGGGAAAACTAGAAATGACAATAACACTCAAA
Source organism: Homo sapiens (assembly GCF_000001405.40). NCBI lineage: Eukaryota > Metazoa > Chordata > Mammalia > Primates > Hominidae > Homo > Homo sapiens. The sequence goes on from NC_000013.11 coordinate 94,632,037, forward strand.
TTGCAGCAGCCTGGGGTCATTTAGTGTAGGTGAAAGCAGCCCTGTGTTGTGTATCTCAGTAGACTCTTAAGAGATTTGTTGTTCAATGTATTCATGACAGTGACTGATGGTAATCAAGAAAATATTAAGTTATAAGTTATGTTCAGTAGCCTCAAAGAAGTATGCGAAAACCTTCTAATGTTTTCTTCTTGTTAAACAGGTAATATATGCACATTGTACAAAAATCAGAAAGTTGAAAAAGGTGGGGAAAAGAAGTCCTTCTCTCACTCATTTCCCTTCCCTGAATCCAAACTCTGTTACCAGTTATCTTTCTAGAAATGGCCCCATGCACATATAAACATATATGAAACACAAATTATAGCATAACATACAGACTTTTGCACATTCAGCAATTTATTCTGTAGCCTTACCTAGAATTGTCCCATTTTTTTCACCAATTGCATAGAACTCCATTATATGGATGTATTTTGATTTTTTCAAAGAATCAGTTCTGTTACTGCACGTTGTTGGTTTTCAGTCTTGCTAATACAGACAAGGCTGAAATTAAGACAGTAATCAAGAATTTGCCAAGACTTCCTTCCCTCCTCCCAAAATGCCTCCACTCCAGGTTCCAGGTCTAGATCCTTGGGATTTTCTAGGTGATGGAAGTATCTTTGTTATTCATAGTGAGCTCTGATAGTTACGCTAACCAGATGACTCAAATAGGGGCTAGCCACACCAGAAGACCAACCATTGGATTAGAGGGTTGGAGTTTTGAGTCATATGATATTAGCCCAACCTCTGAGGTGGAGAGAGGGGTTAGAGATGGAGTTCAGCTTTATATAGAGATTGAGTCAATTAATCATGCCTGTCATGAAACCCCGAGAGAAACTCTGGTCAGTGATGCTCAAGTGAACTTCCCTGGTTGGCAATACTCTGGTGTGTTCTAGGAGGGTGACATGTCCCTGAGGGCACAGAAACTTTGTGTTTGGGATCCTCTTACACCTTGCTCTATGTATGTCTTCTTTTGGCTGTTCTGATTTGTATCCTTTTGCTATAATAAACTGTAATAGTACGCATAGCACTTTGCTGAGTTCTGTGAGTTGTTCTATTTAATTATAGAACCTGAAGGTATTGTGGGGACCCCTGAACTTGCAGCCAGTTGGTCAGAAGTAAGGATGGTCCTGGGAATGCCCAAAGTTGCTAGTTTCTGAAGTGAGGGCAGTCATATGGAGGACTGGGCCCTTAATCTGTGAAGTTTGGCTTAACTTCAGGCAGTTGGTGTCAGAAGCCATTGCAAATATCCTGATGATCCGTGCAAAACAAAAACACTTAACAGAAAATTACGTTGTACTCTCTGTACGGATAATTTTCGGTTAAGTGTTTTTGTTTTCCATGGATTGTACTAGATATCAATCTGATAAATAACTTTTATTCATTATAGTTTTAATTTGCATTTCTCTTATTAATTTTTGTTTTAAAACCATTTTCTTTCCAGTTCTACGATCTGTTAACATATTTTTCCCACTTTTCTATTGGGTTGGTTGTCTTTTTCTTATTGATTTGTTAAAACTCTTTATAACAGAAATTGGTCATTTGTGATATGAGTCTGAACTGTGTTTCTCAATTTGTGATTTTTCTCTTTACTTTTTTAATGGTGTCTTTTTCTTGTAGTTTTTTTAATGCAGGTGGAATTATCAGTCTTTCATTTTTTTCTTCTGTGTTCTACCTGTTTCACAGGTAGAAAAGCCTTAGCTCTTTGAGATTATGTTTAAATGCCCTGTATTTTCATCTAGTGGTTTTATGGTTTTATTTTGTATGTTTTTTTCATCCACCTGGAATTTATTTTGCTGTTAAAATATGAATTAGAGATCCAACTTAATTTTTTTCAGATGGTTGTTGACTTATTGCAATATCATGTGTTATATAATCCATCTTTACTGATTCGTTGCTAATTGGTTTCTGGACTTTTAAGGCTATCTGATGAACTGTTGATCTGGTACCACACTGTTTCAATTATTGTAGTCTTAAAATTGCTGTACGCTTTGGTAGGGATAATTTTCTGTTAAGTGTTTTTGTTTTTTATAATTTTCCAATTAGTCTTGCTCATTTTTTATATAAACTTTGAAATCAATTTTTCTGATTTTCAAAAGAAAAAAAATCCTGTTTAGTATTCTTAGTGGAATGAATTAAATTTCCATAGCAATTTAGGGAAATTTGACTTTCTTAACGTGTTGAGTGTTAAACCCACAGGTGGTAGCATGACATTGACTCCTCAGCCAAGCATATTATCAACTGTCGGAAACTAGGTTTTCCCATAGTGATCCAAGAAACTAGTACGAAATGCCTTTCTGATTTTTTAAAACTTGTATACATATATAGTACATATTATATATACTTATATATTAAGTAATCAGAAGTATGTGTTTCTCAATCACCTTTTAAAGACTTCTTTATATAGCTCTTGTACATTTCTTGATATGAATATGTTAATGTTTTCTTTCATTATGTTGCATATGGCTTTTGTTTTCTGCATGAAAACTATTGATTTCTGCATTCTAATTTTGTTCCCAGTCACCTAACTGAATTCTTCTAACAGTTGTAATAAATTTCTGGTTGGCTCTCTTGTGTTTTCTAGGTAAACAACCGTATTGTCTGCAAATAATCATTATTTTTGTCTTTTCTATTCAATTTTTTACCTCTAATTGTTGCTCCTTCAACTTAAAAATGAAAACTCCAAAGCAAGCAAAAACAAGGAAATAATAAAGAGCAGGTATCAATGAATTTGATTATGGAAAAACTATAGAGAAAAATTAACAAAACCAAAAGCTCATTCTTTGAAAAGATTAGTAAAAGTTACAAGCCTCTAGCAAGACTGACAAAAGAAAAAAGACACAAATTACTAATATCAGGAATAAAAGGAGATACCAGACTGCAGACATTAACGGAACAGTAAGAAAATAGTACAAACAAACAAACAAAAAAACATTCTCTACTAACATAAATATGGCAATTTAGATGAAATAACCAATTCTCTGAAGACTATATGGCAAGAACTATAAAAGGTCTGAGATTTTACATACTTACAAGCTAACTAACCTGTTACAGCAAGCACCATGAGCTTCATGTTGGTTTACCTTGGTTATACATATATCTGAAGTTTATGGAGGCAATACAGGCAGGACTACATGAATATTCCACATGCAGTGGATTTGTGTTGCACCCAAGGAACACTGAACCTAGACAGTTTATCTTCTTTATAACTGGCTCTTTGTCAAGGGGGAAACATTTCCTCATCCTGCTCACTATATACACAACCTTGAGACATGGCCTAGATAAAGAGTAGTTAGAGCCTCGTGTTCTTGGTCTCCCCATTAGGAACATGCAGGGATGCAAAAGGATGGTGGACTGCCTCTCCCAACATCGCAAACTACCAAAACCCACTCAAGAAATAAATATCCAAAATAGTCCTATAACTATCAAAGGAATTGAATTCTTATTTAAACAACTTTTGAAATAGAAATCTCTAGTCCCAGATGGTTTCATGGGTAAATTCCACCAAACATTTAAAGAAATAACACTGATTCTACACAATCTATTCCAGAAAAATAGAAGAGGTGGGAGAGAAAGGTGCAAAGGCAAGTTTGTGAAGAAAGGAATGCTTTTGATGCTTTTGCAACAAATGATGTTGAAACTAATGGACATCCATATGCAAAATAAATGAACCTCAACCTAATTCTCTCACCTTGTATTAGTGTGTTTTCACACTGCTGATAAAGATACCCGAGACTGGGTAATTTATAATGAAAAAGAGGGGTGTGTGTGTGTGTGTGTGTGTGTGTATGTGTTTGAGATGGATTCTTGCTCTGTCGCCCAGGCTGGAGTGCAATGCCATGATCTTGGGTCACTGCAACCTCCGCCTCCCGGGTTCAAGTGATTCTCCTGCCTCAGGCTCCCAAGTAGCTGGGACTACAGGCCAGTGCCACCATGCCCAACTAATTTTTGTATTTTTAGTAGAGATAGGGTTTCACCATGTTGGCCAGGTTAGTCTCGATCTCTTGACTTCGTGATCTGCCCGCCTTGGCCTCCCAAAGTGCTGGGATTACAGGCATTAGCCACTGTGCCTGGCCAGTGAAAAAGAGGTTTAACGGACTTACAGTTCCATGTGGCTGGGGAGGCCTCACGATCATGGCAGAAGGCAAAAGGCATGTCTTACATGGCAGCAGATGGGAGAATGAGAGCGAAGTGAAAGGGGATTCCCCTTATAAAACCGTCAGCTCTTGTGAGACCTATTCACTACCAGGAGGATAGTATAAGGGAAACCACCTCATGATTCAGTTATCTCCCACTGGGTCCCTCCCACAACGTGGGAATTATGGGAGCTACAATTCAAGATGAGATTTTGGTGGGGACACAGCCAAATCATATCACACCTCATACAAATATTAAAAGGAATCATAGATCTAAATGTAAAACATAAAACTAGAAAACTTTTAGAACACAGGAGAAAATCTTTATGATGAGGTTATGCAAAGAATTCTTAGACACCTAAAACATAATCCACAGAAGATAAAAAATGGCAAATTTGATTTCAAAATGAAAAACTTTTGTTCTGCAAAAGACACTGTCAAGAGAATGAATAGACAGGCAATAGTCTGGGAGAATATTTGTAAATATGATAAAGTTTAATAAAGGATTCCATATAAAGAATGTATTAAAAACTCTTAAAACTCTACAGTGAGAAAGCAACCCAATTAAAAAATGAGCCAAAATCTTGAACAGACATTTCACCAAAGAATAAATATACAGCTAGCAAATTAACACATGAGAAGATGTTCACTATAATTAGTCATTAGGGAAATGCAAATTAAAAGGTTGGAGAGATACTACTACACATCTATTAAAATAGCTAAAATAAAAATACTGAAATTACCAAGTCCTGGAAAGGATGTGGAGCAGCTGGAACTCTCCTACATTGCTTGTGGGAATGCAAAATAGGAGAGCCATTCTGAAAAACAGTTTTGCAGTTTCTTATAAAGTTAAATTACCATATGACCCAGCAATTCCACTCCTTGGTATTAACCCTAGAGAAATGAATGGCTCATACAAAAACCTGTGCATACTGTTTATAGCAGCTCCATTCATAATTATAAAAAACAACGACCCAGATGTCCTGAATTGATAAAGTATGATGTATCCCTACAAAGGAATATTATTAGTAATAAAAGGAAACTTGATTCACACAACTTGTATGAGAATCAAAGGCCTTATGTTGGATGAAAGAAGCTAGTCTTAAAAAGTTACATGTTATTGTATGATTCAACTTAGATGGCATTCTCATATAGACAAAGCTACAGTAATGGGGAAAACATCAGTGGTTGCCAGGAATTACAGGTAAGGACAGGGTATGATTACAAAGGGGTAACACCAAGGAGTTTTGAGGGAGGTGATGGAACTCTTCTTTATCTTGACTGTGTAGTGGTTATCTCAGTCTAGATGTATGTTAAAATTCAAAGAATTGTATATTAAAGAAGTCAATTTTACTGTATCATGATTTTTTTAATTGTACTTTAAGTTCTAGGGTACATGTGCACAGTGTGCGGGTTTGTTACATATGTGTACATGTGCCATGTTGGTGTGCTGCACCCATTAACTCGTCATTTACATTAGATATATCTCCTAATGCTATCCCTCTCCCCTCCCCCTACCTCACGACAGGTCTCGGTGTGTGATGTTCCCCTTTCTGTGTCCAAGTGTTCTCATTGTTCAATTTCCACCTATGAGTGAGAACATGCGGTGTTTGGTTTTCTGTCCTTGAGGCAGTTTGCTGAGAATGATGGTTTCCAGCTTCATCCATGTCCCTATGAAGGACACAAACTCATCCTTTTTTATGGCTGCATAGTATTCCATGGTGTATATGTGCCACATTTTCTTAATCCAATCTATCATTGATGGACATTTGGGTTGGTTCCAAGTCTTTGCTATTGTGAATAGTGCTGTAATAAACATGTGTGCATGTGTCTTTATATCAGCATGATTTATAATCCTTTGGGCATATACCCAGTAATGGGATGGCTGGGTCAAATGGTATTTCTAGTTCTAGATCCTTGAGGATTCGCCACACTGTCTTCCACAATGGTTGAACTAGTTTACAGTCCCACCAACGGTGTAAAAGTGTTCCTATTTCTCCACATCCTCTCCAGCACCTGTTGTTTCCTGACTTTTTAATGATCACCATTCTAAATGGTGTGAGATGGAGTCTCATTGTGGTTTTGGTTTGCATTTCTCTGATGGCCAGTGATGATGAGCATTTTTTCATGTGGCTTTTCGCTGCATAAATGTCCTTTTGAGAAGTGTCTGTTCATATCCTTTGCCCACTTTTTGATGGGGTTGTTTTATTTTTTCTTGTAAATTTGTTTAAGTTCTTTGTAGATTCTGGATATTAGTCCTTTGTCAGATGGTAGATTGCAAAAATGTTCTCCCATTCTATAGGTTGCCTGTTCACTCTGATGGTAGTTTCTTTTGCTCTCAGAAGCTCTTTAGTTTAATTAGATCCCATTTGTCAATTTTGGCTTTTGTTGCCATTGCTTTTGGTGTTTTAGACATGAAGTCCTTGCCCATGCCTATGTCCTGAATGGTATTGCCTAGGTTTTCTTTTAGGGTTTTTATGGTTTTAGGTCTTACATTTAAGTCTTTAATCCATCTTGAATTAATTTTTGTATAAGGTGTAAGGTAGGGATCCAGTTTCAGCTTTCTACATATGGCTAGCCAGTTTTCCCAGCACCATTTATTAAATAGGGAATCCTTTCCCCATTTCTTGTTTTTGTCAGGTTTGTCAAAGATCAGATGGTTGTAGATGTGTGGTATTATTTCTGAGGCCTCTGTTCTGTTCCATTGGTCTATATCTCTGTTTTGGTACCAGTACCATGCTGTTTTGGTTACTGTAGCCTTGTAGTATAGTTTGAAGTCAGGTAGCATGATGCCTCCAGCTTTGTTCTTTTGGCTTAGGATTGTCTTGGCATTGTGGGCTCTTTTTTGGTTCCATATGAACTTTAAAGTAGTTTTTTCCAATTCTGTGAAGAAAGTCATTGGTAGCTTGATGGGGATGGCATTGAATCTATAAATTACCTTGGGCAGTATGGCCATTTTCCCAATATTGATTCTTCCTATCCATGAACATGGAATATTCTTCCATTTGTTTGTGTCCTCTTTTATTTTGTTCAGCAGTGGTTTGTAGTTCTCCTTGAAGAGGTCCTTCACATCCCTTGTAAGTTGGATTCCTAGGTATTTTATTCTCTTTGAAGCAATTGTGAATGGGAGTTCACTCATGATTTTTTTAAATAAAATAAAAAATGAATGTTGTTTAATGCCTTTTCATCATCCAAGAATATGATGATATAATTATTCTCTTTTGTTCTATCAACATGGTGAGCAGCAGTAATAGATTTCCTGATGTAGAACCATCATTCAATACATTTTGGAAAGTTTTATCATCCCAAACTGATGAGATTTTTTTAAAAAAACGGCCAGACACGCTGGCTCTCACCTGTAATCCCAGCACTTTGGGAGGCCGAGGCGGGTGGATCACTTGATGTCAGGGGTTCAAAACCAGCCTGGCCAACATGGTGAAACCCCGTCTCTACTAAAAATACAAAAATTAGCTGGGCATGGTGGCATGTGGCTGTAATTCCAGTTACTGGGGAGGCTGAGGCAGGAAAATCACTCGAACCCAGGAGGCAGAGGTTGCAGTGAGCCGTGATCATGCCACTGCACTCCTGCCTGGGCGGCAGAGCAAGACTCCGTTTCAAAAAAAAAAAAAAAATCCGGATACTTAATATGGTATAATCTCTAGCAGTATGAAGAATGAGAACATTCAGATTCACTCTCGAGTCATATCTGTTTGCTTTGAAAAGTCTATTTAAAATCAGCTCTTTTTTTTTTGTTTTTTTTTTTTTTTTTGAGACAGTCTTGCTCCGTTGCCCAGGCTGGAGTGCAGCGGCACAATCTCAGCTCACTGCAACTTCTGCCTCCCGGTTTCAAGCAATTCTCCTGCTTCAGCCTCCCGAGTAGCTGGGATTATAGGCTCCCGCCACCACGCCCTGCTAATTTTTGTAGTTTTAGTAGAGACGGGGTTTCACCATGTTGGCCAGGCTGGTCTCAAATTCTCGACCTCAAGTGATCCACCCACCTCAGCCTCCCGAAGTGCTGGGATTACAGGCGTGAGCCACCACACCTGGCAAGTTGTACTGTTTGAATTTTTGCTTTATACATCACTTATATTTCAGATTTATTGCCACTAGGTGCTGTAAAATATGGCTGGTTAGGTATAAAAGATGTTGAAACCTTTCACAATTAGAAGGTATTATGATATACTGGAAAAGAGCATGGCCTTTGTGGCAAGACAGACCTGAATTCAAATCTTGGCTGTGCCATTTTTCAACAATTTTCTTATTTGTAATCTGTTTCAGAGCAAACAGTCATTCTTTTAGTACAGGAAAAGGTCCTACAAGATAGAGTGAGAAGTGGCCAGATCTGAGAGATGAGTTCTGATATTAGGAGCTCATGGAATTGTTGTAAAGATTATGTATGGTGCTTGTTCCCACTCAGTGCAATGCTCATTGTTTATAGACCTGAAGGTTTTGTGTAAAATTTTCAGCGAGCCTGATGTTCTTCCTAATCTGTCTGTTCGTGGAGATAATATTTAAATGTGCATGAGATGAAATGTTTGTTTTAAATAATCATACATATGTGGTTAGAACAGAAAGTTAGGTGTGTTTGGGATATGTTCAAGATTCTAATTCACACATGACTGCATTCCAACTTACTCCCACACAAAATAAACTTTTAAATCTCTTGCCTAGCCTGTGAGCCTTATAGATCTTTCAGAAGATTAGTTTTTAAGACTTACTCAGAAGTCAATGTTTGTAAAAGGCTTTTTTTTTTTTTTTTTTTTTTTTTGGCGAGGGGGCCAGGGTAAGTAAGAGACAGATTGTTTCAGTGCAAAGTGGTTTCTTTCTGGGTACACCACAGATTGATCTAACTTATGTTCCTCGTCAAATTAGTAGACTATGTTTTATTTCATTTTGTAAAGACAGCAGCTTTTGTGGAAATAAATGATACCTGGTAGTTGTTAAATTTTAATATTTCCAAACTAACAAGGCTTTTAAATCCCTGTGAATTCTATCTTTGATTGTTCTTCAAAGAATGTAGAGTGGTTCATAGAGTTAACCTGAGAATTCAAGATGGAAAACATTCCTGGCAGAGGAAGGTTGGGTTTTAAACACATAGCAAAAATTACAGATTATGGCTTCTATCTAGATTTTAAGGTCATAGGTCTTTCACCTTTTAAAATATGAATTCCCTTCTAGAGAGCAACATTTCCTGCCAGCTCTTCAGCTTCCAGGAACCCCTCTCTCAGATCCAGCCACTCCTCACTCTATCCAGTGAGAACTCTTCAGTGTGCTAAAAGAATCACTGTTTGCTCCAAACCAGATGTTTCCCTCCAGGGCTCTGCTTTAAGTCGGTAAGGCAATATTTCCTGCCCTTTGTCTTCTCCGTATTTTTCATACTTCTCCTCTTTATCATAATGTTGTTTTAGTTTTTCTGATTCTTGATGATACACCACTGTCAGCTCAAGCTTATGCTGAATTTCAACAGCTGTGACATGTCTAAACTGCATTATCTCGAAAACATTGGCTCTAGTGAAAACTAGAAAGGAGCCAAATTAATAAAACAAAACATTTCAAAGGGTTCCTATGGATACATCCTGAAACTAGGAAGTACATACTGAGTTGAGTTGACTCACTCAGCCTGTAATAGCCTCTTCTACACTGCTGCAGCATTTGTGTACACACTGTATAATACATGCTTCAGGAGAATTGGAGCATCTGATGATTGCAATCACATCACTAAAGGTGCACCTTGTTGCCTATGAAATCCATTCTTAAATGGGTTATTGTGTTTGAAGTGATTTATTACAATCTTTAGAGATAAAATATAAATACCATACTAGGGGTGTGGAAACCAAGGTACAAAATGATATGTTTTATGTAGAGGAGTAATCAGAAAATAATGAGTATGCATTCTAATAAGGGTAAAGTCACTAGAGCAGATTGAAAAGACTTCCTTTTATTGCAAGTTGAACCTGTGCAAAGCTGGACTCAGGCAGTAATAACATGATGCTACGTTCCTTTGCCTCTGGTTTTATGAGATCTTTATGCGTCCAGTGTGACTTTCTTCTTTATATATTCATGTTTTAGTTTTAATATATCTGCCTTGAGTTTGATTTTTTTTTTTTAGGGAGCTTCTGGGCAGGAATGTAAACACTACTGTACAGCCTCTGGGTTATAAGTGGTGGGGGCGGAGGTGGTGGCGGAGGAGGAGTCAGAAAAGGAGGAATAGATTCTGAAGTGAAGATCAGCTTATTTTTTATTTGAAAAGGAAATGCTTTTTATCTCCTTATATATAATGACTTTTTTCTGGGTTATTTGCGTATGCTTGGCCTTTTCTGTTAGTTCTTCATCTTTTTCTTTACACTTGCTAAGAACTGTGCCTACAATGCATATTGAAAATATTTTTCCTGCTTTGTGATTTGCTTTTCAGTTTTTTATATGATTGTTTTGGCATACAGAAATTTAAAGCTTTCATATAATCAAGTATGTGAATATTTTCCTCTGGGGTTCCTGCGTTTGGTTTTCTTCAGTACCCAAGATTCCATCTTCACTGGCATCTGTATACACTAATGCCATGGCTTCAATTGTTACAATCAATCTTTAATCTACTTGGAATTTATTTTTATATAAAACAATAGTTCTTATCCAGGCTATGCATTAGAATCACATGAGAAAAAAAATATTCATGCCTAGATTCCATCCCAGACTAATTTGTCGAGAATCTCTGAGGGTGGGGTGTGGTCACTGTATTGTTTCTGAATTTCTGCAAGTGACTTGAGATGTACAACCAGACTCAAGAACCGCTGTGTAAAGGGTCAGGTAGGGATCCAACATTTTCTTTTTCCAAATTGTTCCAATCCACCCTGCAAAGACATTTTTGAAGAATGCTGATGTACAAATTGCCATGATAAAATAAATGTTAAGTTAAAAAAAAATGAAAACTTCATATATGCCAATACTCTCCAATTCCAACTTTGTGCTACTATATATAGTATTATATAAGAACTGAAAAAATGCAACCAAATCTTGATGATTATCTCAGGGTGGTGGAATTTAGATTTTCTTATTTATCCTTTTCTTCATTTTCCAAATACTCTACAAAGATCATGTTTTACTCTTTGTAATAAGAAAAATTGTAAAAGAATTTTAATATTTAAAAATCAAAGATTATCATCTATTTATTTATTTATTTATTTTGAGATGGAGTTTTGCTCTTGTTGCCCAAGCTGGAGTGCAATGGTGGAATCTCAGCTCACTACAACCTCCGCCTCCCAGGTTCAAGTGATTCTCCTGCCTCAGCCTCCCAAGTAGCTGGTATTATTACACGCATGCACCACCACACCTGGCTAACTTTTTATTTTTAATAGAGACAGGGTTTCACCATGTTGGTCAGGCTGGCCCTGAACTCCTGACCTCAGGTGATCTGCCCACCTCAGCCTCCCAAAGTACTGGGATTACAGGTGTGAGCCACCGCGCCTGGCCTATTTTTATTTTTTTATTTTTTCTTTTCTAGTCATTTTTTTACAAGTGCATAGAAGAGTACTTTGACAGCCCTAGCATCTTCCCTAAGTGCTAGAGTGCAGCAAGGGGATGTGAAACATTTTATCCTAAACATTTGACTATTTTGATCAGATCAGAGTGGCAATTCTTAAAATCTTAGACCTGGGCTGGGTGCAGTGGCTCATGCCTGTAATCCCAGTACTTTGGGAGGCTGAGGCGGGCAGATTACGAGGTTAGGAGTTCGAGACCAGCCTGGCCAATATGGTGGAACTCCATCTCTACTAAAAATAGAAAAATTAGCCAGGAGTGGTGGCGTGCGCCTGTAGTCCCAGCTACTCGGGAGGCTGAGGCAGAAGAATCTCTTGAACCCAGGAGGCAGAGGTTGCAGTGAGCCAAGATCACACCACTGCAGTCTAGCCTGGATGGCAGAGTGAGACTCTGTCTCAAAAAAAAAAAAAGAAAAAAAATCTTAGATCTGAAAAGGAGTCTTAGAGGTTCTATTAAAATAATCCCCTTATTTTACTGACCAGGAATCTAAAGCCTCCAGGGATAAAAATTTGCTGAAAACACGTGGTCACATAGAAGCAGAACCAAGACCAGAACAGGCAAAACTGATCTATGGTGATAGAAATAAGAGCAGTGAGAGCTGATTGGAAGGGGACACAAGAGAACTTTCTGGGGTGCTAGAAATATTCTTATTTTGACTGAATATTGGTTACATGGATATATACACTTATCAAAATTCACCAAAATGTACACTTAAGATGCATACATTTTACTCTATGTAAATTTTACCTAAAAATATTTTTAAAGATGCCATTGTAATCACAGCTATGAAGGGAGCTAACAAAGTTGTTCCACATAAGATGGGGACATAACTAACTAGGCACGAGGCATAGAAGCAAAATTCATATTGGACTTAAAATCCAATGACTAAGTTATAGAGTAGATTTTACTCTACAAGACCTGAATATGTTAAATGGAAGCATTACATGGAAGAACTGGAAATGTATTATTTTGTTTTACTTAGTCTAGCTAGGCTAAACCCAGTGGAATGTTAGATTAAATTGGATTTTAATATTTTGAGAGGACTATTGAAGAGAGTAGAAGAAAATTAGCTAAAACAATGTAAAGTAGATCCTATGAGGAAATGTAAAACGACAGATAGTTACAAGGATTAAAGAAAAGGCTGAGGGGACTTCTTAAAAACAAAAATGTAAATGAGGCTGGGCGAGGTGGCGCACACCTGCAGTCCCAGTACTTTGGAAGGCTGGGGTGGGAGGATCGCTTGAGCCCGGGAGTTCAAGACCGGACTGGCAACATAGTGAGACTCCATCTCTACAAGTATATATATACACACTCGTAGACTAGTATAGTCTATACTAGTATACACTAGTGATATACTGTATCACTAGTCTATAACTTAGTTATTGGATTTTAAGTCCAATATGAATTTTGCTTCTATGCCTTGTGCCTAGTTAGTTATGCCCCCATCTTATGTGGAACAACTTTGTTTGTCAGCTCCCTTCATAGCTGTGATTACAATGCCATCTTTAAAAAAATATTTTTGGGTAAAGTTTACCTAGAGTAAAATGCATGGATCTTAAGTATACATCTTGGTGAATTCTGATAGATGTATACATCCATGTAACCAACATCATATATATATCTGGGCATGGTGGTAAGCGCCTGGGTTCCAGCTACTCGGGAGGCTGAGGTGGGAGGATCACTTGAGCCCAGGAGTTAGAGCTGCTGTGAGCTATGATATCACCCTACTGCACTCCAGCCTAAGCAACAGAGCAAGACCATGATTCTATTTTTTTTTTAAGTAAATGAAGGGGAAGTGTGTGATATGGAGGACATAGCTCTTTTATATTTCACAGATAACAGAATTATATGCAATAATTCAAAACTATGGTAAAAGCAATTTAGGTTAGACTTTTAGAAAGAACTTAGTGATTGGGCATGCTCCCCCCTGCCAAAAGTCAGTCGCCATAGTCCAATGCTGATGGTGCTACCGGAAGCAAAGGAAAGGACAACTGGCCACTGAGAGCCTCTCTCAGCCCTGAGTTGGGGACCACAGGACATCTGAGAGTATTACTTAATGGAATCCATGAAAGAAAAACTCTAAGTCAGTACACATCCTCATTCATTTAGGCTCTCATCAACTATGGAAGGAAGGAAGCTGTTTGTTAATTTTTAAGAAATGATTAATAAGAATCCTTTGGCTTTTGATCCTCAGGGCTCACCTTAGGTGTGAGTTCCTCTGGGAAGCCTCTCTGGCTCCCCTAGCTCCCAGGTGGGTTAGATACCCCTCCCTTATGCTCCTGTGGTTCTTGCCTTGCCATACTGCACTTCAATTTTCCATTTTCTTCCTCTTCTCTACGCTTTGAGCTCCTTGAGGGCAAGAACTGTATCACTAGTCTATTCTCAAAACTTAGCAGGAAGCCTAACACATAATAGGTACTCAATAGATATTTGTTGAAAGATGACCACCAGCCTAATTAAGTTGGCTAATGGGAAAAATGACTTCCTAATGGCTACATGCAGCAATTTGAGAGGCTGAGGTGGGAGGATTGCTTAAGCCCAGGAGTTTTTGAGACCAGCCTGAGCAACATAGTGAGTCCCATCTCTACAAAAACTACAAAAATTAGCTGGGCAAATATGAAATATACAAAAATTTTAAAAAATTAGTCCCAGCTGTTTGGGAGACTGAGGTGGGAGGATCACCTGAGCCCAGGAGGTCAAGGCTGCAATGAGCCATGATCACACCATTGCACTCCACTCTGGGTGACAGAGACCCTGTCTCAAAGGAAAAAGAAGTATTTTTTCATTTTAATTGAAAATTCCTTTTTTCTCTTACTCCATTGTAAAACTAAATACACAAGAAAATTAGAGGAGTTTAATAGGGGAAAATTAGAAAGTATAATCAAGCAAAGAATATTACAAGCAAAAAACAGAAAAACCTATCTCTACCAACTAGACACTACTGTTAATAAATTTGTATATATTCTTGCAGATTTTCCCCCTTAAGGTTAAGTATAATATAAATATCATGCACATATTAAATGGGATAATTCTATAATATTATTTCATCATGTGCAGGATATATTAATTTTTAGCACCAGTTAAAATGCCTGAACACTATTCCACTGTGTGAACATAACTTACTTAACGAATTCCTAGACATGTGGATTTTTCATTTTTATAAACAATGCTAAATCGTTTCTTAAAGATTTTTAAAGGCAAGTAGCCTCTTTCATCAAGGGGAAGGTAACATAACAGAAATGCATCTTCACTAAAAGTTCCGCTAGACTGGAGTGGACCTGTTTTATTGGGCACTCCATCTGGCATGTAGTAGGCACTAGGTGAGTTTTATAGGACAGCAAACGAGAGAAAGGGCAGGATGCCAGGATAGTAGCCTTTCCCCTCTGTAGTGAAATTCTGTACTTCTTATTCAATTCTGGATTTCGGTTTCATGCCCAAATTAACTTTTTTACTTTGCAGTACACTCATTTATTCACAGCACAAATGTAATAGTATTTCTGCTGTTAATTTTAGTTTGTTTTAATTTCCTTCCTGCTTGTAGTGTTTTCATGGTTTATCTTTATCAGCAATATTAGTTTATGATGTCAATTCATTGTACCTTTTAAACTTTACATAGCACTTTGTACAATGCCAAGCATTTTTAGAAGTTTCATAAATAACATTTGATGTTGTTATTGAGTTCCTACTATATCTTCTTTCATTCGTGAAGTTTTACTCACTGCTTGCTATGTCCCAAGGGGTGTGTTAGAGGTGAAGATACAAAGGAATGAGAAAGGGGATGGAGGCTCTGTCCTCAGGAAGCTCTTACAGGTAACAGATAGGCATGGAATCAGACACAGGCATTACAGTGAGTAAGTACCAGAGGAGTTCTGCACACAGTTTAATGGAAAGACTGGAGAAAGCAACTGCAGGGTTTTGATGGTGGACAGAGAGGGCTTCATGGTGATGAAAGGCAAGGTGAAGATATTGGAATCTTGAAGAATGAGCCAGGAAGTTTACCAGAAGGCCCAAGGAAGGAAGGGCATTCTAAGCAAACTAAATGGCCCATGCAAAGCAGAGGTCTGAATGAGCTTATTTGGGGAAATACATGTTGTTTGGTAAGGCCAGAGGGCAGGACACAAGTTGGAGAGTGCCAGAAGAGGCTAGCAAGGTGGTCAATCAAAAAGCCTTTTGAATAACAGACTAAGGAATACAAATTCTACTCATGTATTTATGTATTTATTTTTGAGACAGAGTTTCGCTCTGTCACCCAGGCTGGAGTGCAGTGCTGCAATCTTGGCTCACTGTAACCTCTGCCTCCTGGGTTCAAGTGATTCTTGTGCTTCAGCCTCTGGAGTAGCTTGGACTTTAGGTGCCTGCCACCATACCTGGCTAATTTTTGTATTTTTGGTAGAGACAGGATTTCACCATGTTGGCCAGGCTGATCTTGAACTGCTGGGCTCAAGCCATTCGCCTGTCTTGGCCTCTGAAAGTGCTGAGATTACAGGCATGAGCCACCCTGCCTGGCCTATTTTTTAGTTCTTATTTACTTATTTATTTTTGAGGCAGGATCTCGCTCTGTTACCCAGGCAAAAGTGCTGTAGCACAATCACAGCTCACTACCGCCTCAACCTCCCGGGCTCATATGAGCTTCCCGCGTCATTTTAAAAAATTTTTGTGAAGATGAGGTCTCACTATGTTGCCTAGGCTGCTCTTGAACTCCTGGGCTCAAGTGAGCTGGGTCCTCTTCCCTGGGTCTTACAAAGCTTCAACAAAGGTGTCAGAGTGGCTGTGTTCTTTTCTGCAGCCCATAATGTTCTTCCAAGCCTATGTGGTTGTTAGCAGAATTCAGTCCCTGTTCTCTTACTGGCTGTCAGCCACGGCCACTCTTAGCATCTAGAGGCTGCTCCCAGTTCCTTGCTATGTGGCCCTCTCCCAGGTCCTCTCTCAGCACAGCAGTTTACTTCTTCAGGGGCAGCAGGAGAATCTCTCTGACTTCTAGAGTTTAGTTTACTTCTAGACCTTCTTTAAAGGGCTCACCTGATTAGATCAGGCCCACTCAGGCTTATCTCTCTTTTGATTAACTCAAGGCCAGCTGGGGAGGGACTTGAATTACATCTGCACGATCCCTTCACTTTTGCCACACGGGGTATCACTGGAGCGCTCTCTCATCACATTCATGGTCCTGCTTATACTCGAAAGTGTGGGTCCCTGGGGGGCATCTTAGAATTCTGCCTACCACAGAGAGTGTGTCATGAATTAAAACAGAAAGTACATGAAGAAGGGCAATTTCATTGGGGTTAAATATTGAGTTTTGTCTTCAAATGAATATTGTTTGAAATATCTGTGTCATGTGGTAGAGAATACTGTATTTGGTGACTTTCTACATAGTACCTATGGGCTCTGACACACATTTTGTGTCAGCTCAAATCCTACAAAATCATCTTCCTAATCACTGTAGTCACCCAATGGAACAAAAGTTGTAATTGCATGGATGACAAGAGCATCTTAAAATGTCTTTGCATCGTTACAATCTTAATGTAAAAATTTCATCTTATATGCTTTCACTTCACTTATTGTTTTGTGTCTATGACACACATATACACACACATCTTGAAATAATATAAAATTATTTCACATTACATATTTGCTTGCAGGTAGTGTGAGATATTCTTGTGAAAGGTATATGTACAAAATGCTTCTTTTACATATTTTGCCAACAGTATACATTTATTCCCCAATGCTAATGGATTCTCTGGCTTCAGGACAGAAACTAAAACACATTCTTTCTTACACTTTGAATTTTAAGAAAAAGTATCTTTATAATGATATGTTATTATGTACTGCTACAGAGTGAACCTCATGCAGTAAAATATAGTTTATGTGATGCCTGATACTACACAGTTGATGTTGGTGAATATCGCCATATTTACATTTACAGCACGTGTGTTGGCATTTTATAGGAAAAGCCTGTGTTAAAGCTACACAACTGCCCTACAAAGGTTAAAACAGTTGCCAACTGAGAGGAGGCACTGCCTGAAGCCTTTGAGACACTCTTTCTACAAGGGCAACATCAAACAAGATGGTGGATGGCTTCATTAGCAGCCTGTTTGAATAGCATTTTCTCACTTTGAGATAAAAATGTTCTGAAGAGTTTGTTTAGGTCTACTAATGAATATTTCATCCCAGATGGAGAAAGCACACAGGGGAATATTGCACAAACAACTGGTCCATGAACTCTCTCACCCTTTGTGTTCAAGTGGTGTGTGTATCTGAAGAGGATGGGGCTGCATATTTGATGGCACCGACTCTTTTCAAACATGGTTTTGCTGTTGTCGTTTAGCTTTGCTTGTCTTGTGAAACAACTGAATTCTCACTCGCGCTCTAGGAGCATAGGACACTGTTGAGAAATTAAATCAGTATGTATTGAGCAAACATCTAATTTTAGGATTTTTAAAACTCTCTCTCCTAAAGACCTCTATTAGGCTGAAACTTTACATGGAATACAAAATTAAAAGGTTTACAAATAAGTATGTTTTGCTGTGTCGTATAATGATTTAAATTTATGAGTTAAAAAAAAATCTTTGAAGTGTATCAGCCCTTACATGTTCACAAGATCTGGAGGATCAGGGCCCTCATTTGCATTTTTGTATTTTCTTTAGCTCAAAATAGATTTGATTCAAAAACAAAATTTGGCATGAGATTAATCCATAATAGGATTTTATTGCTTCTGTTATTTTTTAAAAAAACAATGTTATGCTTTGAGGTGTGATTAGCTCATAAATACAGCAGCTACTTTTCAGATATGTCTCATTTCATTTTTTTTAGTATTCACCCTTTGGCTTCCACATTTGTGGAATGGTGTTGGAATTGTACACTTTAGCTCACTTTCCTTTCATCTACCCAGAAGCACAAAATTTAGCACCAGTTTCTTTAGCCAGATTGTGACAAATGAGTCCTCATAGTTACTAGGTATGACGTGTAATATATTTGAAAAGCTAACAGGTTTGCCAACAAGTACATCCAGTAGATATTAGAGTTGTAAGAAATTTAAAGTTAATGGCTGAAATGCTAGAATTGAGTTGCCTACCTTGCCTCAGGAATATATAGTACAAGGGCTAGATTTTGCTCCATTAGACAGCTATGTAAGTAAAGATTATAGAAATCAGAACGTTTACTGTAGTATGTTTAACAATACCCTAATTGGATCATTGTTCTTTTTCTTACAATCTATTTTGCTTGGAAAACTTGAGATCAGAATGACTGTTGGCTTACTTTTCGATAAATGACCTATTTAATTTTTCCCTTGATATGACTTTTGATTTTGAGTTTTTCACTTTGTTTCTTGTAACATTATGGCCAATTTTTTTTTTTTTTTTTGAGACAGGGTCTCGCTCTGTCGCCCAGGCTGGAGTGCAGCGGCACAATCTCGGCTCACTGCAACCTCTGCCTCCCGGGTTCAAGCAGTTCTTCTGCCTCAGCCTCCTGAGTAGCTGGGATTACAGGCATGTGCCACTGTGCCCAGCTAATTTTTGTATTTTTAGTAGAGACGGGGTTTCACCATGTTGGCCAGGCTGGTCTCGAACTCCTAACCTCAAGTGATCCACCTGTCTCAGCCTCCCAAAGTGCTGAGATTACTGGCATGAGCCACCGCGCCGGCCATGGCTACTTTTTTTTTTTTTAACCTACAGCACCTGGTATTCCCAGGCGATCTCCCATCAAAGTACTAACCAAGTCTGCTAACCTTCCCAGATCAGACAATGTTGTCTGATCTTGGATGCATTCAGGGTGGCATGGTATGATATGGCCACAATTTAATATTTCTTGAGCACAAGCCAAGAATTAAACAAGGTCAAGACTGGAAAGTAAACTTGGCCTTTGGATTTATGATCCAAATTAAGCATGTACTTCAAAGACAAATTGTTAAAACCTGTAGTAAATATATAGCACTCATTATCTGAAGAAGCTGTGTCAGCCATGTTTATGTATTGGTTATACCTGTGAGTAGTATACATGCTTAGCCTTCTACATACTCATCCCTTATGTTTTTTATATATGTGTGTGCATATGTATATATGTATGTATATGTTTATGCACATATACACATGTAGATGTGTATATATATATGCACACACATAAGATAAAGGATGAGTATGTAGAGATCTAGTCAAATGTATAGTTCACATACTTTAAAATCACAACAGTTTGTCTTGGTGGAAAGAACACGCATGGACATTGGCCTTTTATAGTCAAGGATCTCTCCAGCTCTATCAAGTAATGGTGTGACTTTGGACAAGTTGTTCAATTCCTATATTTTTATGAAGAGAGAAGTGAGAAGAGCCTACTTGGGAAGCACCCTTCAAGCATTTAATCCTAGACTGGCATTTAATCCTAGCTCCCCACTAACCTGCTAGTTAGGGTTGATAATATGTTTATGTTACTAGAAGCAACTGAATGTTTGGGCCTATCTTTTCATATGATGATGCCATTCTAAGCCATCACTAAGCTCTCTTACAAAACACTTTTTAAAATGCAAGACTAGATAAGTTTTCTGATTTAGTATCACATTCTACATGAACAAAACATGGAGTGTTTAAACAAAGCAAGCTGGGTGACTATTGACTATTCAAAAGTCAAAAATCATTTTTTGGACTTTCAGACCCCAAACTGTAAAATACTAACATTACCAACATTACATATTACTAACACTACTAGAAAAGACATGAAATGTCCCAATAATGTTTTGAACTACTTAGATATAAAATATTATAATTTAAAATTTTCTTTAGGAAAATAATCCTATGTTTATGATAATTTTTTAAGGGAGTTTAATTAGAACTGTGACAAAAACTGAAACATCGCCAATTAAATTTATTAATTAGTAAAAATGATCAACTACTAAAGCAAGTTTTTTAAACTAAATATTAAATGTTTTGAGAACCACCATTCTTAACAAGGAAAAAGAAACTTACCAATAAAAGACGGCCAAGACAGAGTAAAACCCTGTAGCTCTGAATTTAAACTAGAAGTATTGCTGTGAACTCTACACATAGTTTATTTTTAATATGTATACTTTCCTAGTGCCGTCCACTGCAAAAACCAAGAAACAATGGTGAGCCCCATAACAGTGAGCACCTCTAGCACCTAGGATGCCAGCTGCATGTATCACAGGTTTGGAGCAGGAAATTTATAAGATGATGCCAGAACATCTTGTCAAACCAGAAAGAAAGGACATAATCAAAGATTACTGGGATCTTGTCTAATGGACTTAGGGGTCAGTTTGAAAAGGCTCCCAATAACCAAAAATGCGGGAACTTCAGCATCAGTAAAAATAGTAACTGCTTCCACTGGATAAAAAATAATACAGAAAAAAAAAAGAATGAAGGACAAGAATAATTACTGCAATGAATTGAAATGCATCAAACATGTTAAATACATTAGTTCATAATGATACCAAAAATGATAGTCACTGAAGGAAACCAAATCATAATTTTGAAGATTGATAAAGGGAAAAATAATCAAACATTTATCATGCCTTCCGTGCATAAACTGTACTAGTGAATGAGCAGACATTTCTCTTTATACAAGTATTTCAGCTAATAAATGAAGAAGGGATGGGACAAGAAACTATTCCTGTTTTGCAACTCCAAATAATGAATGGATCTACGCATTCAACATCAGTGCCTGCTAACATCACAAAAATAACCAAAGATCATGTGCTTTTTGATACAAGGATACAACCACCCAACAAAGTGGGCTTGTCAAAGAATACAGCCTGAACTTGATCAAGTCTCTAGATCCAATGTTCAATTTCCTAGAAAAACAGAAGACAAAGGAACAGGATAGACTTATCAGAAGATGCAATCAGCAAAATGCAGAAGAAGAGAAACTCTACAGGACAAAACAACTTAGATTGTTCAATTAAAAAAAATTGCAAAGAAAAAAGAAATGGAAGATGACTACAGAAAAGCAAAATAAAACAATAAAGACACAACAGACATATCAACTAGACCAAACAAAAAAAAAAAAAAAAAGAAAAAGTGTCCCTTATTTGAATCTTGCTTTTAAAAAACTACCAAAACACCCGGGTGCGGTGGCTCATGCCTGTAATCCCAGCACTTTGGGAGGCGGAGGCAGGTGGATCACTTGAGGTCGGGAGTTTGAGACCGGCCTGGCCAACATGGTGAAACCCTGTCTCTACTAAAAATACAAAAATTAGCCAGATGTGGTGGGGCATGCCTGTAGTCCCAGCTACTCCAGAGGCTGAGGCGGGAGAATCGCTTGAACCCGGGAGGCGGAGTGGCAGTGAGCCAAGATTGTGCCACTGCCCTCCAGCCTGGGCGACAGAGTGAGACTCTGTCTCAAAAACAAAAACTAAAAACAAAAAAACCCTACCAAAACAACTTTTTGACATAAAAGAGATAATTGCAAATTTGAATTCTAGGTATTTTTTATGATGTTAAGGAATTGTGGCTTTTTATTTATTTATTTTTGCGACAGAGTCTTACTCTCTCACACAGACTGGCACGCAGCGGTTCGATCTTGGCTCACTGAAATCTCCACCTCCTGGATTCAAGTGATTCTCCTGCCTCGGCCTCCCGAGTAGCTGGGACTACAGGCGAGTGCCACCACACCTGGCTAACTTTTGTATTTTTAGTAGAGAAGGGGTTTTACCATGTTGGCCGGGCTTGTTTTGAACTCCCGACCTCAGTTGATCTGCTCTCCTCAGCCTGAGAAAGTGCTGGGTTTACAGGCATGAGCGACCGCGCCCAGCCAGGAATTGTGGCTTTCAAAAAGTGTAAGAATGATATTGTGGGTTTCTTAAGAGTGTCACTTTTGGAGCTATATACTGAAATGTGTATGGATGAGTGTCATTATGAAATGATGATGCATGGATATTTGCTTCAACTTAATACACAGGGTAGGGATAGTCGATGGAGGTGTAGATGGGGAAGAACTACCATGGGTTAATATCTGCTAGAGCTAGGTGATAAGTACATGGGGCTTTGCTGTTCTACTCTGTCTACTGTTATAGATTAAAAATTCTCTACAATCACTTTTTAAAAATATATTAAATGGATAACAAAACTGAGAGGATTTTTTCCTTTCGAAGAAAATAATCCATAAACAAATTTTTCAGGAAGCACAAATATAGGAGTTTATGGATTTTTTCTTTTTTATTTTTACCTTTTTTGACTCCTGAAGCTATGACTGAAGGCACTTAAAACCTTTTATTGTGTAATATTTTATATAGAGACAACAATACCCCTACACAACATATTGTTTCATTTTTCATGGTTTTGAGCTTTGTAAAAATGGTGTTATACTGGATGTGACTTCTTCAGTCAGGTTTTCAAGATACATTTTGTTGTTGTGTGTCTCTGTAGTTCTTTCATTTTTCACCACTGTACAGTATTTCATTGTATGAATATACTACAAGTTGAGCATCCCTAATCCAAAAACCCAAAATTCCAAATGCTCCTAAATCCAAAACTTTTTGTGTGCCAATGTGACACCACAAGTAAAAAATTCCACATTGGGCCTCATGTGACAGGTTGCAGTCAAAACAAAGGCCACACATAGAATTTACTCAGTGTCCCCAAAGGAAAAAGACCCTCCCACCCTCTTTCAGCTGTGATGTATCTTTTTAACACACACTGAAATTCCCCCATGCAAACACACCCACAAAGGGTAATAAAATGGTATATGTGCAGGGTGGATGCTCCATGGGCAGGTTCCCCATGATGCCCCACTTGGGGCCACGACCTATGTGCGTTACTCACTCTGTTTTTGGTTTTGTTTTATTTTTTTTGAGGTGGAGTTTCACTCTTGTTGCCCAGGCTGGAGGGCAATGGCGCAATCTCGGCTCACCACAACCTCCACCTCCCGGGTTCAAGTGATTCTCCTGCCTCAGCCTCCCAAGTAGCTGGGATTAGAAGCATGTACCACGATGCCCGGCTAATTTTTTATTTTTAGTAGAGACAGGGTTTCTCCATGTTGGTCAGGCTGGTCTTGAACTCCTGACCTCAGGTGATCCGCCCACCTTGGCCTCCCAAAGTGCAGGGATTACAGATGTGAGCCACCATGCCTGGCCTGTTTTTTTAACTTATTCTGTGTTCTACAGTGTAAAGATATTGTTGAAAGTGCTAAAAAAAAAAAAAGGCCTGCAGAATCCCTCTGGGTAACAGTGATAAGAAAAAGCATTTATGTTTATCTGTAGCATAGACAGTCAAGATGTTGGAGAAACTGGACAGCTGTGTAAGTGAGAAGCATCTTACAGGAGAGTATGATATTGGAGTGACCACTATATAGGACCTGAAGAAACAGAAGGATGAACTGTTGAAGTTCTGTGTTGAAAATGATGAACAGAAATTGAAAAATAGAGAAACTGCCTAAAACTAAAAATGAAGATCTTGATGGTGTATTGAAAGTGTGGATCTGTCTGCATTATGGTGGACACATGCCACTTATTGGTATGCTGATCATGAAACAAGCAAATATCTATCATGATGAACTGAAAATTGAAGGGATTTGTGAATATTCAATAGGCTGGTTGCAGATATAAGAAAAGACACAGCATTAAACATTTAAATATTTGTGGTGATAAAGCATCTGCTGCTGATGAAGCAGCAAAGATATTCCCTGATGCATGGGCTGGGCATTGTGGTTTATGCCTGTAATTCCAGAACTTTGGGAGGCCAAGGTGGGAAGATTGCTTGAGCCTAGGAGTTCGAGGCCAGCCTAGGCAACATGGCAAGAACCTGTCTCTACAAAAAATAATTTTAAGAAATCAGCTGGGCATGGTGGCAGGCACTCATCTTCTTAGCTAACTGGAAGGCTGTGTTGGGAGGATCACTTGAACCCAGAGGGCTGAGGCTGCAGTGAGCTGTATTCATGCCACTGTACTCCAGCCTGGATGACAAAGTGAGAAATAAATAAAAATAAATAATAAATTAAAAAACAATAATAAATAAAAATAAGAAATTCATTGATGAGTTTGCCAAGGTCATCACTGATGAAAACCTGATGCTGAACAAGTCTGTAATGCTGATGAAACATCACTGTTTCAATTTTATTGCCCCAGAAAGACACTGACTACAGCTGATGAGACAGCCCTTACAGGATTAAGAAGGCCAAGGACAGAACAAATGTGCTGGGATGTGTTAATGCAGCAGGCATGCATAAATGTAAACTTGCTGTAATAGTAAAATACTTGCATCCTTGCTGTTTTCAAGGAGTGAATTTCTTACCAGTCCATTAGTATGCTTACAGAAAGGTATGAGTCACCAGGGACTTTTTTTTTTTTTTTTCTTTTTGGTTTCACAAACATTTTTTGCCAGTAGCTTGTGCTCACCGCAGGGAGGCTGGACTGGATGGTGACTGCAAGATTTTGTTGTTCCTTGACAAATAATCTCATTCTCCAGCTGAAATTCTCAGAAATAATGTCTATGCCATGTACTTTCCCCCATATGTGACTGCATTAATTCAGCCATGAAACCAGGGTATGCTTAGGTGAATGAGGAGTAAATACAAAAACACTTTATTGAATAGCATGCTAGAAGCAGTGAAAAGAAGTGGGTGTGGAAGGTTTTCAAAAGGAGTTTAGTGTGAAGGATGCTGTATATGCTGTTGCCAATGCATGGAACACAGTGGCTAATGACACAGCTGTGCATGTCTGGCGCAACCTCTGGCTTGTGACTATGTTCAGTGCTGATGATAAAGACATTGGATATTCTTGTACACTTATGAAAGCAATTCTCTAAGACATACACTGACGGGTGGGGCCACTGGGTCACAGACGACACATATATTCAACCTTACGAGGTAATCCCCAACTATTTTCTACAGTGGTTCTACCAAATTATACCCCAACCATCAATTTATAGAAATTTTTGTTTCTTTTTAAGTATTCGTCATTTTTTTCTGTAAAGAAATGGAAGTGGCCTAGAATGACAAAGATACTTTATATAGGTGCTTTTTAGAATTCGTTTTTAAGGACTTCTTCAGGATGATCTCATTCCTACTCACACATGTGAGTGCACCATTTGTTTGCTGTGCAATACTACTTACATATCTATTACGTATCTATTTATATTGTTATTTAGTTTTTCAGGCGTTTGTCTTTTCCTCTCCAACTAGATCAAAAGCTACGTGAGGGCCAGGAGGCAGGTATGGCCATTTTTGCCTACCCAGCATCTGTTCCCTTCTTTTGGAAGCAGCATCTCAATTTCCCTCTAGAGAATCACCTCTAACCACTCTCTCAATCCATAGTCTCAATGAGGTTCACTCCCCTCCCCATCCCCAAAGTTGCATGTCTATTCTAAGCACAGGTCAGCAGGGACACATGACTTAGGTTGTGCCTAAGGTCAGCCCAGTGAGACTCAATTTTGCAACTTTTGTTGGAAATTTTGGGAAAGTTTTGTTTTGATTTTTTATTCTGTGGCTTCTGAACCAATAGGATGCTTAGAGGTGCTGAAGGTCATCATGCAACTGCATGAAGTAGACCTGCCTGAGGGTGAATTCAATGCAGAAGAAAGAAGCACCAAATGGGGGAAGAGACTGATTTCTGGATCCAGCTGTGCCGGGAGCCAGTGAAAGCCTCTGGCTTTTCAGTTACATAAACCAATGAGAAAGTCTCTCTGTTCTCACTCCAAGTCCTGACTTATGTATAATTTATTCAAAAAGTTTATTTGTTTGTTTGTTTGGTTGGTTGTTTTTCAAGATGAAGTCTCGCTCTATTGCCCAGGCTGGAGTGCAGTGGTGTGATCTGGGCTCACTGCAACCTCCACCTCCCAGGTTCAAGCGATTCTCCTGCCTCAGCCTCCCAAGTAGCTGGGATTACAGGTGCCTGCCACCAGGCCCTGCTAATTTTTGTATTTTTTTTTTAGTGGGGATGGGGTTTCACCTTGTTGGCCAGGCATGTCTCAAACTCTTGGGCTCGAGCAATCTTCCCACCTCAGCCTCCCAAAACGCTGGAATAACAGGTATAAACCACTGCATGTGGCCTCAAAAAGTATTTATTACCCGCCCATGCTAGGGTTAAAGATACAGCAATGAACATGTTCTATGAATGTTTGTTTTGATTTCTATTTGAATGATCTTGCTATTGTGAAATTATAGGTTTAGCCTCTAATAATTTTTAAAATAGACACTTATAAGTAAACCATTTTCAAGCTTCCTCAAGAAGCAGTTGGTAAACATGTTTGTTCAATATGTTAAAATATTAAACCAATGCTCTTATATTCTGGTACTCAGTACTCTTACAGAATATAAATAAGAAATAGTCCCTACTTTAGAATGGCTTATGATATCATCTAATGGGAAAGATAGCACAATTGGAGGGAGGAAAACCCTCAGGCTCCTAAAACTGATAACAGACACAAGTGCAATACATAGTTCAGAGAGAGAGAGAGAGAGAGAGAATGAACAGGCATGTGTGTATATCCTAAGAACATTCTGAACTGAGTAGATGTCCACACCTAGGTGAAATAATAAAGGAGAAAGCCTGGAGTGGATCTTGATTTTGTGGGAAGTGAAGCTTATACAATTTATATAAGGGTCCTCCTTAAGAAAACAAATGCAAAGTTAGGCATAAGGTCTTAGCTGGTGCAAGCAAGGCCCTGAAGCTTAAGATTTGTTAGCTTCAGGGTTGATCTGCCTACGCAGGAGAGGTCTGAGTATGTGCAAAATCCCAAGTGGTGGTTCAAGGAAGTACAAACAGGTTTAACTAACTAGGGTGGGAAAGGAAAGCTAGCAGATAGAGGAAATGACAATTACATTACTAACTGATTGATTGAAAAGGCTGGTCATTTTAGGGATCCTAAAAGCTAAGGAGATTAAGTTTCATGATTATGTAATTGGGAACTAGAGCAGATTTCTAAGAAGGAAAGTTGCATGGTTAGGGAAAAATTTCTTGCCACTGGGTTTAAGATTAATTAATCCATAAATAAAAGTAGGTACTAGGGCTCCTAGAGATATTTGTAGCAAGAAATGATGATTTTGTGGACCAGGATGGAGATTGCAGAAACTGAAAGGAAGGAAATGAAGTCATATCCAAGTGATTTTGAAGGAAATAGTCTAAATATGTGGAAGAAAACAGGACTGAAAGGTCTGGAAGTTTTCAAGGCTGAAGTGCAGAGGTTGGCAATGGATTCATTTTGATGTTACTTTTTTCTAACATAAGCTTCTTGCAGGTCAGGATTTAGGGCTTTAGGATTATTTTGCACTATTTTTTGTAGATGCACATTTAGTACATATCTAATATTCTTTAATATTCCAGTAATGTAAGAAATCTTGATAGTGTTTCCATGTGAGCTATTAAGGGGGAAAACTGTATAGCCCCTTCCATGATGAATGGAAGTGCTAGATTCCAAAACTACATACTCCAGAAGAGGAATGTGACTGGCAACGTGGTCAAAGGAAAAGAAGTTAGCCTTCGGGTTTGGAAATCTCTCCCTGTCTCCATGTTCTGAGCTTAAAATATTCAGATGGCTTCAGCTCAGTTACAGCCTCCCTTGGGTGTCCACAGGGGCCTTGAAGGAAGCAGAAGAGAGTTCATCTCACCTGTAAACACTGAAGTAAATGGATGGCCCACCCTTTGTATGCAGAGTGAAGAAAAAGGATTAAACACTGGCGTGGCAATGATGACCAGGCATTTTCTTGGAGGTTACACTTGAAAAACATATAGGGTTTTTCAATCATTTAAAGATAATTCTATCCCAAAGGATTGAAATAATCCAGTTTGGGCCAAACCTACCTGAAAACAAGACATAGAACATTTCTATGATTTACTCATTTTCCCTTCAGAAACTCAAATCTACCACCAGCAATATTGAAAAGATAGAGTGCATTACACCCTGCTATTCACTGATTTCAGCAATGGAAGTGTGAACGTGGGAAACCTGAGTTTATTCATCAGTTTTAAGAAAACCCTCAAGATATAAAGCTGGCTCTGTGGGAATCTTTAGTCTGATTGCTCTAAGAGCAATAGCCACTGTCTAGGAGCAAAAAAGGAGGAATTTAGTGGAAGCTCAGTTCAATTCTAAATGATCTGACTTTGGTTTTATCTGCAGTTTCTTTGCTATGAACCTATAAACAAACCAATAGGGCAGTTTTGGAAAGGAGAGTATTCACAAATCATAGTAACAAGAGTCAGGCCACTAGGGGGGATCGTTAAGCCATTTTGTGCAAAAAGAATGACTTAACTTTTGAAAATGACTGCAGTTTCATTATTTTAAGTCGTCATTAGTCAACTTTAAGCAGGCACAGCACACCAGAACTGGAATTCAATCTTTGTAAGCAAACTCATATCTCCACCTAAAGCGATCAAATGCCTGTAAACATCCCTTTCTTGTTTTAATTGCGAAAGGATTATTGTGGGCTTTGAAGTAATAGCTGTTCCCACTACCTGCTTCCAGAAGCAGCTGTTCCCACAGCATCACAGCAGGTGCAGCCCAGAAGCTGGGCCCTGCCCTTATCATGTAGCGGGTGGTATATTTGCAGAGTCCAATGTGTGTTCAGTCCTGAATTAGCCAACTTTGTTATCTAAATTCTCCTAAACCCAAAGCCTAACAAGAAAATAGCAAAGAGTAATTCCCCCATAATAATCGCAGAGGGATGGGGATCAGGGAGGATGTGAGAGGCCGGACTAAATGAAGCATTTTTTTTTTTTTTCAGACAAAGAGGCAAAACTCTAGATTTAAAAAAAAATGAGAGGGGGGCTGAAATGCACATGTGGAGATTGTTTAAACAAAACTCCAGTGTTTTTAGAATTGCTTCTCCAGCGGATCAGATATCTTGCTTGCCCTACGTTAATAATCATTTTCAAATCAGTAGCTAGAAGTCGGCTCCCTCAGCAGTTCCAAGGCTCCGTGTCAGTGCAGAGGCTGTGTGTGGGAAGCAGCAGAAGGCAGCCTGTTTGGAAAAAGGAGAGCAGGAACTGGGGGCACATCTCAGAAACTCATGATTGTTTCAGTCATTAAACACTGATATTTAATTTGAGCTTTGTAATCCAGGACACTATTATTTGGTCCCAAGCAAAAAGCGGGGGAAAAAGAAAATGAAATGAGTATAATAAAAGAGCAAGGAGGAACCAGCTGCTTTGGGCAAAGAAGGGCAATAAAAGGAATCTTTATAACTGCCGAATGGTGGAATAGGCTTTTTTCTCCCCGCCAAGCAGAATGTCAAATTCTGTCCCCCTTTTTTCCCCTCTTAAAGCGTGCTAAAAGGAAAATTCTTCACAGAATCTTAAAGAACTTTTTTGACACAACAGCTGCAAAATCTATTTTCTAAACAAAGATTTATACATATTTATATGAGCTTAATCCAGATTTTTTTAAATAAATCATCCTCAGAACTGCAGAGGTAAACTATATGTAAATACCTCAAGTAATAGGCTTGTAGTGCAAATCACATCATTTTATCTTCAATTTTGCATTCGTTTTTCTGGCTTAAAGGTGCATCAGAGATATGCATTTTAGCATATTCAGAACACGGGGCGTGAAATTAAATGTTTGACAGAGTGAGAAAAATATACAGACTTTGGAGATGCCTTAAAAATAGTAATTTATGCAGATCTAGAGGAGTGAAATCATTTGCAATGGAGTGACCCTCTCTCCAGGAATTTTGTGCTCAGTGTTCTTCCCTAATCTCCCGCTGTATCTTCATTTTTCATTGAACTAGCCAGTTTTCTGCGAAGCCGTCTTGTAGATAAGGGGAGTGCTAAAGAAGAAGAAAGAGGACGCTCGGTGAGGCCGTTTCCATTGCACTTTTACCCAAGGCAATGGGCAGAATTTAACGGATTCCTTCCAACATATGTTTTTGCCAGATAAGTAAACAGTGTGTGTCGGAAATGAAAAAGCATTTGCAATTTAATGACATTACAGCTCTCAGCTTAGGCTGGCGTGCTGCGAGGCGAAAAGCAGAAAAAGAGAGGAGAGTAGAAAGAGAAAAAGAACAAAGTTCATCTTCCCTTTTGTGCATTTTTATCAAAAAAAATATTACTTCTTTCCCCCTCTTGTTCTCTTTTTCTTTTTCGTCTTTTGGTTTTTTTGTCTCACTCATTTACATTTTTTTTTCTTTCCTGCCTTTCTGTCCTCTGTTCACTTTTACCTTTTTCTTATATTGCCACTGACTCATTTCTTTTTTTCTCTCCATTGTGTCTCCTTATTAATCTATTTTGGCCATTCAGTTTTACCTTATAAGAAGCTGTTTATCCCACAATGTATCTTTTTTTCTGTGTTGTACTCCTATTGCTATA
Organism: Homo sapiens; assembly: GCF_000001405.40. Lineage (NCBI taxonomy): Eukaryota > Metazoa > Chordata > Mammalia > Primates > Hominidae > Homo > Homo sapiens. The sequence goes on from NC_000013.11 coordinate 94,662,973, forward strand.
GCTCATAGTCAACAGGATTGTCAAAGGGATTATAACGTTTCATTTGAAAGCTCTACAAATCTGCTCTCTTGCCTTCGGTACCTTCCCCCATTTCCTCTGATACTTGTCATTTTATTTCACGTTCATCGTGGTCTTTAGTTTCACCCCAGACATCACAGTACCCTGATGTCTAACCACTGATACTCACTGTCTTTGCATTGTATGTTGGCACTACAAGGTTCTAGAAACTTAACCTTGAAATGGCAGAACCATTCTCTTCCACCCTTAGTCAAGTTCAGACTGGTATGGACAGTAAACATACCAATGGGTCAGAATTGGTCCTTCCAGTGGCTCATGGTCAGGACAGGGTGTCATATAGTTGATACTTATAATGGGTCATCTTCCAATAGAAATTGAGCCCCCAAAACTGCTGCTGAGTTTGCTGTTACTTTTCCTGTTAAATATGGTGAGAGAGTGATTACTGATACTACAATCTGTATATATGAGTTTTATGATGGTTTGCTTGAGTATACGTGTGTGTTTGTACATGTGTATGAATTAGACTACGTGACAGTGTGCATAGTTGTGTGGAGTTATTTAAGGCAGTGTAGGTCTGTGAATACAGGCATATAGAAAGAAATGATTATCTTTCAGCTTTGATTCTACCCTAAATTCCAGAAGTAAAAGTTGAATGGAAAACCAATATTTTCTCCCCACTCAGGTCCATAACATGTTTATTTTAGGATTATTTTGACTGCTACTTTTACAGGCAGGAATAAGATTTTCCACCAGGTCTCCCTTTTGTGACAGACTAGTTAGATGACCAGGCAACCCCATTCAGAAGCAAGGAATGCCTCTCAGTCATTTTTGCTGCCTTGAGTTGTCACTCTCTCAATCTAAGCAGTTCCTGAACAAACAACTTTTAACATGATTCATCATTGCCTTTTTATTTTTGCAAAACAAGTTGACATATTTTCAATGTTGTTATCATGACCATTTGAATATTAGTACCCAGATTGTTAACGCAAATTTCATTCTAAGTATACAATTGTAAGTTACATGTCAGATCCCAAGGTTAACCTGCAGGTTGAGCATAATTGAAAGGACCATAATCAAATTGCAAGTCCTATCACAGAAGTACTGTACAGACTTTAAAAAGATGCTTAAATAAAATGCTCTTGTCTAAAGACATGTGCATGTTTTCACCGTAAAATTACATCTTCCACATCTTGCAGATCCGGCACTTGGTAAGTAAAAAGAAAATCTATTTGGACATGAGGATGTAAAGTAGCTGGAGGTGGTAATTTAATCAACCAAGGATATATTTCAATGTTTTTCTGGTCTTCTAGGCATTAGCACTTTAAATTCATTATGTCGGTTTGACAGATATATGCAGCCTTAAGGATCTAAAAATGAAATCCTAGAAGTATAGCCTGCTAGAGGATATATATTGAACTTAAGAGATTAAAATGGTATAACCATTGCAACAGAATGGAACATATCGTGTTTCTCATTTTTTTCCCACTAAGCATGAGTATTTTGCAGATGTAAAATACGGTCTTCTCTAATTATAAAACCTGGCTGAAGAGCCAGAGCTTTCTAACTTTTATTACTGATGAAGTGGATATTAGAAAGAAAATGTTGGCTTCATATGGAGTCTGAAGATGAAGAAGTCTTCCATTTGGGATTTTCTATATCAATAATTTATTAAGGAAAATAGTACAAGTGGTTACATGCAGCCTACTGTAAGAGGCAAGTACATTGCATGCTTCTCCTGTTTAAGGCAAATAACAAAAGAGCCAAATTATAAAGCAGGTCTTAACGTAACTGGGACGTTAAATCTACTATATCATTATGCCAATTTAGTAACGTTAATGATCTGTAATATTAATTCATCATCCTGGAAAATGGGGAAAGGTTGCCATAATTAACTATATTAAGCCACAATTAAAAAGTCATCCAAGCTGTTGTAAAGATTCTAGTGATGATAAGCGTGTTTGTTATATTATAAACCTTTCTGACCATGTAAATTTGGTCCATAAGACTTTGTTACAAACAGCCCCTCACTTCGAATTCAGATAAGTCAAAAGAGCAGCCACCCACGGAGGCAGTGGCACCGACTAGACGCCTTATCAGCCATTTCCATCGCCAACTGCAGTTTAACACTTTCTTACAGGGAGAATCGGCTTTGAAAGAGGTACAACCTTTTAGCATATCTACTTTAATTCCTCACAGGGAAGCAAAACCAGGCTGTCTAGTGAAATTCACATATGTCAGACAGACTATCTACTCCCCTAAGATTAGGGTCATCTTTGAAAGTCACATTTCAAACTGGCACAAAATGAACATTTTGATGTTTCTAAATGGAGATCCTATAACGTCTAAGCCTAAACCCAAGTTGCCTATCACCAGATGTCTGATAAGCTCTTAATTCTCCTCCCTACCCATTTGAAGTCTCTATTGTGGATGGGAGTCTTTAGGTTACAGACAATGTCAGGAGAAAAGATAAATGGAACCATGCATGGGGTGAGATGCAGCCAAGATGACAACCCATTTAACTTTCCCGTCCAAAGGACTCCCTTTGTCTTTGACGGGACAGATCAGCTGGTGATAAAGGACTATTTCCTCTTTCACTAAGAAATATGATAAACCCCAACTTTGCCTTACACCTACCGTTATTATCCTTGCCATTAATGATCATGAGTTCCTCCTCCCTAAAGCAACATTTAGTATGCTGCTACCTCTATGCATAAACCACCCCTGAAGTGCATCTATAATCAGTGACTGTCATTGCTGTGGTAAGCTGAGTGACAGAGGAAGTAACAGGGATAAGTTGCACACACTTGCAGCTGGAATTAGTTTATGGCAACTGACAAAGAAAACACATCACCAGCTTGTTTTGAATAGGGTACTCAGGATTTATATATGCAGAGGTTCATAAGGGATTCCCGTGTCTATTGGTATGGCCTGTTTTTTGGCTATTAAGCCTAAAGCCCCCTTGCAAACCCCAAAACACACCTGACACAGCATTGCTCAGCATTTGATAAAGATGTTTGGTGAGGAAGAAGGTGCAACAAATCCCTTAGCAGATTATTTCCCCACACTATGAGCCTTTCTATTGATATAATGGTATGTCCCAAAAGAGCCAAATTATAAAACAGACACAAATACACATACACTCAACGCTGATTTCTGCAGCATGCCCCATGCCGGAAAAGTCTCGCCAACATCATCAACGTGCTATCCTAGTGACGGGGGCAAATCATTTGTCAATCTCAGCTTTACTGATGCAAGTAGTGACACGAGGTAGCTCATTCCAACCTCCTCACTCAGCAGAAAACAGCAACTTGTTCTCAGAGAAAAATGTCTGCTCATGTGAATACCCGGGGAGCCAGTTCAAACATCCAGCCAAAAAAGAGTTACTTCCCTTTAGGGAATGCTGGAAGTTTCATGACTGTTGCCCAAAGAGAAGTCCCTTCAAATGTGATACTGGATAGGGAAGTAGCAGTTACTGCTTCTCAGAGGAAAGGAGTCTCTCTTCCAATAGTCATTGCCAGAGGAAAGCAAGTCTTACATGACGTCTTGGAAATGCAAAGAAGTCTACCAAACCAAGCTCACCTTCATCCCCATCCTTCTAGAGCAATCACCATCAAGAAATTTGATTTACCCTTCCTCTGCAATAATGTGTAGCCAAATGAAGGTGAAAAGACATAGTTTTCTAGACAGGTTTACAAAAATCCTAGCACTAACCCAGCCAAGATTAAACAAAGAGGATCTTGCCAAGTCTTCATCCACAGATCTACATAGGTCCAGTTGGATCTTCTATATTTTGAGGACATATTGAAGAATAAAAAGGAGTCATATTTGGGGTACTTTTCTGAGACTCTCAAAACACTTTCCACACTCTGTGAGCTGAAATTCTTGTGAAAACATGTTAAAGAAGTAGTTCCACTACTGACTGCCATTTGTGTGTTCACATTCACACACACACACACACACACAAATGTGTGTGTTATGAAGCACTTTGTAAGATCCTTGCTCTGAAAAGACAAAAGATAGTCTGTCAATCCTGCCATTAGGCATTTCTGAGTGTGGCTAGTGTCTACATTCTGAATGTGGCTAGTGTCCCAGGCCTTGCTGCTCCGTTTAGAATGGTTCTTCCTCTATACTTAGATGGCTACTTCTCAATGTTCATGTTCCTTTTAGTTCATTTATGCTTCTGTTTGGTAAACCTTCTACAGGGACCAACAAATTGCTCAAAGGCAAAGGCCTTGGTCCCTATTTTTTTTGTAACACTGTTCACACAGTGACTCCCCCATGTCTCTGAGTGGGTGGAGAGGAAGTTATACAGGGCAAGGGGAGCACAGAGATGTGCTGCTTAGTAAGAGTTTCTTTACGTTTTTCCATTTCCTGTAATTGGTGCATTGGTATTTCCACAACTCCTGCACATTACCACTGTGTAGGAGTTAGTGTCATATTTATTGACAGGCACCTGTTAAGTCAATGGAACATACAGGGTGCAGGCATGGATTAGGGCCTGAAGATCTTACTCTGGATTATGAGACAGAGCTACTTCTTTTCCTGTCTCGGGTATGCATGAACACATCACATCATGGCTTTCAGTGTTCAGTGGTGACTGGTACATAGGTCTGGGAAGGAACTTAGGGGTCATTGTCTACTTCCCTCATGAGGAGACTGAGACAGAAAAGGGCGCAGTGGCTCATGCCTGTAATCCCAACACTTTGGGAGGCTGAGGTAGGACGATTGCTTGAGCCCAGGAGTTTGAGACCAGCCTGGGCAACATAGGGAGACCTTGTCTCTAAAAATAAAAGAAAAATTAGCTGGGTGTGGTAGCAGATGCCTGTAGTCCCACCTACTAGGGAGACTAAGGCGGGAAGATCGCTTGAACCCAGGAGGTCAAGACTGCAGTGAGCCAGGGTTGCACCACTGCACTCCAACCTGGGCAACAGAGCAAGACCCTGTCTCAATTAAAAAAGAAAGAAAAAGAAAAGAAAAAAAAAGAAAGGTTAAATATCTGCCCAAAGCCAAAGCCATCAGTTATCTGGGGAAACCAGGAAGCCAGAGCTTTTCACTGCATAACTAAGCAATCTATCTTTCTAGGGAATCTTGATTTGTCAAAAATCAGACTACTACTAGCTTTTAAAATGGGTCCTTTTGAAGCTTTTGATCACTGATTTTTGGTCAGTGGTCAGGAGGGTGAGTTGTAATCAGCTCCCCTGTGACTGTCTGCTGAAACAGCATCTTGTATCATGTCATCTAGTGTAAAACTTGTCTTCCTGGGACTGCATAGATTAAGATGCTTTTGGACTCAAACATAGACTCCTTAGTAATCAAAACTGAGGTTAAGAAAATAGTACCAGCTTAGCATTATTATTATTATTTTTAAACCCCGAGGTTTTCCAGTATTGTTCAGTTCCCCATTATGGGTTGAATTGTGATATGGTTTGGCTGTGCCCCCACCCAAATCTCATCTTGAATTGTGGTTCCCATAATTCCCACGTGTTGTGGGAGGGACCTAATTGAATCATGGGGGTGATTTCCCCCATATTCTGGTGGCAGTGAATAAGTCTCACGAGATCTGATGGTTTCATAAGGGGTTTCCCCTTTTGCTGGGCTCTCATTCTGTCTTGCCTGCCACCACGTAAGACGTGCCTTTTGCCTTCTGCCATGATTCTGAGGCCTCCCCAGCTATGTGGAACTGTGAGTTCATCAAATCTCTTTTTCTTTATAAATTAAGTAAGTCTTTGTCAGCAGCATGAAAATGGAGTAATACAAATTATCTTCCCCAAAAAGATGTTGAAGAAGTCCCGACCCCTAGTACCTGTTAATGTGACCTGTTTGGAAATAGGGTGTTTGTAGGCGATGAAGTTAAGATGAGGTTGTTAGAGTGGGCCCTCATCCAATATGACTGTGTTGTTTTTATAAAAAGGAGAAAACATGCATAGAGGGAAGATAATATGAAGGGACACAGGGAGAAGGCCATGTGAAGACAGAGGATCAGGGGGCTGCATGTGCATGCGTGCAGCCATGGAACACCAGGCATTGCCAGCAAACCACCAGAAGCAGGAGAGAAGCCTGGGAGAAATTCTCCCTGCAGCCCTCAGAGGGGATCAACCTGCTGACACCTTGATTTCAGACTTCTGGCTTCCAGAATTGTGAGACAACAAATTTCTGTTGTTCGAGCCACCTAGTTGGTGGTCCTCTGTTATAGCTGCTCTGGGAAACGGACACACTTCCCCCAAAGCATATGGAATGCAGATATTCCTTTGTGAGTCACTTTGTGTATTTTTGATGGTGTTTTTTGTTGTTATTTTCTAAACCTTTGGCTTCCTAGTTTCCCCAGATAGCTGAATTATAATATTTTCTAGATTGTTTTGTGGTTGGAATGAAAAACGTTGTGATAATATTTAACAGTATATTAACAAAAAGCTACCAGTTAAATGTTATGAACAAACTTGTGACATGTATACTTTCTGTGGGGATAACCACTGGGCGGGGGGAGGTGATTGTATAATATGATTTCTAACACTAAATAAAATATTACAAAACAGAGACTAGTATGTTTTCTTGACTCAAATATCTGAAAAGGCTAAATCATATGTGCTACTCAGAGAGGTTTATGTGAGACTACCCAAGGGGCTGAAGTGAACAGCCCTGTAATAGGCCAGAGTTGAGTCAAATGCCTCCGTAGGGCAACTCAGCCTGCCAGTACCTTCTGGTTCTCCAGACATCATCTGTCTCAGTCCATTCAAGCTGCTATAACAGAATATCTTAGACAAGGTGCCCTAAACAACAGAAATTTATTTTTTGCCTGGGTACGATGGCTCATGCCTGTGATCCCAGCACTTTGGGAGGCTGAGGCGGGTGGATCGCTGGAGACCAGGAGTTCGAGACCAGCGTGGCCAACGTGGTGAAATCCTGTCTCTACTAAAAATACAAAAAATTAGCCGGGCGTTGTAGCAGGTGCCTCTAATCCCAGCTACTTGGGAGGCTGAGGCAGGAGAATCGCTTGAACCCAGGAGGCAGAGGTTGCAGTGAGCCGAGATCATGCCACTGCACTCCAGCCTGGGCGACAAAGCGAGACTCTGTTTTAAAAAGCAAAAAGAAATTTATTTTTCATAGTTCTGGGGACTGGAGAGTCTAAGATCAAGGGGTCTGGTGATCCCGGGTCTGGAAAGACATCCTTCCTGGTTCACAGATGGCTGTCTTCTCATGGTATCCTCACATGGCCGGGAGAGAGATCGTCTCCCTCAGGTCTCTTTATATAAAGGCACAAATCCCATTTATGTAGTCTCCAATCCCATGACCTAATCACTTCCTAAAGGCCCTGCCTCCAAATACCATCACAATGGGGATTTAGGCTTCAACCTGTGAATTTGGGGGAACACATATATTCAGTCCACAGCAGCATTTGTCAGTACCTCTACATGTACAGTGACAGACTGGGCCAATTCTGGATAAAATAGCCAAGTGGAAAGCAGAGATTGAACCTACACATAATTTATCCACTAAGGCCTTATTTAAACTTATCTTTCAAGAAAATTAGCAAATCTTGCTGGAGTTTACAGTTTGTGCATTTGTCGAGAATGTTTCTCAGGTTTTTATATTAATTGAAAAGTTATATTAAATTGAAATTAGCCTCTGACTAATGTGCTGCAAAACTTTGCTTTAGGCAAAATCCGTGGCATGAAAGAATCATCTCAACAAGCCACGCAGTAATCTTGGGCTCCTGGCCCTCCTACCTCAACTCACCTATACCCTTCTTCCATCACTTCATGCCAGACAACTCACCCCCTCCAAAGTGGTGAGGCTCTGGCCCAATCCAGGACCTTCCCAGTTGATTTGACCTCAGGTGCCCACCTGGGATTGCCAGATAAAATACAAGATGCCCAGTTAAATAACTATTTATTTATTTCCTTCCTTCCTTCCTTCTCTCTGTCTCTCTTTCTCCTTTCCTTCCTTCTCTCTCTCTTTCTCTTTCTCCCTTCCTTTCTTCCTTCCTTCCTTCTTTCCTTCCTTTCTTCTTTCCTTTCTTTTCTTTCTTTCTCTTCCTCTGTTACCCAGGCAGGAGTGCAGTGACTCCATCTCGGCTCACTGCAACCTCCACCTCCCGGGTTCAAGCAATTCTCATGCCTCAGCCTCCTGAGTAGCTGGGATTACAGGCATGCGCCACCACACCCAGCTACTTTCTGTATAGTAGAGATGGGTTTTCGCTATGTTGGCCAGGCTGGTCTCAAACTCCTGACCTCAGGTGATCCACCCACCTTGGCCTCCCAAAGTGCTGGGATTACAGGCATGAGCCTACTGTGCCTGGCCACCAAATATTTTTTTTTAGTGGAAATATGCCCCAAATATTGCAAATTTATACCAAAAAAAATCATTGTTTATCTACCCCGCCTCACTCATCACCTGGCTGCTGCAGGTTCATTCTTCAGGTGACTTACATGTTGCTTCCTCAAAGAGGTCTCTCTGAAGACCCCATCTAAAGTAGGTAATTCTATTATTCTTCAGCGCACCCTATTCTTTTCCTGCATCTCACTCACATCAATTTATAAGTATATTTTCATTTTGGCACTGATTACGTACTCAATGTATATTTGTTCATTGATGTACAACTCATCCATTATTTGTGGAGGAATGAATGAATGAAGAAAGGAAAGTCTTACTGAGAAAAATTCCATGTTTAACTTTCCAGCTAAGGTACTTGCTGGGATAGCTAGTGATTTAAACAGATTTACAAAGAAAAATGGAATTCCTTAGGAAGTTAGTGAAATTTTCACAGAATATGTTGAGAGTAGTGTTGTAGTGCTTTAGGTCATGCAGTATGTAATCATGTGTTTGTAAGAATTATATATTAATCATAGTTTTGTCTAATTTAAATGATTTTGCTAATATATCTGCTGTTTAGTTCTAGGTAGAATTCTGAATAGAAAGTTTAATAATTAGCTCCAATTCACTTTTAAAAATGGTCCAGTTGAAACAACCAGCATTTCTATTTATTAATTGAAGAGTGAGCTACAAATAATTTCTCCCATATAAATCCACCTAGTTCATGACAAAATGTCTTATCATAACATGCAGCAATTTTCTGAAAAGAAATAGTTGTAATATTTTATAAAGAATGCTAGGCAGGGTGCCGTGGCTCATGCCTGTAATCCCAGCACTTTGGGAGGCCAAGGAGGGGAAATCGCTTGAGCTCAGGAGTTCAGCACCAGTTGAGGCAACATAGGGAGATCTCATCTCTATAAAAAATTAAAAATTAGCTGGATATGCTGTTGCACACCTGTAGTTCCAGCTACTTGGGAGGCTGAGGTGGGAGGATTGCTTGAACCCAGGAAGTTGAGGCTGCAGGTTGTACTGAGGTTGTACCACTGCTCTCCAGCCTGGGCAACAGTGTCTCAAAAAGCCCCAAAAGAATGCTAGACTCTTTCTCAGCTATAAAGAACTAAGCAACCAAAATGGATAATACTTTTAGAGAAAATAATAACTTGAGAATCATGTATATACAAAAACGAAGATTTTTTTCATATTGCTTATAGCTCTAGCAATATGAGTAGTTTCTAGTTGAGAATCCAGTATCAAATTCTGACTGATTTGTGGGGCAGGGACATGTTCTACTTAAGTGATCCATTACTAAATGTTGGATCACAGTCGTTGCTCTAAGAACAATTTCAGAACAGTCAGATATGAAATAAAGAGGATGATTGTACAACAGTTTAGATGGGATATTGGCATGAGTTTACTAGAGAATGGTTCAGTTTCACCTCTTTTTAGCTTTGCAACTATGTGACTAGAGTTATAATCCAGATATTATTAAACAGTTGTAATAGTACATACTTTCCCCTTTTTTTATAATGTCAAAACCAATTGTCAGATAAATAACACTCTCAAATCTAGTCCATTTTTACGGAATAATGGCCTTGTCATTGATTCTACTCTATTTTATAGCATTTAATTAAAACCACAAGCTTATACAGTGAGAGGTAGAAATGTATGTATCTAAAAAGTCTCAACACACCTTTACTTCAATTCTCTTGTTTTTAGCTATCAGCCTGTATTTAATCTAATACTTTAAGGGAATATTAGTAAAGAAAAATTGTTGAAACATGTCATATAATAATTGCTGAAGTTATTTTTTACTATTCTCTATAGTTTTTTTTTTTTTTTTTTTTTTGAGACAGAGTCTCGCTCTGTCGCCCAGGCTGGAGTGCAGTGGCTCGATCTCGGCTCACTGCAAGCTCCGCCTCCCGGGTTCACGCCATTCTCCTGCCTCAGCCTCCTGAGTAGCTGGGACTTCAGGCACCCACCACCAGGCCCGGCTAATTTTTTGTATTTTTTAGTAGAGACGGGGTTTCACCGTGTTAGCCAGGATGGTCTCGATCTCCTGACCTCATGATCCACCTGCCCCGGCCTCTCAAAGTGCTGGGATTACAGGCATGAGCCATCGCGCCTGGCCTATAGTTTTTATTTATATATATGTAACAGAAGATGGTACTTACACTTGGCAGTAGGTACAGCAACATATACTGTTAAGATTAGATTATGTTCAGGCCACAATCTGCAGTTTATATGCAAAATCCCAAACCTGTTCTTTTATTTTCCATTATAATGCTTTAAATGTGGCACAAAGGCAATATTTTTCCAAATATTCATACCAAAAGCAAATCACAGTAAAATGCAGTGATAGTATGGCTTTTATTCACTGGCAATCTGATTCAAAATTCCAAAACAAACTCGAAAAAAAGTGCATTTGCTTACTTAGCAAAAGTTGCCTAATTTCTTGAATATTGCTTTCTTCCCATTTTATAAAAACAATTTTGGAGCCTTTAGGGTCTTTTAGCTAATCGTAAAATGATCTCTGGACAGAAAAAATTCAACCGCAAATAGAGGCAAAAAAAAATCTTCAAAACAACACGTTCATCTTCACATTTTTTAAGTAGACAGTTTGGCTTTTTATAAAATAACCTCAAAGCAAATTATCAAACCTTGTGAGGTGTGCTGGAAGGCATGACTGTGGTCTGCCCCTCCCAGACACACTGACGGGTGGCCTGGCATCTCAGGAACGCTGACAAGGCCTGGCCTGACAGTTTCTGAGTTTGTGTCTTTGTCATGACAATAAGCCACATTTTGCACAAGTTCTAAGTAGCAGAAGATAAATGGGAGCCTGCCTTCAGCAGTTGTGGGCAACCTGAAAGACATGTCCTTTGAACTTCGCTTTGTAACTTTTAACATCCATTGTTTTTTTTTTAGTTAGTATGTCCAAGGGTAAAATTAGGTAAAACACTTGACAGAGCTTGTCCAAGGAAGTTGAGTACCATTGACTTAAGTATTTTTTTAAAAAAATCAATAGCTGAGATATCTGCTTGTGTCAGATGTAAGAAACTCAGAGGAAGTGTGTGTGTGTGTGTGTGTGTGTGTGAGAGAGAGAGAGAGAGAAAGGAGAGAGAGAGGGATGAGAGAGAGAGAGAGAGATCAACTTTTTATATGTACCCATCTACATTTAGCAGATAAGTAATTGGAGATAATTCTTGAATCTCATGGGAAGGATGCATTTTCTTTGCAAACTGTCAAATAAATTTAATGTGACTGGTGATATTGTTTTTGCTGAAATGGAATGACTACTTGCAACATGAATACGTGCTGTCTTCTCTGTTTTAACTTAATTTTTTTATTAGCAGTACATTCACACAGTTCAAAAATAAACAAGCAATATATGACATATAATGAAGTCTTGTTTCTGTTTCTCTCCACTCTATTCCCAACCCCTCTTCCATGCCTCTTTTATTTTCTTCCAGAGTTTTGAAGGTTTTCTTTATATTTCAAAATACCCTATCAGCATTTTTGAAAATACACATGGGTGAAAAGAAATTTGAAAGAAATTGTTAGTAATACAAAGTGAATTTCCTGATTCACAATGTATTTGACTAGCTCTAGTATTTTTACTCTGAAGTTAGGATTCTTTATTAAAATATTTAAAATTATAAGCATGTTTGTGTGAGCTTAAAAGAATTATTTTTCAAGGAAAAGTGAAATGAATAAAGTAGGGGTGGTTTTGCTTGGAAAGTTTTGAAGTGGGATTTCCTCACTAGGTGGCGCTCCTGTGCCTAGAGGTCACAAAGAGAGTTGCCCCGCTATCTGCAGGTGCACAGTTCACCAATTAGCACGCTGCTACTGTGGAGACCTCCAGCATCACACAGAGAGCAAGGCCTCCATATTTTCTCCTCTCTAAAGAATGGTTGTTCCAGTCATATTTCTGGTCTGTGCTATATATGCCCTTCCAAGGGGAGGGAAATTATTACAGTTACCTCTTTAGTCTGGAAGGTACGTTATGCAAGGTATCCAGGCAAGAAAGGGCAACTGTTATTTTGACCTGGAGGGAAAAACCTTGGGAAAATTGAACTTTTTAAATAAAGACGTTATCTATAGCACATGAGTGATTTAGAAGATGCCCTTATCTTTTCTCTGAAGACCTTAGTGTCCATCCAATAGCAAAAAGCTTTTAAACATGCTTTGGTTGTATTATCTTTCTTAGGCAATAACATGGCCTCTCATCTGATTCTCACAACCCTCATGTGCCAAGTAGACCATTACAGGTGTGCAATAAATAATAATCAACACAGGCCTGCCTTTACATTTGGCCGCTCAGCCCTGTCAAAAAGTCAAGAAGATAAAAAATTTTAAACCAAAATAGAGGAAGGTTAGAAATATGCTAATTTTTATTTGATATATTTGATCTTGCAACACTTAATTTTTCATGCACCAATTGTAGGTGAGACATTTATTGCACACCTACTCTATGCCTGGCACTAAGCTGTTTGACATGGATGCAACGATGCATTAGACTAAATTTGTGTTTCAAGCCTGATGGGAAAAGGAACTTCCATTCAGAATTCTCTTAAACTCCCATCCTTATTGAAGAAATTACTCCAACTCAGCTCCATGTGTTTTTATATACCATGTTTCTCTATTTTCTTTCATCTGCATCAATATTTTCCTCAACTTTAACACTTTTAGGGCAACTTTGAACTCAGATTACTTCCTTCAGTAACATACTATATTAATAATTTGTAATTCATAAGTGTTTATATGTCACCTTAACCTGAAGACAACCTCAAGTCATGTGAATGTGAGTTCACTGGCTCCAAATGAATCTGAGTTTTTAAAAATGATGTCTTCTGGGTGTCTTGCACACATAGTGTGACCTCAGATCTCATTGACTGAAATACTGTTTTAATGTTTTACTGGGAGAAACAAAGAAAAGCCTGTTGCAGAGGACCCTTTGGGAAAGATGATATAAGCAGGTTGGAGAGCATCAGCTAGTTCTTGGGGACTCCTCAGATGACAGCTGTGCAGTAGGGACATTGACAACATGAGAAGACCTCTAGCTGGTGCCCAGGGGTGTGGTAACTGTAGATGTGATTGTTTGTACCTCTGGCTTCCAGAGACAATGCCAATGCACACGTGGCCCAGATTCCTGTTTCCCGGTGGGGGAAAATGTGTTTTAAGACCAAAAACAAAAATGAAAAAAAAGGAAAGGAAAATGAAAAAAAATCCAGCATCTCCAACCACTGGATGTTGCTTTCTTATGAAGTCTGTTTCCTGACAGCTCTTCCCCAGCAAGTGGGAGGAAAGTGGAGAAAGGAGGCATTCTGTACACAAATGACCCTAAGGAAGATTCTTACTCCCATGATCAGAGCACATGAGATTATGGGTGCCTGATCTCAGGATGCCATGGGAACCAGGAGAGCACTTAACTCCTGCAGGATCTTAGAGATGCAGGGATACAGTGAGTTGAAGTGCACTATAAGGTCCAAGGCCCTTGAAGTGAAATGCACTCTTGGCTAGCACAGAGAAGGGAAGACACTTGCTGGTTTGGTTTTGTTCTTTATCCATTAAGTCCTCCTCAGTTTGAGGTACCTATATCTAATCAGAACCAAAAGACAAAAGAGAATCATGACAGCCGTCTGATGCTTCTCCATCCTGGTGTTGTGTGCCTTACTCCAATGTGGGTCTAACATAAATGCAAAGAGGGCAGAGGTACACATTTCTGAATTTAAAAGGAAATGGTAACTTAGTAACACAATTGTGTCCACTTTCCCTTTAACCTCTCTACTATTCTACAGCTGTGCACAAGGGTTTTCTCCATTGTATTCCATAGTCCTTAGGAGTGTAGAGTATTGCAATCTTTCCCTACAAATGATTTTCCCCAGCACTTCTTCTTTAACTATATTTCTTTGGGATTGGCTAAATTCAACTGAGTATGCATTCACCAAATAATTCCCTTCATAATATAGCATTCCAATTGCCCATATCAGTTGTCCCAAATAAAAAGAATCACAATGGACATATTACAACAGTTATTTTCTTTGGCTATCAAACCCCAAACATCATATAACCAGATCACATCATAATTGTAATTTATTGGGATGGTTGTCAGGGTGTGGTAGTGGTGATTATAATGAGAGGGAGATATAAAGATGTATCTGATCTCAAGACACAGTTTAGTAGGCAGAAAACACAAGTACTTCAAAAACTAAATAATGACAGACCGTGGTAAAGAACACTGAGTATTCTGGGAGCTCTAAGGAGGACACAGTTGCCCAGAGAAAAAGCCTCACAAAAGGCGGAAGGACTTCACGTGGGCCTCAAGGAATACACACAAATCTCAGTAGACCTGGAGAAACCATTCCACGTGGGTGAATGGTGTGGTTAGACTGGTTTTCGTGGAGTCTACAAAAACTGTGGGGAAATAGTGGGCAGTAAGCTGGAAATGTGGATTGAGGCCAGATAGTGGAAGGAAACTAAGGCGCTTGGACTTTATCCTGGTGGTAATGAAGAGATAATGAAGATTTTTAATTAAGGGTTTGGCATGATTAAATGGTGTTTTAGGGAGATTACTGTGGCAGCAGTGAATTGGAGGGGGAGAAACAAGTAAGCGATTAGTTAGGATGCTATTATAATCATCCAGGCTTGAAGCAGCAGGGGTCTGGAGGCAATGGGAATAGAAAGGAAGGGTGGGGTGTGAGAGATAGTGCAAAGGAATGCCCAGCAAGCCCTGGGGACTCATGGCTATGCAGGACAAAAGAAAAGAAGGCAGCAGAGAGAGTTGGTGCGACAGGCAGTGAGGGGAATCAGGAGAAGGCCAGTTAGGGGGAAAAGGGGAGATTGGAGCTGAGAGCTAGCTGGGCTTTGGGATGACTACTAGACATCCAAGTTCAAATATCCAGCAGGTGGGTAGAGATGCAAGACCAAGGCTTTGGAGAATGGCCAGGCACGAGACCTAGACCTCTCTCTTCTCTAAGTCAATCTGACCTCTTTCCAGAGAAAGAATTGAAATTCAGTGGCTAAGCAATTAGAATACAATGTGTGTATTTTAGAATATGTCCTTACATATCAACAGGAAGGAAGAATCCAGGTCATTCTTTGAATATTTTTAACTTCTGGAGAATGATTTTTTAATGAATCACCCAAATATATCAGGTGAATGTTTTTTAAAGCCAAATTTCCCAGATAATATTCCCAAATATTTAAATTTCTTACTTGAGGGAGGCTCAGCCTTAGTGTCTAATGGAGTTCGATTACAGAGTCATTTCCATGTTGAATATGGTGGAGATGGCGCCATCTCCACAGAGCTCTGTGACTGCTGTGCGACTCCAGATGAATGGTACAAGAGCCCTCCTAATCCTTGTAGGCCCTCTGCCTAATTCCCTCACGCAAATTAAAGAGAAGAGAGGTTTCCAGATTTCATTTATCAGGAAAGTGCATTCTTCTAGCGGAAGGAATCAGCAAGAAGAGGCTCACACGTCTTTAGTGTCTGCTGAATAATCAGTGGCTCATGGCCACTTGGAATCCCACCAGACTAAATGCGAACTGGCACTTCCCTTCAAAAAGTGGAATGTTATGGATCAAAATGTGACCCAGTGAAAATAAAACAGCTTTGGACTTAAATAATAATTAATTAATTAATAAAACAGAAAGCACCCTTGGGTGTACAGATTTAGCTGCCAAAAACCTCCCTACATGACTCAGACTTAGTGGACATTGTTTGAATTCTGCTATGAAATTCAAGAAACCAGACAGATCGGTGAAATGAGCTAGTATCTGAACATCAAGGGAAAAACTTTTTTTTGAAACCTGAAAACCAAATGCTGGTAAATGGTTTGCCTCCAAACCCAGAAGAAAGATTATTCCTCTTAATTCACATACGCCTTTCAGTAATGCTTGTACTTACATGAGACTTACAAGTGGGTATTTGGAACTCCATGGTGTTTTAAATGTGGAGGTCATCTATGAAGTTAGGAGCTCCACAGTCCTTTCAATGTGGGAGTTTCAAGAGCAGGATCTACATCTGCCATGGAAATTGTAACCACCATGTCTGATTATCATCTGGCCACAAGTGTCTTAAAATTCTGTTCATTGTAATTGATTTCATCAGCAGAGCTTGTAACTGTCTTCCAGAGTTAAGCTCCACTGGCTGCTCCAGGAGACTTTGTCAGCACTTTGAGCCATTTCTAGTTGGATTGGCGGGAGGTCATGTGAGCTTCCTTCCTATAGAAGAGAGCTTCTAACTGAAGCTGGAGCTCAACTCCCCAAGACCCCCCTGGAAACCTGGAAAATACTGACATCTCCTGAGCACACCAGAAGAACCTGCCTGTCTTCTCACGCCCAGCCCGTCCTTACTCAAGAAGCATGTGGATTGAGCAAACGTTCAAATTTTCAATCCTATGCATTAAACTGAAACAATTAACAAAGAATCCTACTAGAAATCCTACTTTATTTGTGATCAGAACTTGTAGTTGAGTCATCAACAAGTTCACCAAACAACCCAGCCAGACTGGATCAAGATGGGGAGGAGCTCCTTCCTCCTCCACCCTTCATAATATAATAGGTTATCAGGAGAGCCTTTTTTTGAATACAGAGTGATGAGATTACATAACTCTTAAGGGCCCTCCCTACCCTGCCATCCTATGTCTTTTGATTACGATTAATACATTTCCACATTGTGCTCGGTTCATGAATCTGCCACTCAACTAAAACGCTGTCCCTGATCTCCCCCAGTGATGTCCTCAACACTTGATTTTGGGAAGCCCTTATCATAAATAACTGCTGGAAGCTCCAAGGCTCAAAAATAAGGAGGAACACACACACACACACACACACACACACACACACACACACTCTGTCTCTCTCTCTCTCTCAAGTTTTAACCAAGTTGAACTCAAATTTTCTGATGTACTAGGATTTAACTGTCTTATATTAAATAATAATGTTTTAATTTTGATATTAAAGTATTTACACCTGTATAAGTTATAGCTTGCCAATAGCCATTTCCAAGCAACACATAAGAAAGAAGACAGGTATGGTGGCTCACACCTGTAATCCCAGCATTTTGGGAGGCCGAGGTGGGCAGAGCACTTGAGGTCAGGAGTTCGAGACCAACCTGGCCAACATGGGCGAAACCCCGTCTTCACTAGAAATACAAAAATTAGCCTGGCATGGTGGGACACATCTATAATCCCAGCTACTCAGGAGGCTGAGGCAGGAGAATTGCTTGAACCCAGGAGGCGGAGGTTGCAGTGAGCTGAGATCACACCACTGCACTCCACTCTGGGTGACAAGGTAAGACTCTGACTTAAAAAAAAAAAAAAAAAGAAAAGGAAAAGAAAAGAAAAGAAAGAAGATGACATTATGTCAATAAATCTAATCTTGGTCAATTCATGGTAACCAAAGTTGGTATTTTGGTCTTAGTTTTCTTCCAGCATAGAAAGACAAAGGTCAAAAAATAATCTTTCTGTAGTCATTCTTGGTTGAAAGTACCTTCTGAATTTCTCTCTTATTAATATGTTGCCCTTTATTATGTGTCAGAAATAGAAATGGTAGAGGGCTGGAATGTGATCTTGATATACAACTGTCCTGCTCTTTCTACTAACTGCTGAATTATTATCATTTTACAAAAATTACATCTGAAAGAGAGAAATGTGTGTTTAAATTGCCTGGTTTCCAATGAATAACCTTTGCTAAAGTGATTAGTAGTTTCTCCAAGCAATGAGCTTGAAAATACTCATTTCCAAAGATCTGTAATCCTTTCATTCTACCTCTGCTGTTGTCACACACTGAACAGAAAACACAAGGAGAAAGTCAACAATACGTGGAAAGCATTCTGCTTTTCTGGGTTTCAGGACGGAAGGAGCTGGTGGGGAAGGGAAAACAAAAAACAGCAACCCACCAACCAACAAGTAACTCTGGGGAAAAAAGCAGTGGAGGATGGGGCGAGATGAAGATACCGTTGAAGAGTTAATTCCTGAGTGGTGCCTCTATAGGTTTTTTGGTTTGTTTTTGGTGTGTGTGTGTGTGTGTGTGTGTGTATGATGGAGTCTTGCTCTGTTGCCCAGCCTGGTGTACAGTGGTGTGATCTTGGCTCACTGCAGCCTCCACCTCCCAAGCTCAAGCGATTCTCCTGCCTCAGCCTCCCTAGTAGCTGGGATTACAGGCGTGTGCCACCACACCTGGCTAATTTTTGTATTTTTAGTAGAGACAGGGTTTTAACATGTTGGCGAGGCTGGTCTTGAACTCCTGGCTTTAAGTGATCTGCCCACCTCGGCCTCCCAAAGTGCTGGGTTTACAGGCGTGAACCACAAAGCCTGGCTGCCTGTATACATTAATTGCATGATTGCCCCTCCTTAGGCACATTTAACTTCAGGAAGTGACTTAGACACAGGGAAGAATAGGCCACGATATTTCATCCAATGCAGCAAAAACAAATTACCTCAGGCTCAGGAACTCTGAGACCATATTTTAAAGCTTGTGCTGCTTGGAGGGAAAGGAAATTGCTTTCTCAGGGGATGACGGTGCCGGGGAGTGGCTGGCTGGCTCCTCACCCATTCACACTCACCTTGTGAGGGCACCTTAGAAAGGCCAGACTGGCAGTCCCCAGGCACAGCCTCCTTGCATGTGAAGGTGACTTTATGCCAGTGCCGTGAGGTAGACTTTCTTTTGTTTTGTTTTTGGTCAGACTAAAGACAAGGATGACTTTAATATCTGCTCAGAATCCCTGGGAAGGCTTTGGGGGCAGTTTTTTTGCCAGCTTTTGTATAAGCGGACTTGAAGATGGGGTCTAATAGAAGGTGGGTGGATTTCAAATGGCTCTGAAAATCCACTCACATTCCGCCTTGTAACATTTAAGAGCAGTCCCCACTAGGTTGTTTTGTTCTCCCTGTGTTCCAAGGGGAGCCTTCCTTGGATCTGAGACAGAAAGCCACCCTGTATGCTCCTTTCTCTTGCCCTTCTGGTCTTTAATTCTAACCAAGTCTGTGCCAGGTGGGTGGAGAAGGGCAGAAAGTTATTGTGGTTAAGATCAGGGACTCTGAAACTAACTGCCTGGGTTCAAACCTTGGCTCTAACACCTATGGTTGTGTTATCTTAGTCTAGGGACTTAACTCTCTGTGCCTCAGTTCTCCCATTCATAAAACAGACTCATTCATTCATTCATTCATTCGTTCGTTCATTTGTTCATTTTTACAGGCATTTATTGAGTACTGTACACAGTGAGATGATAAGACACACAAAGTCTCTGCTCTCAAGGAGTTTCCATGAGAGCAGGGAGAAAGACAATAAATAGGCAAATTAGGATGTATCAGACAGTGGTAAGTGCAAAGAAAAGAAATAAAATAGATTTATGTGGTAGAGTGAGGAGATGGCTGCTCAGCAGAGGCCTCTGAGGGAGCAAGATCGACAAGGAGTCAGCCATGGAAAGGTCATGGAGAAGAGCATTCCAGGCAGAAGGAACAGAAGCGTGAACCCTGAGGCAAAATGAGCTTCACATGTTCAAATCAGAGACAGGCCAGTGTGGCTGGACCATTGTGGGCAAGCAGGAGAGGGGATGAAGTCAGCCAGGAGAAGGAGATTGTAGTGTTTGGTGGACAAGGGCATTTTATTCTGGATACAGTGGCAGTCCCTGAAACATTTTAAGCAAGAGAAGGATGTGATCTGATTTACCGTGACTGTGTAGTGTGGAGAATGGATTGGGGCAGGGCAAGAATGGGGGCAGAGAGACTGTTCAGATTGCTGCTGCAGTGACCAGGTAAGAGGGCAGCAGAGCTGGAGAGAAGTGACTAGAAGCTGGTTTTACTTGGGAGGAAGAGGCAAGAGCACTTGTTATTGGAGATTTGGAGAAAGAGACTAAAAGAATGGATAACTCCTAGAATTTTGGCCTGAGCAACCAAATACTGTAGATGATAGAATCATTCACAAAAATGAGAAGGATGGGGCAAGAGCAGGTCCAAGAGTAGGTGGGGGATGAATGAAAGGTTCTGTTTGGGACATGATGCTTGAGGTGCGTATTAGATGTGTAAGTAAAGAGAGATGTCAGGCAGAGCATGGGATCCGTGAGACTGAGTTCTGGGAAAACGTTAGGGCGGGTGACTTGAGAACTGCAGGAATATGTGTGGCATTTAAAGCTGTGGGACTGAATGAGGTCAGCTGGGAAGGGATGCAGAGGGAGAAGATTAGGAGACACAGTAGAGGTTGAGGGGAGCAGGCAAAGCAGCCACAGAGACTGAGTAGGACAGTTGGAGAGGCAGGAGGAAAAACAGAAGGGTGTGGTGCCATCTAAGCCAAGGGAAGAGTTTCAGGAAGGAGGGAGCGTGGCCTGTGTGAAAGGCTGCAGAGAGCTGAGCAATGCAAGGATTTGCCAGTTAGAGGTTGACTGCGATCCAGAGAGCAGCCTCTGCGGAGCCATGAGGACGCTGGCCTCAGGCAAGGCGAATTCAGGCTTTGTGGGAGCTGAAGTCTCTACAATTTTCTTATTTCAAAAAAAGTAATACCTTCAGGGAAAACAGAGCATGAAAACAAAACATAAAAATAAAAATACATATGTTAAGATATTTTTAAAATAAAAATACAAAAATCCTGTGTGAATACAAATATGTATCTAGATTACAAAATCTAAATACACAATTAATACAAAATCCTGTGTGAATACAAATATTTATTTAAATTACAAAATATTTATTTAGATTACAGAAATTACAAAATAAATTATACATTTTTTTAAGTCTGACAAATTTGGCTGGGTGCCGTGGCTCACACCTGTAATCCCAGCACTTTGGGAGGCTGAGGTGGGCAGATCACTGGAGTACAGGAGTTTGAGGCCAGCCTCGCCAACATGGTGAAACCCTGTCTCTACCAAAAAATACAAAAATTAGCCAGGTGTGGTGGCGTGAACCTGTAGTCCCAGCTACTTAGGAGGCTGAGGTGGGAGAATTGCTTGATCCCAGGAAGTGGAGGTTGCAGTGAGCTGAGATCATGCCATTGCACTCCAGCCTGGGTGACAGAGTGAGACCCTGTCTCAAAGATAAATAAATAGATAAGTAATAAAAAGTCTGACAAATTCTACATACAACAAAATACAGAAAAATAGGCTAGCTGAGGTAGCTCATGCCTGTAATCCCAGCACTTTGGGTGGCCGAGGTGGGAGGATCACCTGAGCCCAGGAGTTCAAGACCAGCCTGGACGACATAGCAAGATCCTGTCTCTACAAAAAAAAAAATTAAAAATTGGTGGTACATGGGAACACACACCTGTGATCCCAGCTACTCTGGGGGCTGAGGTGAAAAGATGCTTGAGCCCAGATGTTCAAAGCTGCAGTAAACCATGACATGCCACTGTACTCCAGCCTGGTGTCAGAGCAAGACCCTGTTTTGGAAAAAAAAAAAAAAAAAAAAGAAAGAAAAAAAACCCAGAAAAATACTATTTACATTAATTAACTGCCAGATGCACCATTATAATTTTTTCTATTTTTGTCTGTATTTTTTATCATTCTTTTTTGACAATGACTTTATCATATTTTCTATTAAAAAAACAAGATAATTTTATCTTGCCTCTAGCATGGATGCTAGAAATTTGCATTTTTATTATCGACAGTTTAGAAGAGTTTGTTTCAGCTTCACAATTTGATGAGGTGATGCAAATTTTTAGAATAATAGGAATTTGGGAAACTCTCTACCAAGTTTTTTTTTTTCAACAGAAGAGCTCTAAGAATGCAAGGTATTTCAAATTTTCTTGAGTAGTGACTAGTCTTAAATATTTGAATTGATTGATTCTATTAAAATTGAATTAAGTAGTTGTTGATTCCCTCATTATAGTGATGGCATATATAAAATGTGATTTTATGTACAGTAATATTTACTGTTTGTAGAGCACATTTATGCCCAATTACAGAAATTCTAATATATTCTATTTTTGTTTGATTCCTATAATAAACAATGCTGTTTCTATGATTAATTAATTATCTTAATTTTTTATTTATTAAATTATTTATTTATTTATTTTTTGAGACAGGGTCTCATTCTGTCACCCAGGCACAATCATAGCTTACTACAGCCTCTATCTCCCAGGCAAAAGTGATCCTCCCACCTCAGCCTCCTGAGTAGCTGGGACCACAGGTGTGCACCACCACATCTGGCTATTTGTTTAATTTTTTGTAGAGACAAAGTCTCACTGTGTTGCCCAGGCTGGTCTCAAACTCCTGAGCTCAAGCGATCCTCCCACCTTGGCTTCCCAAAGTTCTGGGATTACAGGTGTGAGCCACTCTGCCCACCAACAATGATAAATTTAAAATCAATATGTTTGTTGCATTATCAAGCTAAGAACTTACATTTAGTCAGTAAGAACTGACTTTTCCCTTAACCGTTTCATGCCTGACTATGTGGAAAAAATTTCCAGAGACTAGCTTCTGGCTTCACATATCTAAAGTTGTTTCCCAAACTTATCATGGCCTCATACTTTTATCTAATGACTCAAGTCAAGTCAGAAGTGTGAGAATTCCTGGAAGCCATTTCTACTCGGATGGGTTGCATTAATTACACCCAAATTTATACCCATGTGAAAATACATTCCACTAATGGCAGACTAAATGTATCCCCCAACTTCTAATTAGCTGGATCCCCCAAATGCCCTCAGTCACTCCAAGGCTGTCTGACACAAGGGAAGTGTGACAGAAGGAAAGAGACTGTAGTCTTAACCAATTATGGTTAAAATATCTCACTTTTACCTATTTTACCAAAGAAAAAAAAAAAGTTCATGTGAGCCCATTGCCAGCCACTCTTCCCTTTCTCCCAGGGCCTTGGAAGAGTTCTGTGCAGGAGAGGGGCCCTGAAGTTCACTGGCCTTAGAGGGATTCCAAGTTTGGTTGTGTACCAAGCGACTCCTAGAGGCACGCTTTATATGATGCATAACTTGCACAGCCATTTGTGGTAGCCCTGTGTAATGGGAAGCAGAGAAATGGGGCATTAGCTGGAGGATGTGAGGTCAAAGGCAAGTTTTATATTAGAATGACATTAAACATATTTGATAACTTGCATGGCATGAGTATTGACAAATCAAAATGGAAGCTCACTCAAAGGAACAGACACTGGTGTCTGAGGCCATATCGATGTGAACTCCTTGACTCCTGGGCATGGTTTGGAGATGTGAAACAGCGGAGAGTGTTCCAAAACATTTGGAAATGAAACAATAGAAAAGGAGAAACTGGTGATGATATAGGGGAAGGAATAATATTAAGTCAAAGTCTTTCGGAAGGCAAGAAGGCATGGGATCCAGAGGGTAGGTGAAGAGGTTGGCCTTAAATGATTGCAAGACACTTCCCGCTTTGTAACAGGAGCAAATGTGAAACAGGGGCCTGCTGTGTCCAGGGGAAGATCCTGTCTGCATGGGCAGCTTACCTGGGGATTATCCGAAGCAGCAAGCCATGGGGCTATGACATATAGACTCCTTGTTTTGTAATCCAAGAGCTTGTACAAGGGAATATATTTGAAATGACTGATTATTTCATTGGTGTGACGGTTAATTTTGTGTGTCAGTTTGCCTAGGCTAAAGTACACAGTTGTTTAACCAAACACTAATGTAGGTATTGTTATGAAGGTATTTTGTAGATGTGACATTAACATCTACAATCAGTTGACTTTAAGTACAGGAGATTACCCTTGATAATGCAGATGGGGCTCATCCAATCATCTGAAGGCCTTAAGAGGAAAAACTGAAGTCTGGAAGCAGAGTTTCTTTTTTTCCAGGAAACTTCAGGATACATATACATATACATATACATATACATATACATATACATATACATATACATATACATATACGTATATATGTGTGTATATATATATACATGTATATATGTATATACATATACGTGTATATGTGTGTATATATATATACATGTATATATGTATATACATATATATATGGGGAGAGAGAGAGGGTGAGAGGGAGGGAGAGGGAGAGAGAGAGTTTCACTCTTGTCACTCAGGCTGGAGTGCAATGGTGCGATCTCTGCTCACAGGAACCTCTGCTTCCCAGGTTCAAGCGAACCTCCTGCCTCAGCCTCCCGAGTAGCTGGGACTACAGGTGTGTGCCGCCATGCCCAGAAAATTTTTGTATTTTTAGTAGAGACAGGGTTTCACCGTGTTGGCCAGGTTGGTCTTGAATGCCTGACCTCAGGTGATCCACCCGCCTCGGCCTCCCAAAGTGTTGGGATTACAGGCGTGAGCCACCATGCCCGGCCTATAATTATATATTTTATACATGACTAGAATTCACTGCAGCCACAGGTGGAATGTCAAGTACTGCTTGTTAGTAGGAGTATAGAAATTGAACTCTTCCCCACTACCACCTGGAGGCTCAACTGGAGAGGCTAAACCAGTTAGGCTCAATCAAAATCTCTGAAATGTGATACAAATCAAAGATAAGAAGAGTCTTCTTTGCAATTCTATTATATCAGGGTTTCCCAAGCTCACACTATTGACATTTGGAGCCAAGTAGTTTTTGGAGTTCTTTTGTTTTTTCTTTGTTTTTGGTTGGGATCTGAATCGTGCATTGCAGGATGTTTAGCAGCCTCCTGTCCTCTACCCACTACATGCCAGGAGACAATCAAAAGCATCTCCAGACATTGCCAAATGTTCTCCTGGGGGCCAAAATTGTCCTGGTTGAGAACCACTGTGTTACACTAAGTGTGTGTGATACTTGGGGTGGATCTTTTCCTGCTGTGAATTTGTGGTCCAGGATTATTTGCATTTATCCCAGGAGATGGTTTGGTTTTTGCTCATTGACTTTTATGTCTGTGAGAAGTTATGCAGGGATGAAGATGTCATGACATCTCCTCACCCTCCTTGCACCCCACTTCTGATGAAGTTCTATCCATGCAGCCAGAGACTTCAGAACACTGAAAAACTCAACTCTTGAGAGGCAATACTCCGCAGGACCCATTATGTCCACAGAAACCTGAAGAGTGAGGAGGGTTGAGTGTGAAAGCTCTTAACTAATGGATTGTTAGAACTGAGTTGTGAAAGTTGAAGTAATCAGTTTTTATTTTAAATGACGAAAGCAGGTACTATTTTAGGCAGAGAGTACATTTAACAAACTTGTTGCTTCAAGAAGTTGGTACAAGTTGAAAATAAAATTAATTGTAAGAAAGTAGAATTAATTGTAAGAATTGTTTATGGATGGGAGTAGGCTCATGACTGCAATCCCAGCACTTAGGGAAGCCAAGACAGGAGGATTGCTTGAGGCCAAGACTTTGAGACCAGCCTGGGCAACAGAGCAAGACCCCATCTCTACTAAAAAAATACAAAAAGTAAGCTGGGTGCCATTGTGCATGCCTGTAGTTCCAGCTACTTGGGAGGCTGAAGTGGGAGGATTGCTTGAGCCCAGGAGTTTGAGGCTGCAGTGAGCTATGATCACACCATTGCACTCCAGCCTGGACGACAGAGCTAGATCTGTCTCTTGCAGAAAAAAAAAAGAAAAAGAATTTTTTAACAAATGTATGACTAATAGTAAGACAAAAAGGGTGATATGAACATTTGAGAGGAGTACCTCTAAACTTTCTGACATACAAGAGGCAACTACATGCAACTCAGACACCACAGTGAGATACCACTTCACACTCACTAGTATGGAAGAACAGGCTAGAATCAAAGAAACTGAAAATAACAAGTGTTGGCAAGGATGTGGAGAAATGAGAACCTTCATAGATTACTGGTACAAATGTATAATATGGTGCAGCCACTGTGGAAAACAGTTTGGCAGTTCTTTAAACTTCTAAACATAAAGTTAAAATTCTAAACATAGAATTACCATATGACCCAGGAATTCCACTCCTGTAACCAAAATCATTGAAAATATATGTCCACACAAAAACTTGTACACAAGTGTTCACAGAAGCATTATTCACAATAGCCAAAAAATAGACACACCCAAATGTTCATTAACTGTGAGGAATACAAAACAAAATGTGGTATATCCATACAATGGAATATTATCCAGGTATAGAAAGGAATACATGCTACAACAGGGATGAACCTTGAAAGCCTTATGCTAAGTGAAATTAACCAGACACAAAAGGCTACATTTTGTAGGATTCCATTTACATGAAAGGTACAAAATAGGCAAATCCATAGAAACAGAAAGTAGATTAGTAGTTGCAGGTGCTGGTGGCAGGTGATAGAATTAAGGCTGATTACTAATAGGTACAGGGTTTCTTTTTGAGGTGATGGAAATGTTCTGGAATTAGATAATGGTAATGGTTGTGCTATTTCATGATTATACTAAAAACTGACTTTTAATAATCCACTAAAGTGAATTGTATACTTTAAAATGTTGAATTTTATGCTATGTGAATTATATCTCAACTTTTTTAAAAAAGAGGCAACATCAGAATCCTAGAATTGGAAGAGTCCCCTGAGAATTGTGTGGCCCAAACTTCAAGTCTGGCAGCTGAGAAATTTTAAGGGTATTGTCCAAGAAATTGTCTTTAAAAATAAATTTGAAGCAGGTTTCTCTCTTGCTTAGAACCCAAAGAGACTTGAGAAGGACAGCTGGCATTAAAAACCTTATGATCCCCAGGACAGGGTGGCACAGACCATGTCAGCAGTAGCCTGGTCAACATAGTGAGACCCCTTCTCTACATAAAATTGAAAAGAAGAATTAGCTGAGCATGGTGGCAAATGCCTATAGTCCCGGCTACTCCAGAGGCTGAGGGGGAAGGATTGCTTGAGCCCAGGACATCAAAGCTACAGTGAGCCCTGATTGCGCTACTGTACTCCAGCCTAAGTGACAGAGAGAGACCCTGTCTCAAAAAAAACAAACAAACACACGAAAACCCAGACCATATCTGTAGATTCATCCTTTAAATAAACAAATATTGGTTGGGCACAATGGCTCATGCCTATAATTCTAGCACTTTGGGAGGCCAAAGTGGGCAGATCACTTGAGGCCAGAAGTTTGAGACCAGCCTGGCAAACATGGTGAAATGCCTTCTCTACTGAAAATACAAAAATTAGCTGGGCATGGTGGCACGTGCTTGTGATCCCAGCTACTCAGGAGGCTGAGGCATGAGAATCTAGAATCACTTGAATTCAGGAGGTGGAGGTTGCAGTGAGCCGAGATTGCGCCACTGCACTCCAGTCTGGATGACGGAGTGAGACTCTGTCTCAAATAAATAAATAAATAAACAAACAAACGAACAAACAAATATTTACTGAGGGCCTACTCTGTGCAAGGCACTTTTCTAGGTGCAGAGGGTACATCAGGAACTAAACAGACAAAAAAAAAAAAAAAAGAAAAAGAAAAAGCCCTGGCTCCATGGAACTTAACCTCTAATATAAGTCCTTCCTAGATAGTACGTTTTAAAAGCTGTGTTGTCAAACTAGTGCACATTTAGAAATCAAAACCAGTTTTCATAAGGAATCGTTGAATAAACTGAGCATTTTCACCTTTAGAAAGAGAAGATTGAGAGGGAACATGATAACTGGCTTCAAAAGCTGTTTGGAACGGAGAGTCGTTTCATTCTCCACTGCTCCCAAGAGCAGAGCTCGTATTAAAGGGTAAACGTCACAGAGAGGTGGATTTGGGCTCCCGTAAAAGGAAGACCGAAAATTCACATTATTGTCTGTCTACTCAGTAGCAGGCATTCTGCTGGGTATTTTCACCTATCTTATCTCATTCAGTCCTCACAATATCCCTACAAGGTGCAACAATTAGCCCTATTTTTAAAGAAGAGAAAATGGAGGCTTAGCAAGGTTATGTAACTACCCTAAGGTCACACACCTCCTCAACGGCGAAGGCAACAGTCAGACCTTGCCTTGGCAGACTCTAGACTTCACAATCCTGACACTGTGCCTGCCGTGCTGTCTTTCCAACATTAATGCTTTCCAAAATGTGCACACTTGTGGAGGGGAAGACTGCTTGGGATGTAAAGGTAGACTGGGAACCCAAAGTTTCTTTCCAGAAATACATTATTTGACACTTCCCAAAGTACTTTCACACTGTAATATTTCATCTGGCTCACCGGCAACTCAATGAATAGGATTAAATAAGTAAAATAACATTATTAATAATCCATAGGTTGTGTGAATCTGATGAGATGATCTATGTGCAGAATCTAGCGCATCATATCAGCAGTAGTTAGCAAATACTTCCTGAGAACCTGCTTTGTGCCAGGTACTGTGAATGTGACCCCAGCCTGGTCTTCATGGAACTTACAGTTTTGTCTGATAAGGAAGGGGCACTTCATAAGATGTGAGGTCCAACCCATTTCTCCCATCCCCAAGCCCACATTTCCTCTATGTGGGGCAAGTTCTGCTCCACACTGAATACTCATCTATTCAATCATCCAGCAAAAGTTTACTGAGTGCCAGGCATGATGGCTCACGCCTGTAATCCCAGCACTTTGGGAGGCTGAGGCAGGCAGATCACCTGAGGTCAAGAGTTCGAGACCAACCTGGCCAACATGGCAAAACCCTGTCTCTACTAAAAATACAAAAATTAGCCCGGCATGGTGGCAGGAGCCTGTAATCCCAGCTACTTGGGAAGCTGAGGCAGGAAAATCACTTGAACCCAGGAGGTGGAGGTTGCAGTAAAACAAGGTTGTGCCACTGCACTCCAGTCTGGGCAACAGAGCAAGACTCCATCTCAAAAAAAAAAAAAAAAAAAGTTTGCTATGTGCCAGGCACTGCTCTAGGAATTGGAAATAAAGCAGTGAACAAAATGGACAAAAATCCCTACTTTGTGGTGCTTGCTTTGGTGATTACAGTAAACAAATATAGATAGAATGTATGTTATGTTTGAAAGTGAAAAGTGCTATGAAGAAGGAGAAAGCCTGGAAAGGAAATAGGAAATCCTGGGGATTTGGGAGGTTGAAATTTTCAGTAGGCGTTAGGAAGGGCCTCACTGTGAAGGCGGCATCTCAGCATTGACATTGAGCAGATGGGGTGGTGAGCCATGCAGACACTGGAGAAAGTGAATTTGAGGCCAAGAAAGTGCAAATGTGGGGAAGGGAGGGCGTGCTTGGTGTTTGAGCAGCAGCAAGAAGGGCAGCAGGGAGATGAGGCCGGAAAATAAAAAAAGGAAAAGGGAATCCTAGTTACCTTCCAGTGTAGGGCATGTGGGCATTGTGAAGATGTAGATTTGCACTGAGTAAGATGAGAAGTCATTGCAGGTCTGCCTGCTGTGTTGAAAATAGGAAGGGGAACAAGTGTGCAGTGGGGACACCAGTTTGGGAGGCTGCTGCAGACAGAAATGGTTTCCTAAAATGTCCGTGCCCTGATCCCTGAAACTTGTGAATATGTTACATTCCATGACCAAAGGCACCTTGCAGATGTAGTTAAAGTTATGGACTTGAAAATAGGGAGATTTTCCTGGCTTGCTGAAATGGGCCCAATTTCAACCTCCCAAATCCCCAAGAACTTTCAAAAGCAGAGAGTTTTCTCTGGCAGAAGAAAGAGTCCAAGAGACATAAAGCATGAGAGAGACTTGATTTTCTCTTGTTGAAGGGGGCCACATGGAAACCACTAGAAGGAGCTGAATGTCGCCAGCAATCTGAAGAAAACTGGAAGTGGGTTCTCCGAAGAGCCTCCAGATAAGAGCTCAAGCCAGTCTGTGAGACTCAGCATAAGTCCTAGCCAAGTCCCCTGGCTTCTGACCTATAGAACTGTGAGATAATTAAGGGATATTGTTGCTAAATGTGTGATAGTTTGTTAGGGCAGCAATAGAAAATAAACACAGAGTTGTTGCAATATTTGAGGTGGGAGATGATAATGGTTTGGATCTTGGACATATTTTGAAGCTAGATTCCAGAGGATTTCCTACTGGGTAGAATGTAAGTTGTTAGGGAAAGAGAGGAGTCCATGATGACGCCAAGGTTTTTGCCCTGAGCAACTGAAAGGATGAAGGTGCCATTTGCTGAGATGAGAAGGATTATGGAAGAAACAAATCTGGGTGGGAATATCGGGAGTTTTTGTTCCATATATATAAAGTTTGAGGCGCCTATAAAACATCCAAGTGGAAATATCTAGGGGGAAGTTGAATAGATAAGTCTAGATATCAGGGGAGAGGTCTAGACTAGATAAATAAATTTAAGAATTATGAGCATGTAGATGATTTTTTTTTTGAAATGGAGTCTCACTCTATTGCCAGGCTGGAGTGCAGTGGCACCATCTCAGCTCACTGCAACCTCTGCCTCCTGGGTTCAAGCGGTTCTCCTGCCTCAGCCTCCCGAGTAGCTGGGACTATAGGCATGCACCACCATGCCCACCTAATTTTTGTATTTTTAGTAGAGACAGAGTTTCACCATGTTGGCCAGGCTGGTCTTGAACTTCTGACCTCAAGTGATCTGCCCACCTCGGCCTCCCAAAGGGCTGGGATTACAGATGTGAGCCACCTCGCCTCATCATGAAGATGATTTTTAAAGCCATGAGACTAGATTATTGTGGTAAGCAGAATTCTGACATAACTCCCAATGATACTGCCCTTCTATAATCTCCTCCCCTCGACTATGGGTGAAATCTGTGAATTATCATATCACTCCTGAGATTATGTTATAGCATATGGCAAAAGGGATTTTGCAGGTACAATTAAGGTTATTGTATTAGTCAGCTTGGGCTATTATAACAAAATTTCACAAACTGGGTGACTTAAACAGTAGAAATTTATTTCCTCACAGTTCTGGAGACTGGCAGTCTGAGATCAGGGTGGCAGCATGGTCAGGTTCTGATGAGAGCTCTCTTCCTGGCTTGCAGATGGCCACCTTCTCATTGTGTCCTCCCACAGCAAAGAGAAAGAGAGAGGGCAAGCTCGTTGGCATCAATTTTAAAAGGGCATCAATTCCATAATGAAAGCTTCATCTTCACGACCTCATCTAACTTCAGTTTCCTCCTAAAGGCCCCATCTCCAATAACCATCATATAGGGGATTAGGGCTTCAATGTATGAAACATTTGGTTCCTAACAGCTACTAATATGTTGATTTCTGAGTTAATTAAAGGAAATAATCCAAATGGATCTAACTTAATTCCCACGGTCCTTACATATGGCTGCAGGGAGGAGAGACAAAGGAAGAGAGAAATTTGAAGCATAAGGGATCACATGCACAAGAAATCTTCCATTGCTGGCTTTAGGGTTGGAGGACAGGGGCCAACCTCAAATGTGAGAATGTGGGCAGCCTCTAGGAGCTGAGAGCAGCTCCCACCTGACAGCTGGCAGGAAATTGGGGCCTCAGTCCTATAATCTCAAGGAACTGAATTCTGCCCACAACCTGAATGAGCTTGGAAGCACATTCTTCTCCTGAGCCTCCAGGTGAGAGCTTGGCCTGGCCGACCCCTTGACTTCAGCTTTTGAGAACCTGAGCAGAGGACCTAGTCACACCATACCTGGACTTCTGACCTGCAGATCTAAGAACTAAAAGTTAATGTCACTTAAGCTACTACATTTGTAGTCATTCATTATGCAGCAATAGAAAACTGATACAATCGCCAAGGGAATGAGTGTAGACAGAGACGAGGAGAGGCCCATGGGCTAAGCCTTGGGCATCCTAATGTTTAAAGCTAATGAAAAGAGGAGAAACCAGAAGAAAAAACAAAAAGATAGGAAGGAGAGAACAGGGTGGTAGGAGGAAAGCCGATAGACTGTGAGGTCCGGGAGACCAACTGAAGAAAGTGTTTCTGGAAGGAGAAAGTAATTGTGTATGCTAAAGATTACTGATAGGTCAAGTTGGATGTTTCTGTTTTATAGATAGGAAAACAAAAACTCCAGGAGGGCAAATTACTTGTCCAAGGTAACATAAATGAACATTCATAGAACCTGATCTTCTGGCTTCTGGTTTTGTTCTCTTTCATTCACACCATATTGTCTTCACCAATACAACATTTTATTTTATTTTTTATTAAATTGAATCTAGTTGAGAACAACATATTTTGGCTTCTGTTTGTACGTTTATTTGCTGATATGGTTTGGCTGTATCCCCACCCAAATCTCATTTTGAATTGTAGCTGTCATAATTCCCACGTGTTGTGGGAGGGACCTGGTGGGGGCTAAATGAATCACGGGGGCGGTTTTCCCCATACTGGTCTTGTGGTAGTGAAGTCTCATGAGAGCTGATGGTTTTATAAGGAGAAACCCCTTTTGCTTGGATCTCATTTGCTCTTTGCCTGCCACCATGTAAGACATGCCTTTCGCCTTCCATCATGATTGTGAGGCCTCCCCAGCCACACGGAACTGTGAGTCCATTAAACCAATTTTTTCTTTATAAAATACGCAGTCTTGGCTATGTCTTGATCAGCAGCGTGAAAATGGACTAATGCATTTGCCAAGACAAATAAACATGAAAGTTTACTACAGCATGAAAACATTGAAATTATCTGACTGTGGGGCTTACTGGACACTCCTTTCTCAGGTCTGAACAATGGTTGTCAATCCTGGGTGTGTACCAGAATCATCAGGGGAATATTTTAGAAATATAGGTGCCTGAGTGCTAGTCTTAGAAAATTTGAATTCAGTAGGCCTTGAGAGAGCCTTGAGTGTCTATGATGGTTAAAAATCTCACATTGATTCTGATGCTTTGCAGAGCTGGGAAAAAAAACAGTTGTAGTGTGTTTTTTGTAATGTGAGTCTAGGGAAAAAGGAAAAAATATCTGACGGGAGAGGCTCCCTACCTAGCTCTTGATTTTGGGGGCAAGAGTGAGTGAATTCTGGGTTTTATGAAAAATAGAGGAGAGCAAGAATTAATTGTTGACATGGAGGAATTCCCCATGCACCCTTTTTATAGATTTGAATCTATCTGTTCACCAAAGTGTTGGAGCAGTGTCTTTATATTGTAAAGTGAATAAATGATTTTCTAGGCTTTAAAAGAAGCAGGTGAGATGTTCACCAATATTCTTTTCTTTTTCTTGGCACACAAGTAAATTATATTTCCCAGCATTCATTGCAATTAGGTTGGTGTATTGTCCATAGGAATATGGGCTGGAGTAAAGCCTACCATTCCCAGGCTTAGCATAAAATGCCCTGCAAGAGCCATGGGCTATCACTGCCTGTCAATCAGATCCAGAAAACCCTAGGTGGTGGCCTAGCAACAAAACAAGTCTAGATCCTGACTCACTGCTTAGAGGGGAACCACATGTCTTGCCTTAGACTGTGGCATGCATGAAAAATAAACTTTTAATGTGTCAAGTCACTGAGATGTGGGGTAATTTGTCATCGTAGCTTACAATAATTATCCCAACTAATACAGGTTCCTCTTGTATTGTGTTTTCAATGATCTCCTTCCTTTACCTCCTTATATGCCCAACAAGATATGGACAAGAAAGACAAGACATGAGCCCAGAGGACTTACGACTTAATCGAGTATTTGAATGCTAAGATTTAGGCTTCTTTGAATAGATCTTGCATTTAGATTCGAGTTGACTGAAAAGTGCCTAGTGAGTGTGTAGTAAGGTCAGAAGAGAAGAGACAGCTTGGAATGATTAAAGTTAGAAGTGTTTCCAATTGTCTGTAAGTCCAGAAGTTACCAGAAAATACACTAACACAGACAGAATAAATTATTACAAATAGTTATTGAGAGTCAGAGTCTGAACTAGGCACTGAGGAAAGGGGAAGGTGCTATACTGATATACAAAGGCAAATAAGACACCTCTGCTTTTCACACAATTGTGCTGATAATGACACATATACAGAATCACTAAATCCAGTTAAGCTAATAGGTGCTTAATAGAACAAAAACAACAACAAAATATAATTTAAAAAATAGAAGGACAAGAAAAACCCTAAATGGCATCAAAAGTTGATGGGGTAGCCAGGCAAAATAGTTTGAAGCTGTAGTCCCAGCTATTCAGGAGGCTGAGGCAGGAGGATCACCTTCTGGCCAGGAATGTGAGTCCAGCCTGGGCAATGTAGCAAGATCCCATCTCTAAAAAAATAAGTTATGGAGAATGTGAGACTTGGGCAGAACTTTGAAAGATGTATATCACTTTGGGAATGGGCGTGGGGGACACAGGTAGGAGAATTACAACCCAAGTTCCAGAAAGGGACTCATTTAGTGTGATGTGTATATAAGGATGAATGCATGTATGTGTGTGGGGAGAGTGGATATAAGATTGGAAAGATGGAAGGAAAAGCTAGGGCTACAGTTTATCAGTCTCTCCTCCTTCTCCTTCTTCTTTAGTACAAGCACAGACAACAAGAAACTCTTTAATGCCCTACAGAAGGACAGTTTCAAGTCCTATGGTGTTGTTATGAACCTTCCAGAACTCCTTAGCAGCAATGGGACTGCTGAATTCAGAGAGAAGATAAATTTTTAGCTTATTGCAGCCTCAAACTCCTGGGCTCAAGCAATCCTCCCACCTTGGCCTCCCAAAGTACTGGGATTACAGGTGTGAGCCACCAAGCCTGGCTGTAATGTTTGTTTGTTTGTTTTTGTTTTTGTTTTTGTTTTGACTGAGGGTGTTTATCAGTGGATGTTTATCTATGAAGGTGGTCAGTAGTGCAGTTCACCAAATAGTTCTGGCTCTCCGCCTTCTCGGTATGTGGTAGGATTATCATTCTGTGCCCCCTTTGAGATTTGATGTGGCCATAAGACACACTTTGGCCAACGAAATGTGAGCAGAAGTGATGAGTATTGCTTTTGGTGAGAAATTTTAAGAGCTAGCATATGACTGTTAGGCTGTATTCCCCTGCTCAGGTGGTCAGAGAAGCATGTATTAAGATGGAATCTCCACCAGCCGGGAGGAGCACAGCCCCTGCTGGAGTAAAAAATAAACTTTTTATATTAAGTCATTGAAATTTGGGGCTTATGTGTTTTTGCAGCTTACCCTTGCTCATAGTGACAAATAAATATTGCTAGTTACAATGATATGTGATTGACAGCATATTGGCTTCAACTGAAACTGTTAAATAATATCAAAGACAATTGCAGCTTGCTTGAAGATAGGAGACTATTAAATGAATTCCTATCTTTCTTTCTCCTCCTCCTCTTTTATTCTGTAGAGACAGGGTCTCCGTATGTTGCCTAGGCTGTTCTCAAACTCCTGGGCTCAAGTGATCCTCCTGCCTTGGCCTCCCAAAATGCTGGGATTATAGGCATGAGCCACCACACCCAGTTGAATTCCTATCTTTCTTGATAAAACTCAATAAAAGGTTGGAGAGGAGTGGAACCAGGAAAGGAGAACAGCAAAGAGCATCCAATGAGGCAGTAGAAAGACTGAGGGTGGAGCTCTCAAAACCAAGTAAAATTTCCTGGGGAGAGCATGATCAACTCTGTCAAATGCTGCTGATGGATCAAGTTAGATGAGAACTGACCATTCGATTTAGCAACAGGGGAGTCGATCAGAGCAAGTTTTGGTGAAGTGGAGTTGGGGAGGGAAGGCAAACTCTAACTGGAGGGATTTCAAGAGAAAAGAGAAAACAGGGAAATAGGGAATATAGACATGTTTTCTTTTTAAGGAATTCATTGTAAAAGGGAACAGAGAAGAGAAAAAATGAGGTCCTGGGAGTTTTTTGTTCTGGTTTGGTTTTTGTTTGTTTGTTTTGGGATAGCGTCTCACTCTGTTATCCCCTTGGAGTGCAGTGGCAGGGATCTTGGCTCACTGCAGCCTCAACCTTCTGGACCCAAACCATCCTCCTGCCTCACTGCCTCAGCCTCCCATGTAGCTAGGACTACCGGCATACACCACCAACACCCAACTAATTTTCTATTTTTTGTAGAGATGAAGTCTTTCTATGCTGCCTAGACTGGTCTTGAACTCCCGGGCTGCAGCAATCCTCCCACCTTGGCCTCCCAAGGTGCTGGGATTACAAGCATGAGCCACCACTCTTGACCAAGAGGTTTTTTAAAAAAGAGGAAATAACAAATATTTTATGCTGCAAAAATGATTCAGTAGGGAAGAAAAAGTTTGGTTTCTTTCTTTCTCTTTTCTTTCTTTTTTTAAAGAGATGGGGTCTTGCTATGTTGTCCAGGCTACATTGCTTTGGCTATTTACAGGTGCAATCGTACTACTCATCAGTGCAGGAGTTTTGACTTGCTCCATTTCCAACCTGTGCCAGTTCACCCCTCCTTAGGCAACCTGGTGGTCCCTATCTACCAGGAGGTCAACATATTGATGCTGAACTTATT
The DNA here is from genome assembly GCF_000001405.40 of Homo sapiens. Taxonomy (NCBI): domain Eukaryota; kingdom Metazoa; phylum Chordata; class Mammalia; order Primates; family Hominidae; genus Homo; species Homo sapiens. The sequence continues at coordinate 94,699,408 of NC_000013.11, forward strand.
GCAGGCATCCAATGGGCATAGTGCACTACAGCCCAGAACTCCTGGGCTCAAGTGATCCTCCTTTCTCAGCCTCCCAAATAATTGGGACTACAGGCTATTTGGTTTGATGTTGCAAGAGAAAGGGGAGAGATTTTTCTGGAGCTATGTCCTTGACTACATCACACAGTATATTCACTACCTCTTGCTGTGTCACAAGTCACTCCAAAACTTAATGGCTTAAAACAACAAAAACAGATTATCTTATGGTTTCAGTGGGTTTTGAATCCAGGGGGCCTTGCTGTTGAGTATCCTCTAGCTCAGGGTCTCTTCCAAAGCTGCAATCAAGGTGCCACCTGGGGCTGTAGTCATCTCAAGGTTTGATCGGGTGACTTTTTCACTTAGCTGCTGACAGGCCTCAAGTCTTTGCTGTCCTTTGGCCAGATACATCAGCTCTTGCCCTGTGGGTCTTTCCATGGAGCAGCTTGCTTCCCTTAGAACAAGAGCTGAAAAAGAGACAGAGAGGGTTTGGGAGAGAGAGGGGTGGGAGCAGAAGTCACCATCTGAGAAGGGAAATCACTTGGTCATATTCAATGTTAGCAGCAAGTCCAGCTTATACTCAAGGGGAGGAGTTTACACAAAGGCGTGAATACCAGGAGGTGGGGATTGAAGTCATCTTAGAGGCTGCCTACCACAGAAGGAATGAGATCTAGTGTGCAGTAGAGAGGCTGACCCTTGCTGGGAGCAGGGATTGTTCCTCAGCAGCACAGAAGAGAAGGCAGCGTCTATGGGTACACAGAGCCTAGTAAGTGAGCAGCTGTGTGGGTGGAAGTGAAGGTATTTGCTCATTGGCACCAGGTACCTTGGAGAATGGCAGGAGATAGCATTAGTAACCAGAGTTCACTGACCTTTGTTGCTCTACTGTACCCTTCGGCATAGCCGGAAGGATTCTAAATCCAGCAAAACACAGCTCTCCACCCTCTCAAATGCTTAACAAGGAAGCATTTAAGGCATTACACCAGGGTTTAGCAACACTTTCACTACCCTGGACTAAGAAAAATGCCAGAAGGCCCACAAGGAACTATAACCAGGAGAAGGAAAATGAGGAAGAGAGATGGGGAGAGAAGAAAAGGTGAGGCATTGTCTGGGGAATCTGCTCACCGCTGGATTTTCCTGCGTGGATTTCACTCATTTTTCGAAAGTCATTGACTTCAAACATTTGTGGCTCAAGAGAAAAAGACTTGTTGATGGTTTGTTTCACTAAGACAGAAAAGTAAGACAAAGTTTTTTTCCCCTCCACTCACAGTGTCCCCCGACCTGTCTGTCTGCAGTCATGATAGGATGGATTTTCAGCCTGGAGGGGCATTCCAGAAATAGCACATTATCAACAAGCCTCTGTTTTGATTTGCAAGGATATCAGGGAACTTCTTACGTGGCTAAAATTGTGGAAGGGTACTTCCTTTCATATATAGTAAAGGGTAGCAAGGTTAAAGGGGTTTGGCTCTGGGGGCAGGTAGATGTCTGGAAGTTCTACTAGTTACTTGATGTGTGAGCTTGGAAAGCCCCTCCTTATCTATATATTGGAAATACTTGTCGGGGAGATTACAGATAAGCCTGGGAAAGAGGCATCTAGGGGGCACCATTCATACAAAATACAAGGAGAATGATGCCTCCTGGCCTGGTGCATCAGAGAGGCTCATCTGGCACAAAATTAGGAACTGAGGAAAAGCAGTTATTAGGGGCTCATTGGCATCCCCAAATGACTTAGGGTTGTCTATCTTGGTATTGTATAGATAAAATTTCTTCCAGATGGGCTTTGTTTAGCTGTGCACCTCCATCTTTCAGTACAGGATGCCAAGTGCCTTGTAGCCCACTCCTGACCTTCTTATGAGACAGCATTTTCCCAGCAGAAAGGTCTTTCTCCTCTTTCGCCAGTAGACCCAAACCTCCTCCGAGGCTTGCCCTGCTGTTCTAGAATTGTCAACCTCTGTTCTTCCTGCAAAGAGAAAAGCTCCCAGCCACGGACTAGCGCGGCCTTTATGTCCAATAAATGTGATCTGGATGCGGGAAGGCAGCCCAGGACCTGGGCTGGGGCGCGTGGGTCAATAGATGTCCCAAGCCCACACCATTTTCCAGGGAACAGTTTTTAAGAAAAGCCTTGGGCCTTGGGATCTGGGTTGGGTCCCGGGCTTGGTCTTGTCCCCAACACTTTAGCAGACAAACCCCGCTCCTTATCTCAAGGGCAGCCTTTGGGTGACCTCGGACAAATGCTAGGGACAGGGGAGGGGCGGCAAGCTCCAAGTAGCGCTCTTGGGACTTCATCCCGCCAACCTAATGACTGGCACGATGCATGTCTTTTGCGAAGCCCTTCCCACCTTCCCAGCGCTGCTCTGTGCCCCGCACAGCCCGGAGCGCGCAGTCCTGGGGATACTAAGAAGCCGACTACTTAGACTCGTGGTGTGGGCGGAGGTGGCAGCCCAAGGTGGGACGTGGGGCCTTGTTGGTTTTGCAGTAGCAGGAGTCTGCAGGCTTGAGGAAGGCCTTAAGGCCCACGGAAGCCTCATCCCGCCAAGCCTTCGCCTCCTCGCTGAGACTCTGAGCTGCGCTGGGGTTGGCGGGCACCCGATTCCGCCCCGGCCCAGACCGGTCACTCAGTGTGTGCATATGAGAGCGGAGAGACAGCGACCTGGAGGCCATGGGTGGGGGCGGGTGGTGAAGCTGCCGAAGCCTACACATACACTTAGCTTTGACACTTCTCGTAGGTTCCAAAGACGAAGACACGGTGGCTTCAGGGAGACAAGTCGCAAGGGCGACTTTTCCAAGCGGGAGATGGTGAAGTCTTTGGACGTGTAGTGGGTAGGTGATGATCCCCGCAGCCGCCTGTAGGCCCGCAGACTTCAGAAAACAAGGGCCTTCTGTGAGCGCTGTGTCCTCCCCGGAATCCGCGGCTTAACACATTCTTTCCAGCTGCGGGGCCAGGATCTCCACCCCGCGCATCCGTGGACACACTTAGGGTCGCCTTTGTTTTGCGCAGTGATTCAAGTTGGGTAACCCTTGCTCAACACTTGGGAAATGGGGAGAATCTCCCCCACCCGCAACCTCCCGCACCCCAGGTTCCCAAAATCTGAATCTGTATCCTAGAGTGGAGGCAGCGTCTAGAAAGCAAAGAAACGGTGTCCAAAGACCCCGGAGAGTTGAGTGAGCGCAGATCCGTGACGCCTGCGGTACGCTAGGGCATCCAGGCTAGGGTGTGTGTGTGCGGGTCGGGGGGCGCACAGAGACCGCGCTGGTTTAGGTGGACCCGCAGTCCCGCCCGCATCTGGAACGAGCTGCTTCGCAGTTCCGGCTCCCGGCGCCCCAGAGAAGTTCGGGGAGCGGTGAGCCTAGCCGCCGCGCGCTCATGTTTATTCACGCGGCCTTGAGCAGCCGAGCTCCAATCCATATTAATCAACCGCTCGACCTACACAAGTCTAAGTTTACGGGAGAAAACCTAGTCCCCGAAAAGGAAGAACAGCAATCCGGACAAGCAGTTGGCGCCTTTGTCCCGCCAGCCCCTTCTCCAACCAGCCCAAAGTTGGGCAGCTGCTGCGAAGGAGGGTAAGGGCGATGATCAGAAGGGGGCTGATTGATGCCCCCAGGCGCTCGCCTCACCACTGGAGCTGGGAACAAGATCCCAAGGTAGTCCAATGGGTCTACCAGGGGCAGATTCCGTTTCCCGGCAAGAAAGAGTCCCACACTTGTGCCGACCCCCCTTCTAAAGTCCTATCAGGATTATGATTTATTTTTTACTAAATAAGCCCCCAAGACTTAGATAAATTTCAGGCTGCACAAAATCTGCTTTCCACTGTGGGTCTGCAGGGGTTAAATTAGCGGGGGGAGAGGCCGCACCTAATTTCAGACACTTTTCTTTCTAATGTGGCTCCAGCCCCAGAGGGAGGGGTCACCGGGACTGGAGGCTGGGGTGTCCTCTAAGACCCTCTCTCCCTTCCAGATCTCTCTGTTCCGTGCGGATCCTGCCAGAGCCCGCGTGATCATCGCCTCCCACACCCCTCCCTCCCTGACCTGGCCAGTCTCTTCTCCCAGGGAGGAACTTTGCGGAGGGGTCAGTGTTGGGAACCCTGGGGTCCTCCGCCGCCTCCTGATCTTCCGCCAGTCCCGCCACTCCTCCGCCCTGGGCGTGCCTTCCGCAGGTGAACCTGAAGGTGCGTCTGCAATGCTGCTGTTGCATTCTCGTTCTTGTAGATTCTTCTTCTATTCTCTCTCTTTGCCTTCCGTTTCACCCAGCACCCACTTTTCCTACGCTGCTCTGAAGAAGTTCTCTATCTTCTGTCTCAGGCTCTCCGTGCGTCCTTTCACTCGTCTTCACCCGGCCAGTCTATGCAGGCAGAGTAAGGCCATATGGGCGACCATTCGGATAATCCAATTTAAAAGAAACCCCCTTACAAAAATCCAGCTAAGCGAGAGGGGGCGAGGGAGAGCGCTCGCGCAAATGTTTGTTGTGCAGAATTCCCCTGTGTTTGTGCGCAGTCCCAACCCCACACAGTCTCCCCTGGATCCTGATGCGCGCCCGCATAGTGATGACTTCCAAATCTGGGGTTTACCACGTGGTGACAAATAAACAGGGGTACACTCCAAACCCGCTGGATGTCTATGTGTGCGCGCGCGCGTGAAGGAGCTTTTGTACATGCAATACCCTCAGGGCAAACGGAGAAAGCGCTAAAGGCTCCCCTGAACTCTGGGACAGTACCTGAGGGGGACTCTGGGGAGAACAGGCTGGCTCCCCAGGAGACACTACATAGTGATGACAAATCCACCTACAGGTGGTGACAACTCTAGGAAGTCCCCCTCACCTCCTGAGTTCGGGAGAGCCCCTTTAAAGGTAGTCTCTCTTCTGCAGACACTCCTCTCCACTCCCGACCTTATGAAAAGTGGCCCCAGTGGAGACAATCAATCTGAAAAGCTTCACTCGGTCTCTTTTACCCTAGGTTGTGCCTCTCCTTTCGGGATTTCAAGCTTTCTGCAAATGGCTAATTTCCTTAGGGTGATCCCAAAATAAAATGGTAGGGGTGGGCTAGAGAAGAGTGTGCTCAAGTGTAATCGACAACCAGTAATATCCCTTGAAGAGAGTCTGAAGACGTCCTGGTAATTTCCCTTAAGAAATCTGGTTTTACTGGTGGATCTCCATAGAATTCTTTGCCTAGAGGCTGGAAATGAGTAATAGGCCGTGTGTCTCCAAGGCCTCGGCTAATATGATACATACTTTCAAGAAGAGCAACGGGGTGTTTACAATTAGTACCTAAATTTCTTCTGTTTGAAAAAAAAAATACCTAAATAACCCCTCCCCCAATCAAGCACGAAGCTTGGAATTAAAAAGCCAACGCCAATTTTATTTCCTCCAGTCAAGCGTGAGTGATGGGGCGGCCGCGCAAGGGCAACGGAGTCCAGCGGACAAAGCTTGCAGAGAGGGGCAGTGGCCCGGAGGCAAGGGTGGCGGTGGGGGGGGTGGGGGGATGGGTCACAAAAGTAGAGCAACTGAGCTTGCTGCCTAGCGGTGCCACTTCCCTGCTCTGCGCTAAGGCTATCGTCGAAGGCCCAGAGACACCTTGACCCTGGAAACCCAATCCAGCACGTCCTGCCTCCCCACAAATATCCCTCACCCCAAATCGCTGTGCGTTTTGTCTCCTCAAAGCGACTCCCAATGGATTTGGATTTATTCAGATAGAACTCTTCGGAAGTTTTTCAGATTTTTCAATTTCAAGAATTTGCATGTTTTAAGTGAAGCTGAAACCGCGAAGGCTCAGGTTACACTTTAAAATATGCAAGGCTTCCGTGCGGCCCCGACATTTGGTAAGGCTCAATTGCTTAAGAAAAAAGAAAAAAAAAAGAACATTGCTTTGAGAATTTGGGGTGCCCCCCCCCCACTTTTGTCACAATTCAGAGCTTCATTCCCTCCGGCCGTCCAGGACGTCGAGAGAGCGGCTGGCCAGAGCTCAGCCCCGGCGCATTCGCAGGGACGTGTCAGCTGGGCAGGCTATAATTTGCATTATTCCATTAAGTTAGGAGCAGCGCTGATAACGACTGGAAAGTTCGACGGCTGGGTGGGCCCGCGACCCGCAGGCCTGGCGAGCAACCATCGAAAATAAAACAATTGCTGTCCTTGGCGGCAAAGGCCTCTATGGACGCCTCCAGGGCAGCGCAGGGAACCAAAGGGCACCCCAGATCTCTGCGGGTTCGCGCCTTGCCTCGTGGGGGACAGGAGGTTCTCTGTCCCATGAGGTTCAGTCAAGGACAAGGAGCCGGGAGGGGAAAGGGGCAGGAGCCAAGGAGAGAAACCTGAAAGAGGCAAACTTTAAATATATCGTAATTCTTTAAGGGGGTGGGCTCTGTGTTTCTTTGCAACTTCACAGTCTCACCATCCTCGGCTTTGGAGTGGATTTGGCAGTGAGGACAAGGACGGAACGCCGGTAGGGGAGTAGTTGCTTGTCTCTTGTTTATTCTTCTCCTCTTTTCCAGCGGCCCAGATAGGCTGAAGGCAAAACTCTCAGCAAGGGGGAAGCGACCATCCTGCGTGGACCTTTCTCCCAGGGGTGGGATGATGAAAAAAGAAATCCTCCTGGGGAAGCCCCTAGGTATCCCCCAGCCCCTACCTTTATTAGGAGGCCCGGGTTTCCCCCATTAAACTTATATTCATTCATTCATTCATTCATTCATTCGTTCATTCATTCATACCACGACTATTCAGTGAGCACCTACCATGTGCCAGACACAGTATTAGACTCTCAAAAACGCGGCATAAATGGAAACTAGGCCCTGAAGCCAGAGCCTCAGGACTGGCTCCCGGGAATGTTTGAAGATCATCGCGTATCTTGGAATTGCCAGGCTTCCTGCTCCACAGATTCCAGCGCTGGGCAAATGGACACAAGGAAACATAACTTCTGCATAACTTTTACTACTTCTTTCCTTTTTTCTTTTTTCAAGTAGCAAAGGACCATTAATTAGAAGAATAATTACTGCTACCCTATATTATCCCAACCTGTTCAATTTCTATCTGCCGCAGACAATGCTAATAATGGCAATTATTGCTTCTATAAACATCCCGAGGCAGCACTCTTCCCCCCGCAGTGTGTGTGTGTGTGTTTAAAGAATATATATAAAAAGTTCCCCGGCTCATTTGCATAGCTTCATCTTTACCTTTTCCCATTCAGCCCTTGCAAAAGCATATCTATTCAAAGCCCTTGCAAAAAGCATATCTATTCAAAGGGCATTTAGTCCATTTCTTTCTTGGCCGGTAAACCTATTCATCAATTGTTCTGCCTTGTAGATCGCATTCTAATGCTAATCTAGCGTGTTAAATATCTTTTTGTTCCCCTTTCACCGTTTTGTCATTCAGTTTATCCAGTTTTGGTCACCCATTTTATTTATTTATGCGCCTGCTCCTATTCAGGGGCTCATGTATTTTTTATTATGTTGTTTCACTGTCACGCAGTGTCAACTTAGTCTATTCAATGGGGGCTACTTGAAGGCCGGAGGGACAAAGCGTGTACACATTGCACCGCTATTCATTCCGGCCAGCTGGATCGGCTGAAAAAAAAACCTTGTGAAAAGAAACGCCTCACAATGGACACAGAAGAAGTGCACAATGCTAACAGTTTTCCAAATACCACTGATTGGTTTCTTCACAATGAGGAGAAAGCCGCCGCTTTTTCTTAGCTCCACTTCAACAAACAACACTCTCACAAAACCTCCCAACCCTGCGTTTTGTTCTCGGACAAAACCTCCTCGACTGTCTAAACGCTCCCACTGAAGGACAAAAAAAAAAAAAAGGATAAAAAAAGCTCTTTTCACCATTTCCCTTTTTTTCCCCCCTGCAAGAGAGAAAAAAGAAAAGGGGGGGAGGAATTGTCAGTGCATTAATAATATCAGTCTTTTAAAAGAAGAGGGCTGACCTTTGAGATGCACTGGGCTGAGGGAGAAAGAAAGGAGGAGAGATTAATAAAGTTTGGACGGCTCCCTCGGCCTCCGCTGGGCCGCGGGCGCAAGAAAGACGCGGACCCTCGAGGCGGACGAGTTGCGGGAACTTCGCTTGCCTGGAGGACACGGCGGCCCAGGCGGCCGGGAGCGCCGGCGCCGAGCCGCGCTCTGATTGGCTGGCGCGACCGTCCCTATCTGCTCCGGGGAGAGTGGAATCTTCTCTCCATCTTCTGCGCCCCGAGCCTGGGGTGAGAGGGAGATCCGCGGTGCTTTCTCCTATCTTCTTGGGGGAGGGGGAGGAGGAAATTGTCAAGGGAAGTAACAATCGCGGCCAGCAACCCTGCTCTCCCAAAGCCACCCCCTCGCGCGACAGCGTCCCCAGCACCAGTTCTTACTGCTTACACAGCGCAATTCCACCTGTTTGCACAAAGCCCGAAGCAACATGCCTGGCCCCTTGGATACGAGGCTTGCTTCAAGTTTTGGGACAACGGTGAATACCAAAGAAATTGCATCATGGCTTTAAAAAAAACCTTGAAAAGAAACGAAAATAGAAGAATAAAAGGAAGGGAAAGAAGAAAGATGGAAGGAAGGAAGGAGAGAGAAGGAAAGAAAGAAAAATGGAGAAACAGGGAGAGAGACGGAGATAGATAAAGAGATGGAGATAGAGATCGCGAGCCAGCAGCAGCTCTCTGCCCAATCACAGCGCTGCATTTGTGGGCCACTTTCAGACGCTTACACCACCCACCCCCGGGCCTTTCTCTACGCCCTCTTGCCCCGGAGCCGCTCCCCCCGCTCCAACCCCTTACTTCTGCACAGTCTAACTTGGCAGGAGGCTCTCTGCAGGCGCAAAACCCGCCAACTTGTTAGCAAGACCATTGGAGTCAGAATGGGTGATAAACGAGTCTGTGGGGCCTGTGGAGGTCCTCAAACAGCCGCACAATCTGTTGGCGATATGACCTCGGTGCTCCCCCTCGGCATCCTCACCCCTCCTCTTACCCATCTTTCCAGTCCTCTTCTCATTCATCAACAACTCCGGAGCGTTTCTCCCAGAAAACGCTGATCTTTGGGAAAAGGGGAGGGGGCGGGAGGAGGCGGGGAGTCTTCAGGCCGAGGAGGCGGCCGAGCTGGAAGGCTCAGGGTGGTAACTAAGATTTAGGGCTGGGGTGATTTCCAGCGAGCCGCAGGAAGTTCCGTGTTGAGAAGGGATGGGCTGCTACAAAAGGGAAAGACGAAGCCTTGAAAGGATTTAATTAACCGTGTCAGGGATAATTACCCCTGGACAGTCCAAATTAGTTTTGCATAATCGCTCAGAACCATATGAATTAACTTATAATATTGCAAAGAGCTCAGGGAATAACAGGAGAGGGATCATTTTAATTAGTGAATCAGGGTCAAACCAGCAGAGCCTATTTCTCACATTTCCAAAACTTTTCATGGTTTTTAAAATATTATTCCGTTGGGGGAAAACAATGACTTTAAAGACTTGGGTCGTTTATAAAGACGTGCAGCTCCAGAGATGGTCTCAATGGGGAAACTGGTTTAAGACTTGTATATAGTATCTTGAGAATTTCCATTTTGGTTGCGGGGGGGCGAGATCTTCCTATTTTTTTTTTTCTGACAGTCTTCTATTTCTTGTCTAAAATTAAAATCCTTTATGATTTTTCAAACTTTAGTAGCAATTTGTCTAGCCCTAGAAATCCAACCCTCTCCATTTGAATGTTATACTTCTACTTTAATGCGATTAGCATAACAAAATTAAGTCCTAAAGAGGCCAAAATTTGTACTTTGTCGTTAGTAGTGATTATCCTTCCAAATAAAACCTTAAGGTGTCAACAAGGAATACCCCAAAGATAGGAGAACAAATTACACTGATTTAAGTGGTGGGGCTCTTCAACTAACAAGATAAAGTGGTCAAGCAACTTTCCCCTCTTAAAATGTTACTAGAAACTGGTGAAATGCTTTGAAAGGTCTGGATGTTTTCAATGGGCTCTGTTCTACTGGTTCATGAATGCCTTTTTTTTGTTGTTGTTAAAGCTAATACAACGACTTGGGCTTTTTAAAAATCTTCTTTCCTATTCACGATTAAAAATGTGATAAATCAGGTTTTTGGCTCTGAATAACAATGGCTTGATTTAGATTTCCTAGTAAATCTATTCAAAAGTGAAACAAAGGGTGCCTTTGGAGGATACCTTACACTTCACCTGGACCAGGCACGTAAGGGCAATTCAGATAAAAATCTTGTTAGGAACTCAACAAGAAATAGAAGATTTTTCTTTTCCCTGGTTCAGGCTTTATTTAAACTCTTTGTTCAAAAAAAATGAACAGAGTGATAGTCGGATTCTAATTTACAGATATACCTTAGACGTCTAATATTAAATTAGAAGGTCACACTAGAAAATCATTTACACATAAAGGTTAAAACCATATTTAAAATTTTAAAAACTTTATATTACATAAAGCCAAAATGAAACTAAATACATGTTAGCCAACTTCATTCACAAACATTAGTCAAAATATATACATTTAAAAAGAAACAAAGCTAATAATTGAAGGTTCCTTTTTTCTAAAATGTGTTTTATTGCAATTTGCAAATGAATTGCAGGTGATCTAAAAAATAAGCCAATTGAGGAGGGAAATCCAAAACACATTAAACCAGCTCAACTTGGGAGAGAAATGCTAGCTGAAAATGAGAGACATCTGTTGAAACAATTCTGTGCTTTTTTTCTTCAGTTTTGCTAAATAATAAATATATAATTACCAGACAAAAAAGTCTGATTTAATCTTCGATAAAATTGCGATTCTGAAATAGTTTCGCAATTTTTAAAAGTTAACTTTGATATTCGCTCAAAATGTTTTTGAGTCTAAAGTCGACTCAAACTTAGGGCAACGAAAATAACACATTTTCCAAGCCTCAATGTTTTCACTGACATATACACATTTACAATCTTAAGGTGAACTCAGCCATAAGGGAAAATAGGAGCAGTGCCTTTTTCCTTTTTTGTAAACTGTGTCAGAAATCCAAGCGAGTGGACTCAGGGAGACTTCTAGTAGTTTGTTGTTGTTGTTTGTTTAGGAAGAAAATCCAATTGACAACTTTCATCTCACAAATATTTCTTGTTTGCGTTTCTTGCCCTTGAGAAAGAGCTCTTGCTCTGATTTGCAAATGGCGTGATAAACAAAAGAAACCGTGATCATCTCACACAAAAGGCCAGATTCGAGCCGGTCACTGGTCAAGAATGGATCTGGTTGGGAGTTCTGCTTGAGAGAACAGAGATCTGCAAAGTTCAAATAGTACAAACAGGGAGGCGAGGCTGCTCAGAGCCATCCCACTCCCAGAAACGAATGACACAAGCAGCTTTTCCCGTGTGCCAGCCATTTCAGACCTCACATTTGAACAGCGTGCATGCAACACGGACCGGGAGGGGGTTGGGGGTTGGGGGGCTGAGGGGCGAGGAAGAAGAATGAGAAACAAAAACAAAACCGACCATGAAACTTCCAACAAAACTGGAAAGGCCAACATGTCAAAAAGTTACTCCTCCACCTCCGTGGGTCAAAACGCAACAGGTTCCGAAGTGCAAAGCAAACGCCAACTGCTGCCGCACACAACCGCCTGCTTTCGAGTTGGCTGCCGAAGTGCGGGTCTGAAATGATCCTGCGAATTCACAGGCCTGCTCGCCCGCGCCCTTGCGCGCTTGGCCACTCCTGCCCCGCCTGGCCTCTCTGCCTCTACCTGGCACCTATACATTCTATGTACATACAAACCGGGCCCCCGGTCGCGGGAGGGCGCACGGGGAGGCCGCAGCGCTCGTACCTATACATATGTACACGTGTGCACACCGGTCCTCGCGAGGCGGCCCCGCGGGGTCATAGCGCGGCAGCGTAGGCCGCGGGGTAGGGGTCCAGCTGGGGCTTGCCCATGCCCGGCAGCAGGATGTAGGCGAGCGGCGGCTGCAGCCCGGGGCTGGGCCACGCGCTGCAGTTGCACGGGATCATGTAGCCCGGGTTGCCCGGGCTGGGGTGCGAGTGCGTGTGCCCCCCGGCGGCGGCGGCCGCCGCTGCAGCCGCCGCCGCCGCGCCGTGGAAGGCGCCCGCGCCCGCGGTCGGGTAGCCCAGCGACGACGCGTACGGGAGGCCGGACGAGGACGACGAGATCTCTGCCATTTTGGAGCCCAGGTCGAGCAGCGAGTAGGGGCTGCCCGCGGCGGCGGCGGCGGCGGCAGCGGCGGCGGCAGCGGCCGACTGCGGGAAGAAGACGCGTGCGGCGGCAGCGGCGGCGGCCGCGGCCGCCTTCTCGGGATTGGCGAGCAGCGACTCAGGCACCAGGCCGCCGCCCGCCCCCGCGTGCAGCCCGGCGCCCGCCTTGAGCGCAGGGTGCTCGGCGTCCGCCACGCCGCCCAGGCCGTAGGGCACCGGGAAGGCGAACTTGTCCTTCTTGAGCAGCGTCTTGGGCTTGCGCCGCGGCCGGTACTTGTAGTCGGGGTGCTCCTTCATGTGCATGGCGCGTAGACGCTTGGCCTCGTCGATGAACGGCCGCTTCTCCGACTCTGTGAGCAGTTTCCACTCGGCGCCCAAGCGCTTGCTGATCTCCGAGTTGTGCATCTTGGGGTTCTCCTGGGCCATCTTGCGCCGCTGAGCCCGCGACCACACCATGAAGGCGTTCATGGGCCGCTTGACGTGGTCCACCGGCTTGGACATGCTCTCGCCCTGCCGCGGCTGCAGCCCGCCGCCTCCCGGGCCCTCGCCCTCGGCCCGGAGGAAATCAATGTTGGCTGCCCGCGGAGACCCGCTCGGCCGGCCGGGGCTCGTCGCGCCCCGGCGTCGCTCCCGCCCCGGAGGAGGGGGCTGGGGGACCAGCCCAGGGCCACGCCGCGCCCCGGGCCGCCTTAGTGTCTCCGGCCGAGCGCTCGAGCAGGTTGTCTCTGGGACACTCTAACTTCTCGGCGGTGCCCCCTCCCCGCGGCGGCAGTTTGCCCTTTACGTTCTTTGGGTCCTTCGTCTGCAGTGGCGTTTGCTGGTGAGCTCCCCGCAGGTAGCGGCGGCCGGGCAGAGCGCTCCTCCTCCTCGGTCGTTCTCTCTTAAATGCAAAGCGTCCCCAAAAGTTGCGTCGCGGAGACTCCTCGAAGTTGAGCCGAGGAGCCCGCCGCCGCGTGCTGCCAAGTGCCAAAGGGGGCTCTCAGCGGCTGGAGTGTTTGGGTTCTCCTCGGTGACTTTCTCATTTGACAGAAGCAGATGGGGGTGGGGAAGGCGGGGAGGTGGCCCTGGAGGAGGAAGAGGAGGGGGAGGCGGAGGAGTGTCCAGGCGTGCCACGAGAACGCAGAGCGCAGCAATGGATATAAATACAAATACAGCAGCACCAGCCTGTCTTCTTGGCTCCGGGCAGGGTGCGCCGATGGGAAACCCCCAATCGGCTGGGTGATTTTTTTTTTTTGGAGGGGGGAGCTGTCCCCCGCAGCACCTGCCTCTCGAGTCTTCCTCTCCCGCTGCTGGACTGACGGGTGGGGCGAGGAAGGAGGGTGGATGAGGCTTGAGCAAGCGTTGGTCGCCCGGCCTCAGAGGAAGTTCTCCCGGCTCGCCGAGGAGCCGCGTCCGGCCGTCCCCTGGGCCATGCCGGCTCTGTTCGCTCCGAGCCCCTTCAGGCGCGCCTGCCGACTTAGGGCTCCCGGAGCTCGCCGGCCGCGGAGGGCAGCGCAGCCTCCACGCGGCGCCGCAGGCCTGGCACCGGCCGCGTCCCCGCCTCGCTCTTCTCGGCAGCCGCCTGGCACTTGCAACTAACTTCGCCCAAGTTTCCTGCGCCGCGGCGCCCCTCTCGGCGCGCTCCTGGGAGCGTGCGCCCGCGAGTCCGCCGCGCCCGGGGCCCCTCTGTCCTCGCTGCTGTGGCCAGAGCCGAGCCGGCGCAGGGGCGGAGGTGCTGCAGGAGAGTTAAGGAAAACGGGCCATCACCTCAGTTCGCAGGTCCGCGCTGTGGCACCTCCCGCTCTCCCCACTCCCGCGGCGCAGGGGGCCCCTTCCCAGCCCAGGCCGCCCTCTGCACCGGCTCAGGTGAGTGTGGCTACCTGCATGTGTGCGCGCCCGGAGCCGGCACTGGGTGTGCATGTCCAGCCGCGGCTGTGTGTGTATATCTGGGGGCCTGCGGAGGAGGTGGAGCCCAGGACTCGGGGAGGGAGGAGGGATCAGCGGAGCCGCCTCCCGCTCCCACACCCCCAGGACCTCGAATTAACAGATCCCCTCCGCCCCCCGCCCCCTCCCAATCCTCCTCCTCCCACTCCTTTTCACTTGAGAGCAGGTTTAGGCGAGTGGAGAGTCCGGAGCGCGCCGGGGAGTCTGCGCCCTGTTTGGCGTTGGCAAACCCTGGTGTCATCCCGGCTACCCAGGCCGGCCTGGCGTGCAGCTGCCCTGGTTGTGGCCCTGGAATCCTCGCCGGGAGGAAGAAGGCGGCGGGCACGAGTAGGAGAGCCTCTCCAGCTACGGAGGAAGAGGGTTAAACCTGGAGAAGGGGAGACTCACCCTTGAAAATGTTTGAGACTGTTCCTAGCAAGAAAGTGCTCATTTTCCTTGGAGGTCCAGGTGTTGCTTGCAACAGAAACAGAGGCTTCTCGCATTTTCTTGCACTGGCGATGCACCTAGTCAGAGGTAGTGGAGTGAAAAATAACTCTGGAGGGAATAAGGACATTCTTGGCAACCTTTCCAAAAAAGAGCTAGCCCAGACTGAGAGTATGCATCCTTGACTGACTATTCAGCTCTTTAAAAATTCTGTGTTGTTTGTCTTTTGTTGTAATCTTGGTCGCCAGAACCATCTATATACTGATCTCTTTAAGGTACAGTTAACTTACAGTGTCTCACTTACATGCGCTGCTGAGGTGAAGGTGTTTAAAATCAATAAGTGTAAGTAGTTTCCCTGGAAGAGAGAAGTAAAACGTACCAATCACTCAGTGCTGGAATATTTTTATGCTAAGCATAATTTCCTTCTTTAGTAGTTAGAGCAGTTTTTTAAAAAAAATAGTTAACACGATGCAGAAGTCAAACAGCATGATTCTGTTTCCGTATTTTCCTCACTTTTTGGTATGCTGCGGCACATTTAGAACATGATCTGTCTGGAGGTTTTATTCACATGGTGGCCTGCCCTTCAGGGAGAACTTGCTTGCCTTCTTTCTTTGGCAGTTTGGATTTGACCTAGCCCTGTGGTATGTGCAAGTAGGAACATCTACAAACGGTTAACTCTTTAAGTCTTCCTACGATTTATGTTCAGTTCATTCACACACACACACACACACACACACACACACACACAAAAGCTTTGATTGTAATTATGAACGTGAATTAAAACTGTTTCAGGCCATCAGATTTATGTAAAAGTTAGGCTTGTTTTGTTCATTTTAATAAAAGAATAGTGACTTAAAAATTACAGTCGTGATAACAAAACTGTGAACAGCAGTGGCATCTATGTGGGTTTTTGTTTTTCTGAAGATGTCGTATTGACAAGCTTATTTTGTATCGGTTATGCCCTTGCATTGTTAAAATAATTGGACTGATTTCTCCAGAACCATATTCCTTTACAGGCTCTGTAAAGACACTCTTGTCATTCACAGACTCTGGCTGGAGCAATGGGAAAACACTAGCATGTGTAATTACATAGACTGGAATATTAAATATACTGTTTTGTGATGATAAACTACAAAATTATCGTC
Organism: Homo sapiens; assembly: GCF_000001405.40. Taxonomy (NCBI): domain Eukaryota; kingdom Metazoa; phylum Chordata; class Mammalia; order Primates; family Hominidae; genus Homo; species Homo sapiens. Next base: position 94,715,040 of record NC_000013.11, read on the forward strand.
CCTGAGCTTTTCACCTACTGACTTATAGGTTTGAGACAAAAATACTATACACTGGAACATAAAGAACATATGTATATATAGGCCACAAAACATGAAATCTGTTATTCACTAAATATTGTGAATAAAGTTAAATTTAATCGTGAAAATTATTTTGACACATAAAAAGGGAGAAGGATTGTGAAAATGTGTTTTATATTAGTGAGTTAAGTGATTTTATACTATTCAAATTTAAGTGTAAAAATCTACTGCAATAAATTATTACATTAGAAATGTTTGTATATATGATTGAAATGTATGCTTACATGTGCAATGTCTTATAGGAATAATATATGTAAGGTTCCTTGGCTATAGTTTTTTCCAGTATACATTTACAATATTGTCTGTCTAGTGATATTAAATGAGCCAAATTTGAACACTCTCAAGTCCAAGAATGTTGAACTGTGGGAAACAAAGGTGTCATAAGAAGAAAATGACTATTTGTGTGCTTGTCTATTCACCAAATGAAACTTCCCACATTTCAAAATAGGAAAGATTTGGTTTTAGTTCTTGGCTTCTAGGGGATCAATATTCTTGGCCTAACCCTTCACAACCAAAGAAAGAGCCCTCATAATCGGCCATTCATTAAAGAAAGGCAATGTGGCATTGCTGTTATTAACCAGCCTTCACACCTCTTGCCTGAATCTGGTTGAGCTTTTAACAAAGTAAATTTTCAAGCCATTTTCATTCATATGTACCAAAATGTAAATTTGCTTTTAATTTCCTCATATCTTGTGTTTGAATTGATAGAGGTATATTTTTATTCTTGCTCAGTTTTGTCCTAAAGATTAAAAAAATCCCAGCATATAGGAAATGGAATAGTCTGTGTGAGTGAATAGTGAAGGAAAATAAATTGAAAGAGAATTGTAAGTTTGATGAGCTTTATTTTGTCAACTCTTGATTGTAAACACCTAAAGAACAGTATAGATTTGATCGGTAGAATTCGTGTGGGTCTGTATTTCCCTTGCGGCCACAGTGATATATGTGATCGCAAATGTATCTAGTCGGAAACTGAGTGACACTCCCTCAGAAAAAGTTGTGGGCCTGTGTAAATTGAGTTTCCTCTTTTCCCCCTTCAATTCTCCCCAGAAAATAGTCTCTTTTCAATTCTAAAACTTTCACTAGGAGGCAGCAATGAGATTGTTGGGGAATAAAAAATACCTTGGCAACACGACAGGCTGGCTTGCTTGCTTTCTCTTCCACAAGGGAGGGGAGAATTCTTGGGTCCCAATGTGAACAGAATCATTGTCCCCCATCATTTCATCCTCCTCTCTCTCATTGGATTTTCACCTAGGTGGCTCATTGTCACATTTTTCTAGAACCATAGGGATGATAAAGCAGCAAGCCAATGGGGTAATGAGAGGTGACTAGATGGAAGTGATGGGCAGTGAAGGTGATACCTTCAAAGTGCAGAGGCCAAATAATCATTCATGGACACTGAGAGCTGACAGCTGTTGTTAGAGAATGTTGGAGATCTGTTCTTAAGCAAGTGCAGTGGAAGAATTCAGAAGCTTTCATACCTGCATAGAGAGGTGATATAGCCTGTTTGTCCTGTTAAGAAGAAAATGAGAAGACTGTGACAACAGCCAACCCTGAGGCTTTTGCCACAGTTCTCTGGTCTCACTCCTATTAGCCCCCAAAAGGGGGAAAAATCCCAAACACATGATCTCCGTAAAGCCCAAGAGACAAAAAGAGCTGTTTGAGGTCAAGTCATGATGGAAAGCAACGGCTGTAAGAGTGGCCCTTCACCAGTGCCTGCTAATTTTTTTATCCTTTTGAGATTTCTGTCCTTTTATTCTCACTGTTACTGCCACACTTGGAAACTGGGAATATACAGATCAATCATGGAGAACACCTTTCCTCATGTCTCCTGAGCAGGGCTCAAGCAGGCTGACATTTTCAAAAGGAGCCTTACCTAGAGGATAGAGCAGGAAAAACAATGTCAAAAACAGTCCCCTCTTGCCCCCCGCAAAAAAAAAAATAAGAGAAAAAAGACAATACAAATAATTCAAAACAGACAACTTCACAAAGTACCTATGTCAAATCCCAAGAATCCTATAAAAGCATAATTTTCTTAGGATAAGAACCTTTTTTGTTTTGTAAGTGAGAGGGAGCTAATCTTGAATAAAACTAGAAATGAATGAGGAGGGTTGGATAGTGAGGGTGTCATTGGCCTGGGTAGTGAAAACTTCCAGCCTTCTGTAGCTATTACATGAGGAGACTGGCTTTTGGTAGGGTGGGGTTCCTTGTGAATGATGAATCACCAACCATGCCCCCGTTTATTTTGAGAAGAACAAACCTGAGAAAGGGGGTTCTCTTAAATATCCCAGCAGGGTGGTAGATAAGCCATGCTTCTGGCTTTACAGAAGTCACTCTGACTGTCCCCCTCTTCCAGCTTCTGGCTTGCCCAGCCCTGTGCCTTCCTCCCACTCATATTCAGGTTCCTATCTAAGGACGGGTCTGCTTTAGAGCTAAATTGCTGAGTGGCTCTGCTTCTTAAAAGAATAAAAAAATACATAGCTATCAGTTATTGAGTTTTAAGATACCACACCTTTTGCACACATTATTCTATTTAACTTTTAGGAAAACCCTGTGATGTAAGCATTACCATCTCCAATTTGCAGACTGGGGAACGAAGCCTTAGAGCAGATGAGTAAGTAACTTGCCTAAAGTCACACAACCATAAAAGGAAGAATTGGGATTTGAACTAAGCTGATGTTTTTAACCTCCAGCACTTAGAGTCCCAATGGAAGGCTCAGCCCCTTTCCAGTGCAGATTCTCAATTCTATCTACTTCCCCAAGCTTTGTGTGACTCATTCAGCGCCCCACTCCCTCTATGAGGGAGTAGCCCAGTGGCAATCTCCCCAGTAAGGCATTCCAACCCCACAACAACGACACCCCAATCAGAAGAAGCAGTTTCTCTAAGTCCCATCCCTGCTGTTCTGGGGCCAGGCCTCCCCTTGCTCATGTAGCCCTCAGCACAGATTTGGTGTCAGCTGCAATCCACCATCACTCACTCCCTAGGCCTCCCGCTGCAAACACTGAACAATTGCCTGCCCTGAATAAACCCAATCTCTACCCTTTCTCTGATAGCCAAAGGCTGCTCCAACAATGTTATCTAATTTCAGTCTTTATTTTCTCCCAACCCTAGATGTCCGGCCTTTCCCTCCCTTTCTACCTTTCTTTTGTGAACCCCAAGTACACAAAATTGGTTTAATCACAGTTCGTGACTCATGATTCACTCTCATAATTGGTCCATCAATGGCCTAGTTTTCTTTAGTTAGTTATATTTAATACTTTAACAAGTGCTTTTATGAGTCCACCACTCAAAATAAAATCTGCCAATAAACCTAACTAAATGATCTCTCCAGTAAACTCTGCACTCGCCTTCCCCAACCCAATGTAGCTATTTTCATTCCATTGATTTTTATATAGTTTTGCTTTCTTTTTTTTAACAATACATATAGCATACTTATTTATTTATTTATTTTTTATTAGTATACTTTAAGTTCTAGGGTACATGTGCACAACATGCAGGTTTGTTACATATGTATACATGTGCCATGTTGGTGTGCTGCACCCATTAACTCATCATTTACATTAGGTATATCTCCTAATGCTATCCCTCCCCACTCCCCCCACCCCACAACAGGCCCCAGTGTGTGATGTTCCCCTTCCTATGTCTAAGTGTTCTCATTGTTCAATTCCCACCTATGAGTGAGAACATGCGGTGTTTGGCTTTCTGTCCTTGCAATAGTTTGCTGAGAATGATGGTTTCCAGCTGCATCCATGTCCCTACAAAGGACATGAACCCATCCTTTTTTATGGCTGCATAGTATTCCATGGTGTATATGTGCCACATTTTCTTTATCCAGTCTATCATTGATGGACATTTGGGTTGGTTCCAAGTCTTTGCTATTGTGAATAGTTTATATAGTTTTTCATCTAGATGTATGCTTTAAAAATATGTTTTTATTTTATTGTGTTTTTAACATAGAAGTTTTCATAAGTTAAATTTTTTGTATGTAATCTTTATTGTCTAACTTTTGTATATAATCTTTATTGTATAACTTTGGATTCATCAATGTTACTGCATGTCACTGTAGTTTATTCATTTTAGCTGCTACTAATATTTGGTTATGTAAATATACCACAGTTTATTGCTTACTGTCATGTTGATGAGCATGTGGGTTGTCTTCAGTTTTTAACCATTATGAACTGACTGCTATATGCATTCTTGTTTGTGTCTACTGTTGGACATGTGTACAAGTGAAAAGCTGTAAAAATGGGAAACCCACTTGTGCTTTACCCTTTTTCCATGTAGATCCCTTTGAGTTTCTGTTCACTTTTGATTTTTTTTCTAGGCATTCAGGGGTTTTTATATTTTTGTCCCAAGTTTATTATTTATAGGAGGGTTGGTCTTATAGGAGCCATTTCTGTGTTACCAGCATCCATCTGAAATTGATTTTTATGTATAGTATGAGGTTTGACATTTTTTCCATATAGATAGTCAATTTTTTAGAACCATCAATTTTAAAAATTGCATTTTTATACCACACATGTGTGCTACCTTTGCCCTAAATAAAATTGATGTAAGTTGGTTTCTGAGCTATTTTGCTTTATGTTTAAAATTTTTTCTATTTTTGCACCATATTGCACTATCTTAATTCTGATAAGGAGCAAGTTCTCCCATCATTTTCATCTTATTCAAAAGTATCTTGGCTATTCTTGGCCTTTGCATTTCTATATAAATCTTAGAACAGATTGTCAGGTTCCAAATACTTTCTCTCTCTCTCTCTCTCCCTCTCTCTCTCTTTTGAAACAAGGTCTCACTCTGTGGCCTGGGATGGAGTGCTGGGGCATAATCATGACTCATTGAAGCCTTGACCTCCCAGGCTCAATATCCTCCCATCTCAGCCTCCCAAGTAGCTGGAACCACAGGTGTGTCCCATTATGTCCACTAATTTTTTATTTGTTGTAGAGATGGAGTCTCTTTATGTTGCCTAGGTTGGCCTCGAATTCCTGGGGTCAAGAGATCCTCCCATCTCAGCCTTCTAAAGTACTGGGATAACAGGCATGAACCACCATGCCTGCCCCCAAATATTCTTTAAAAACTGATTTTCTTTTCTTTTCTTTTTTTTTGAGACGGAGTCTCGCTCTGTTGCCCAGGCTGGAGTGCAATGGCGAGATCTTGGCTCACTACAACCTCTACCTCCCGGGTTCAAGCAGTGCCCTGCCTCAGCCTCCTGAGTACCTGGGATTACAGGCACCTGCCACCACATCCAGCTAATTTTTTTTTGTATTTTTAGTAGAGATGGGGTTTCATCATCTTGGCCAGGCTGGTCTTGAACTGACCTCGTGATCCACCCGCCTTGGCCTCTCAAAGAGCTGGGATTACAGGAGTGATTATTTTTTTTAAAAACCTTTTAATCAAGACTGCTATAAATCTCTAGGCTGACTTAGGGAGAATTGACATCTTCACATTGTTAACACTTCTAATTCACGAACTTAGTATCCTTCCATTAATTTCATTGTTCTGAGGGGCACAGTGGCTCATGCCTATAATCCCAGCACTTTGGAAGGCTGAGGTGGGTGGATCACGAGGTCAGGAGTTGGAGACCAGCCTGACCAACATGGTGAAACCTCATCTCTACTAAAAATACAAAAATGAGCTGGGCGTGGTGGAACACACCTGTAATCCCAGCTACTCAGGAGGCTGAGGCAGGAAAATCGCTTGAACTCGGGAGGTGAAGGTTGCAGTGAGCTGAGATCGCGCCATTGCACTCCAGCCTGGGCAACAGAGACTCCATCTCAAAAAAAAAATAAAAAATTCTATTGTGCTTTCATTTATCTCAGTAATATAGTTTTCTGGTAAAGTTCTTACACATTTAAAATTCCTAGGTTTTTAAAGTATTTTTGATACTATTACAAATTGCGTATTTTTAAGATGATATCTTTTTTTATATATTTTATAGTTTTGAGATGGAGTCTCACTCTGTCGCCCAGGCTGGAATGCAGTGGCTTGATCTGGGCTCACTGCAGCCTCTGCCTCCTGGTTTCCAGAGATTCTCCTGCCTCAGCCTCTGGAGTAGCTGGTACTACAGGTGCCCACTACCATGACCTGCTAATCTTTGTATTTTTAGTAGAGATGGGGTTTCACCACCTTAGCCAGGCTGGTCCCAAACTCCTGGCCTCAAGTGATCTGCCTGTCTCAGCCTCCCAAAGTGCTGGAATTAGAGGTGTGAGCCATGGCACCATGCCAAGATGATACCTTTTTTAAAAGATAGTGTCTTTTTAAGAATTTGATTTTCTGTTTGTTGCTGGTATGTAGAAATACAATTAATTTTTATATACTGACTTTGTAAGTTGCTATCTTGTGATACCATTTTTATTTTACTTTTTATTTTTTGTTGTTTTGAGACAGGGTCTCACTCTGTCACCCAGGCTGGACTGCAGTGGCCTGATCTCTGCTCACTGCAACTTCCACCTCCTGAGTTCAAGCAATTCTCATGCCTCACCCTCCTGAGCAGCTGGAACTATAGATGCGTGCCACCATGCTCTGCTAAGTTTTTGCATTTTTGGTAGAGACGGGGTTTCACCATGTTGCCCAGGCTGCTCTCAAACTCCTGGGCTCAGGCAATCCACCCACCCATCTTGGCCTCCCAAAGTGCTGGGATTGCAGGCATGAGCCACCGCACCCAGCCCAAAACCATTTTTAATTCAAATGATTTATTTGTAGTTTTTTTGAGGTTTTCTATGTCCAAAATCATATCATCTGTGAATATTGAGAGTTTTCTTTCTTCCTTTCCCATTCTTAAATATTTTATTTATTTTTCTTACCTTACTGCACTGTCTAGATTCTTCAGTTTGTTGCTGAACAGAATTCGTGATGGTAGGTGTCTTTGTCTTTTTCCTGATCAACGTACGGCATAGCTGGGGGTCACCGTACTCTTTTCAGAGCTTAACCTAGTCCAGCCCTGGTCCCCACTGCCACTCAATCACATACATCTATGCATCTTCCTGGAATTATGCTTGGTTATGCCTTTCTTAGTTTAGACAGTTGACCAAACAAGTCATCCAGTCTTTATCTCTAGAACAAGAACTCCACCTGGTTTAGTCCATGAACTCCGAACACTGAAGGAGTAACTCCTTCCTTAGTTCCTCCATCAGCTTAGCATAGATTTTTGCCAAATATAATTGCTCAGCACTTGCCTGGTTATGGTATTACGCTATTTGCTTCAGCTTGGTTTTATCCTGCTGTGCTATCTGCATCTCACCTTAGGAAACGTGGCCTCAGTACCTGCACCATTAGGCACAAACTCCAGAGTCTGTGTCACAGAGCCAGTTTTCCGTAGTTTCTTCCACTACTTCTGGAGCGTGTGACTGCTTGGTTCAGCCTCAGTGCCTAGTGTCTTGAAAACAAGCCAAGACCCCCAATCATTGCACGTGGTCCAAACATTTTAAATGAGGACATTTGTTTTACCCAACAGCATAGTGTTCCCTTCCTCTAGAGGCAGGGTAAAATAACCCATGAGCAAGCAAATGCCATAATTCCTTCTAATTTTTGTAACTGGAATGTAATAAGAGGACACAAGACGGGAATCCTGAAGTATTCAAGAACAGTGATTAGTCTGATAGCCATCTGCACCTAATCATCCCAGCTGCCTGAAAAGTTAACTCATGACCTCAGTGGACTTATCACCCCCTGGTATTTGTAGAGCCACATTGTAATTTAGTGCTTTGTTTGTGCACTAAAGTGTTTCTATACACTAACTTCCTAGTTGACGTGTCCTTTTGTTCATTATCAGCCGCCAATTTCACATTCCAGTCGGTTGTCAGGAGTGGCTAGACTCTCTGATCATAGGCAAGCCTGCAGCGCTGCTTTTCAATACACTTTTAAAACAGTATTTGACGTTTATGCATGTATATTGTCTACCAGCAAGTATATCTATTGCTGTCAAACAAAGCCCTGGATTTGATTAAAAAAAAATTTGTCTTCCTTTATTTACTTGAGGCCAAAGGGGGCATTCATTGTATCACAGGACTGGCTTTTTAGCAAAATTCTGACTTTACTATAAGGACACGTGGCAGTGAGTTAAGGGGTTAGCAACAACCTGACAAGAAAATACTGTCTGACGGATCTGTTAGTAATAACATGGAGTTGCGCTTTTTTTTTCTTTTTTCTATTTTTTTTTTTTTTGAAACAGGGTCTTACTCTGTCACCCAGGCTGGAATGCAGTGGTGCAATCTCAGCTCACTGTAGCATTGACCCCCCCGGGCTCAGGTGATCCTCCTTCCTTAGCCTCCCAAGTAGCTGGGACCACAGGTGTAGACCACCACACCCAGCTAATTTTTGTATTTTTTGTAGAGATGGGGTTTCACCATGTTGCCCAGGCTGGTCTTAAACTCCTGAGCCCAAGCAATCCGCCTGCCTCAGCCTCCTAAAGTGCTGGTATTACAGGAGTGAGCCACAGTATCCAGGCTGGAGTTGCTTTTCCTATAAACCTTTTCTGACGCAACTTCAAGAGACTGAGTTGGCTAGTCCCTACTTTATGATTCTTCATACACTGGATCACCTATTATTCTAGTGCCAATACGTCTTGGTTACAACTGTTAACTCATATGTGTTTCCTTACTTAACTTTAAACACCCCAAGGGCAGGGACCATATCTTACTGATCTTTGTATCTCAGCACCTAGCAAGCCTCCTGGCACCAAATAGGCACTCAATAAATTGTTGATGAATGAACGAATGAATCAACTACATGCTCTGAGTCTGTGCACAGCCAAGGAGAAAGGAGAGGTTCAGGACCTAACCTTGTGATTCAGACACAGGATTATTAAGCTAATCTTAATTAATTAATCTTAATGAAGTCTAGAGTAGTGCTGGAAATGAAATGACTTAAACACTGTTTCTGATACCCACAAGTAACGCTCCCACATTGTTACCTCCTATCATCAGTATAGTTCAAGTATAATCTGCCCCACCTCCCCTCTTCTACCAAACAGTTTGGTCATTATGTAAGTCCTTAATTTTAAATTGCTATTAAGGATATATCTGTAACAAAGGTAACAGCTTTTAAGTTTCCACTATAGAAATTGTTCAATCTCACCAGGCGCAGTGGCTCACGCCTGTAATCCCAGCATGTTGGGAGGCCGAGGCGGGTGGATCACCTGAGGTCAGGAGTTCAAGACCAGCCTGGCCAACATGGTGAGACCCTGTCTCCACTAAAAATATAAAAATTAGCTAGACGTGGTGGCAGGTGCCTGTAATCCTAGCTGTGCAGGAGGCTGAAACAGGAGAACTGCTCGAACCCAGGAGGTGGAGGTTGCAATGAGCCGAGACTGCGCCATTGCACTCTAGCCTGGGTGACAAGAGTGAAACTCTATCTCAAAAAAAAAAAATAAATAAATAAGAGAAATTGTTCAGTCTCTGTATTTATTTATCTATTTAATTATTTATTTATTGAGATGGAGTCTCACTCTGTCGCCAGGCTGGAGTGCAGTGGTGCCATCTCGGCTCACTGCAACCTCCACCTCCCGGGTTCAAGCGATTCTCCTGCCTCAGCCTCCCGAGTAGCTGGGATTACAGGCATGTGCCACCAAGCCCAGCTAATTTTTTTATTTTTAGTAGAGATGGGGTTTCACCATGTTGGCTAGGATGATCTCGATCTCTTGACCTCATGATCCGCCCGCCTTGGCCTCCCAAAGTGCTGGGATTACAGGCGTGAGCCATCACGCCCGGCCAATCTCTGTTTTTAAATGTGCCTTGACTATAAAATGAAAATTTATCTGATTGAATTAAGATATGCTTTTGTATTTTAATAAAATGATTAGAGTAGCAACATGACTGGTGATTGTATATTTTCACTGGATACATTTTAAGAATTACATGTTTTTTTTTCCTTTACATGCTGTTACTGTGAATAATATAACTTCTACTCTGAATTCTGTGGACCTATGGCGATGGAGCTTAGGGAGCTCTCAGTTGTACTCAAGGTGTGCTCATTATTTTTGTTATGGCAGCCTAGGATGACTATTAGAGCTCGATTTCCAAAAGCTCCATTTGATTCACAAAAGAGGGGCTTGGGAAGAGGGCAGGTGACAGGGGGCTTGAAGATTTTGTTTTGAACTTCTGTTATGGATTGAATTGTATCCCCTCTAAAGTCATATGTTGGAACCCTAGAGTGGCTATATTTGGAGATGAGACCTTTAAGGAAGTAACTAGGGTTAAATGGGGTCAAAACAGTGAGGCCCTGGTCTAATAAGATTACTGTCCTTAGAAGAGGAGACACCAGGCAGCTGAAGTGCTCTCTCTGTCTCTCTCTCTCTGTCTCTCTCCGTGTGTGTGTGTGTGTGTGTGTGCATGCATGTGTGTGTGTGTGTGTATGTCCCTGCTCAGAAGAAAAGCCATGAGGACAAAGCAGCCATCTTCAAGCCAGGAGGAGAGCTCTCACCAGAAATCAAACCTTGTGATGCCTTGATCTTGTACTTCTGGCCTCCAGAACTGTCAGAAAATGCATTTCTGTTGTTTAAACCCTACAGTCTGTGGTATTTTGTTATGGCTGACTGGGCTAAATGTTACAACTTCTATGGTGTTTGAAGTTTTCCATCAAAAATTTGTTTTTGTATTACTTTTGTCAAAAAAGGAGCCAAGAAATGTAACTCCCATCCACTGATAATTTAGCCCCCCTCACCTCCAAAATGAAGCTTTTCATTCTGGAGCAGGTATGTCCTTCATCATCCTCAAATCATGCTGGCTCTATTTATAAACAAACACAGAATAGTGTAATGGCATAAACTTTGAGAACTGGTGATGCTTTAATCTTTTGTCTTAGACAAACAGAGGTCTGGGATGCTGGGCTGGGACTGAGGTACTCTAGCTGGGAAGCTGAGGCAGGGATCTTCGAGACAAAACTATGCTTGGGTGAACTCTGCAATGCACGGGTGAGATCAAAGAAGGAGAATTTGTAGGGGGTGGGTGAAGAAAACTACCATGAGCATTCATTCACACTATACTACTTTTAAAGAATCAGTTTACAAGGAGTTGGGATGATAGGCTGATGCTTAACTGGGTGAATCGTTGATTTTGTGTTACTGTGCAATTTAGTTTACTGTAGAAATTACTGAAAGCAGCAGAAATTACTGAATGCTCAATGGCCACAGACTTTATGGTAGATTAAAGATTGAGGCAAATTCTTTGTTATTTCTTCATTGAGAGGTGAAGTGTAATAACTCACTCGAATCTGCATTGCCATAAGTGACTAGTTTGATAAAGATGACACTGCAACAGTGTCATGTGGGACTTCTGAGTCTCAGTTGTAAGAAGCTTTGCAGCTTCTACCTGGGTCTCTTGGTCTCTGGGAGTCTTGAGCTGCCATGAGAAAATTTCAGCTATTCTAAGACTACCTGTTTAGAGAGGCTTCTGATATACAGTACCTGTTTATTCAAGCCTTCTAGCCATTCCTGCCAAGGTGCCAGACACAAAAGTGATGCTGTTTTAGATTCTCCAAAGCAGCTGATCCACCAGCAGAATACCATCAAATGATCTTTGTTGTGCCATGTGGGACAGAAGAATCACCCTGCTGAGCCCTGCCCAGATACCATACCTATAAAATAAGGAGGTATAATAAAATACTTGTAGTATTAAGCCATTAAGTTTTGGCATAGTTTGTTATACAGCAACCAATAACGAGAACAGTTATTACCATTAACAAAACAAACCAGTCTACTAGTTTGCAAGTTGATTCTGTTGCAGGCTCCTTAGCTCCTTTTAACCCTGAGGAGCAAGATTTAATATCAAGTAAAGGGGAAAAACATACAGGTTGTAAAGTATGTAGGAGGAGACTTTCTCTTGATACAAGAATAATTGCTCAACAGCTGGAGAAATTCTGTAGGTGACACCCTACCCCTTATAATATTAGACAGTTTTGGGTGGGGAGGATCAGGGAGAAGTTAGCCAGGAACCCCTCAGCATGGCTGGGACTCTGTTGTAATCTCTCCTGGCTCCTGGCTCATATTTTTTAATCCTGAAAAAAGTTAGCCTTTTGTTCGTCACTGCCTAGACAGAAATAAGCTCTCTTTTCCAGATTTTCTGGGAGTAGCCAGTCAGGCACAAACTTTTACTTTCCTCAAAGAGAGACAAATTTTCTCTGATCACATATATCATTTTTCACCTGTATGATTTATTATAGCTTAAGGGAAATTCTTTAAAAAAAGAAATGGTCCAAATCTGAACTATTAGAATATTATAATTAAAAACACAAACAAACAGAAATATAATATTTTATATTCCTTGGTAATATTTGTCTATTGTGGAGAGGATTCCGGAGTCACTCAACATAGTCTTAGTTTTAGAGGTTATGTTCAAGACTACATTTCTTTTTCTTTTCAAACTCATAATTTCTAATTTTTAAAGTTTTGAAATGTAAATTATCTTCATTAGACTGAGAAAATAGAATGTTTTTACATGAGGGCCAATTACACATCTAGTAATGATAGTGTTTAAAAGAAGAGTAGAAGCAGAAGACAAAGCTAGAGGACACAAAGTTTTACTGAAAAATTAACATATAATAACATACTTTAATGATGTTTATTTGGTGGGGTTCCATCCACTTTGCTTTAGCCATGGGCTTTTTGCTTTCATCTGTTTTAGGGAATATGTTGCTTAAGGAAAATATTAGTAATGTCTGCAGAGCTGGGCTAATAAATTCCATTGCTGACTGGACTCCTTACTCAATCTGATAAATCAGTGGTTTTGTGGTTTCTGAAATCAGCAGAGCCCATCAATTAAAATACATACTGCAATTAATGTTTTTAATTATTAACACTCCAAATAAAACATTATCAGGGAGAATAAGCAATATATGCTGAGAAGGTGGTACACTATACAGAACAGCACAATATAAGGAACACTAAACTGGAAATCAAACATTCTGTGTCTGAGTTCCACCTTTGCTTGATGCTAGTTGCCAGCTTAATTTCTGGAGTCCCAGTCTTCCCATATGTAAAATGGTAATAATAACACCTCTTCAGGCTAATGCACAAGAATATGATGATTAGAATAAAATAAGGCAATGCAAGTAAATGATAAAATGCTATTTCTTTTTTTTTTTTTTTTTGAGATGGAGTCTCGCTCTGTCGCCCAGGCTGGAGGGCAGTGGCGCCATCTCAGCTTACTGCAAGCTCCGCCTCCCGGGTTTATGCCATTCTCCTGCCTCAGCCTCCCAAGTAGCTGGGACTACAGCTGCCTGCCACCATGCCCAGCTAATTGTTTTGTATTTTTAGTAGAGACGGGGTTTCACCATGTTAGCGAGGATGGTCTTGATCTCCTGACCTTGTGATCTGCCCACCTTGGCCTTCCAAAGTGCTGGGATTACAGGCATGAGCCACTGCGCCTGGCCAAAATGCTATTTCTTAAACTGGCCAAAACAAAACTAGAGATGGAGATGTCTCCAGTTTACCTGGGACAGTGGGGTCAGATGGCTGGACATTAGGATTAGTAAGGAGAAACCTCTTTCAGTTGAGTTGGCTAGAACTGTTAATGTTATTTTATCCCCATAAGATGTTTGTTTTTAAGGTGTGTTATGAGACTTGTTTTCTTTGCCTCCTCCACATTCATTTTGATTCTCAACACCCTTCTCTTTTACTTGTTCAGTCGACTATATGCCTAGGAATGGAATTGCTACATCATACACTAACTCTGTGTTTAATCTTTTGATGAACTTCTCATCTGTAAAATGAAAATAATACCTGTCTTAGGGGTGCCCTCTCTCACCACCCTTATTCAACATAGTGTTGGAAGTTCTAGCCAGGGCAATCAGGCAAGAGAAATAAATAAAGTGTATTCGATTAGGAAAACAGGAAGTCAAATTGTCCCTGTTTGCAGATGACATGACTGTATATTTAGAAAACCCCATCATCTCAGCCCAAAATCTCCTTAAGCTGATAAGCAACTTCAGCAAAGTCTCAGGATACAAAATCAATGTGCAAAAATCACAAGCATTCCTATACACCAAAAACAGACAAATAGAGAGCCAAATTGTGAGTGAATTCCCATTCACAATTGCTACAAAGAGAATAAAATACCTAGGAATCCAACTTACAAGGGATGTGAAGGATCTCTTCAAGGAGAACTACAAACCACTGCTCAACAAAATAAAAGAGAACACAAACAAATGGAAGAACATTCCATGCTCATGGTCAGGAAGAATCAATATTGTGAAAATGGCCATACTTCCTAAGGCAATTTATAGATTCAATGCCATCCCCATCAAGCTACCAATGACTTTCTTAACAGAATTGGAAAAACTACTTTAAAGTTCATATGGAACCAAAAAAGAGCCCACATTGCCAAGACAATCCTAAGCCAAAAGAACAAAGCTAGAGGCATCACACTACTTGACTTCAAACTATACTACAAGGCTACAGTAACCAAAACAGCACGGTACTGGTACCAAAACAGAGAGATAGACCAATGGAACAGAACAGAGCCCTCAGAAATAACACCACACATCTACAACCTGCAACATTTGACAAACCTGACAAAAACAAGAAATGGGGAAAGGATTCCCTATTTAATAAATGGTGCTGGGAAAACTGGCTAGCCATATGTAGAAAGCTAAAACTGGATCCCTTCCTTACACCTTATACAAAAATTAATTCAAGATGGATTAAAGACTTAAATGTTAGACCTAAAACCATACAAACCCTAAAAGAAAACCTAGGCAATACCATTTAGGGCATAGGCATGGGCAAGGACTTCATGTCTAAAACACCAAAAGCAATGGCAACAAAAGCCAAAATAGACAAATGAGATCTAATTAAACTAAAGAGCTTCTCCACAGCAAAAGAAGCTACCATCAGAGTGAACAGGCAACCTACAGAATGGGAGAAAATTTTTGCAATCTACCCACCTGACAAAGGGCTAATATCCAGAATCTACAAAGAACTTAAACAAATTTACAAGAAAAAAACAAACAACCCCATCAACAAGTGGGCAAAGGATATGAACAGACACTTCTCAAAACAAGACATTTATGCAGCCAACAGACACATGAAAAAATGCTCATCATTACTGGCCATCAGAGAAATGCAAATCAAAACCACAATGAGATACCATCTCACACCAGTTAGAATGGTGATCATTAAAAAGTCAGGAAACAACAGGTGCTGCAGAGGATGTGGAGAAACAGGAACACTTTTACACTGTTGGTGGGAGTGTAAACTAGTTCAACCATTGTGGAAGACAGTGTGGCGATTCCTCAAGGATCTAGAACTAGAAATACCATTTGACCCAGCCATCCCATTACTGGGTATATACCCAAAGGATTATATATCATGCTGCTATAAAGGCACATGCACATGTATGTTTATTGTGGCACTATTCACAATAGCAAAAACTTGGAACCAACCCAAATGTCCATCAGTGATAGACTGGATTAAGAAAATGTGGCACATATTCACCATGGAATACTACGCAGCCATAAAAAAGAATGAGTTGATGTCCTTTGCAGGGACATGGATGAGGCTGGAAGCCATCATTCTCAGCAAACTATCACAAGGACAGAAAACCAAACACCACATGTTCTCATTCATAGGTGGGAATTGAACAATGAAAACACTTGGACACAGGGCAGGGAACATCACACATGGGGGCCTGTGGGGTGGGAGGCAGGGGGAGGGATAGTATTAGGAAAAATACCTAATGTAAATGAAGAGTAGGGTGCAGCAAACCAACATGGCACATGTACACCTATGTAACAAACCTGCACGTTGTGTACATGTACCCTATAACTTAAAGTATAAAAATTAATAATAATACCTGTCTTAGCTAACTGCTTAGTTGTTTTTCTGTAGGGACTGTGTCAATGTAAATTTCTATCAGTAGTGTATGAAGATTCCAATTTTTCCACACATTCACTGTATTAGAGTACTCCTGAGAAACAGAACCAATAGGATACACATGCACACACGCCACACACCACACATACACACAGACACACACACACACAAACACATATTTATTATGGGAATTGGTTTACATGATTATGAAGGCTGAGAAGCCTCACAACCTGTCATCAGCAAGCTGGAGAACCAGGAAAGCCACTGGTATAATTCAGCCTGAGTCTCAAGGCCTGAGAACCAGGGCAGCCAATGATGATGTAAGTCTTGATCTGAGTCCAAAGGCCTGAGAAGGGGGTTGGGAGGTGATAATATAAGCCCCACTCCAAGTTCAAAGGCCTGAGAACCAGGAGCGCGCATGTTCATAGGCAGGAGAAGATGGATGTCCCAGCTCAAACAGAGAATTAATTTGCCCCCTTTTCACTGCCATTTTGTTCTATTATAATGTAGTATAATAATAGAATGTTCTATTGTAATAGAATATTATTATAAAAATATAGTAGTATTATAATATAGTATTATAATAGAACGTTCTATTATAATATGATATTTGGGCCCTCAACAGATTGGATGATGCCTGTCCTCACTGGTGGGGGTCATCTTCCTTACTCAGTCTACTGATTCAAATGCTAATCTCTTCCACAGATACCCTCACAGACACACCCAGAAATGATGCGTTACCAGCTATCTGGCCATCCCTTAGCCCTGTCAAGTTGATGCATAAAGTTAATCATCGCACTCACTAATATTTGTTATTATGTATCTTCGTTATTATGATCATCCTAGTTGGTGTAAAATGGTATCTCATTGTGACTTTTTATTTGCGTTTACATGATAGCTAATGATTTTTTTTTATTATTATACTTTAAGTTCTAGGGTACATGTGCACAACGTGCAGGTTTGTTACATATGTATACATGTGCCATGTTGGTGTGCTGCACCCATTAACTCGTCATTTACATTAGGTATATCTCCTAATGCTTTCCCTCCCCACTTCCCCCACCCCACAACAGGCCCCAGTGTGTGATGTTCCCCTTCCTGTGTCCAAGTGTTCTCATTGTTCAATTCCCACCTATGAATGAGAACATGCGGTGTTTGGTTTTTTGTTCTTGCGATAGTTTGCTGAGAATGATGGTTTCCAGCTTCATCCATGTCCCTGCAAAGGACATGAACTCATCCTTTTTTATGGCTGCATAGTATTCCATGGTGTATATGTGCCACATTTTCTTAATCCAGTATATAATTGATGGACATTTGGGTTGGTTCCAAGTTTTTGCTATTGTGAATAGTGCCGCAATAAACATACATGTGCATGTGACTTTATAGCAGCATGATATATAATCCTTTGGGTATATACCCAGTAATGGGATGACTGGGTCAAATGGTATTTCTAGTTCTACATCCTTGAGGAGTCGCCACACTGTCTTCCACAATGGTTGAACTAGTTTACACTCCCACCAACAGTGTAAAAGTGTTCCTACTTCTCCACATCCTCTGCAGCACCTGTTGTTTCCTGACTTTGTAATGATCGCCATTCTAACTGGTGTGAGATGGTATCTCACTGTGGTTTTGATTTGCATTAAAGGGGATATCACCACTGATCCCGCAGAAATACAAACTACCATCAGAGAATACTATGAACACCTCTACGCAAATAAACTAGAAAATCTAGAAGAAATGGATAAATTCCTGGACACATACACCCTCCCATGACTAAACCAGAAAGAACTTGAATCCCTGAATAGACCAATAACAGGCTCTGAAATTGAGGCAATAATTAATAGCCTACCAATCAAAAAAAGTCCAGGACCAGACGGATTCACAGCTGAATTCTACCAGAGGTACAAGGAGGAGCTGGTACCATTCCTTCTGAAACTATTCCAATCAATAGAAAAAGAGGGAATCCTCCCTAACTCATTTTATGAGGCCAGTATCATCCTGATACCAAAGCCTGGCAGAGACACAACAAAAAAGAGAATTTTAGGCCAATATCCTGGATGAACATTGATGCAAAAATCCTCAATAAAATACTGGCAAACTGAATCCAGCAGCACATCAAAAAGCTTATCCACCATGATCAAGTGGGCTTCATCCCTGGGATGCAAGGCTGGTTCAACATACACAAATCAATAAACGTAATCCAGCATATAAACAGAACCAAAGACAAAAACCACATGATTATCTCAATAGTTGCAGAAAAGGCCTTTGAAAACTGGCACAAGACAGGGATAACTAATGATGTTAAGCTTTATCATGTGTTTTTGATCATTTGTATACCTTTGGGGAAATGCCTATTCAGATTTTTTGTTCATTTTTAATTGGGCTATTTGTCTTTTTATTAAGTTGTAAGAGTTATTTGAAATAGGTAAGTGTGAATTTCCCAAATTTGTTCTTATTTGAGATTGTTTTGGCTATTTGGGATCACTTGTACTTCCATATCGCTTTATGATCAGCTTGTTCATATCTATAAACAGTCAGCTGAGATTTTGATATGTATTGTGTAGACTCTGTAGCTCAATTTGGACAGTAGATCAGTTATTAATTGTGTAGATTGATTATTCTGTTGGTTAATTTTCTGTGTCAGCTTGGATAGTGCTTTGAATGGGATTAATATTGAAATTGTTGAACTCTGGGGAAAGCAGATTGCCCTTCGTCATGTGGGTGGGCCTCATTCAATCAGTTGAAAGCCGGGATAGAACAAAAAGATTAGCCTTTCTGTGCAAGAGGAAAATTCTTCAGCAGACTGTCCTTGGACTTCATCTTCTCCATTGGCTTTTCTGGGTCTCCAATCTGACAGGCCACACTGCAGATTTTGAGTGAAATATGGCCACACTTGCCAGCTTTCATAATCGTGTGAACCAATTCCTTTTAGTAAATCTCTGTCTATCTCTCTATCTATCTATCTATCTATCTATCTATCTATCTATCATCAATCATCTATCTACATATCTATCTGGCTGTGTGTACACTCACATCTTTATATATATATATATGTATACACACACATCCTGTTAGTTCTGTTTCTCTGGAGAACCCTAACACACAAATTCACTGTCTTCATTTGTTACAGGTTTACTCCAATTTTTTTTTCTTAAACTTGTTTCAGTAGTTTGCACTTTATAGGACTTTTTCCATTTCCTGTAAGTTATCAATTTTGTTAGCATACACTTGTTTATAGTATTTCCTTATAATTGTTTTAAGGAAATACTATAAATAATGGTATGCCAATAAAATGGATTATAAAATCCTTTAATAATCCATTACTCTCATTAGGTTGGTAGTTATGCCTCCCTTCTATTCCTGATTTTAGTAATTTTAGTCTTCTCTCCTTTTTTTCCTAACTTAGGAGATATAAATTCAAGTAGCTCTGAATACATGCTCCCTTGTCTTCTTTTTGTCCCCTTGGTCAGTTTTGATAAAAATTTGAGCTATGTTGATCTTTGTAAAGAGCCAACTTCTGGTTTTATTGGTATTCTCTATTGCGTTCTAGTCTCTATTTCACTAATTTCTACTCAAATATTCATTTTTTTCTTATTATTGCTTTAGTATCAGGTTGCTTTCCTTTTTCTGGAGTCTTAAGGTGGAAAGTTACATTATTTGTTTGAGATCTTCGTTTTTTTCTCAATATAGGCAATTATAGCTATAAATTTCCCTCTAAGCACTGTTTTAACTGCAAGCAATATTTTGGAGTGTCCTGTTTTAATTTTTATGCATCATAGAGTATACTCTAATTTCCTTTTCAAATTTATATTTAGAAGTGTGTTTAAGTTCCACATATTTGTGAATTTCCCAAATTTCCTTCTATTATTATTTCAAATTTCACTTATTATGGTCTGAGAACAGACTTTGGATGAAACACAGTTTGTATGATTGTAACTTTTAAAATTTATTGTGGCTTGTTTTATGACCTAATATATGATTTACCCTGAAGGATGTTCCATATGCACTTGAGATGAATGTGTATTCTGTTGTTATGAGTGGAATGTTCTATACATACCTGTTAGGTCTGGTTAGTTTATAGTGTTGTTCATATTTTCTACTTATTTATCGATCTTCTAGTTGTTCTACCCATTACTGAAAGTGGTATATTGAAGTATCCAAATACGATTGTTGAATTGTCTATCTTGCCTTTCAATACTGTCAGTTTTTGCTTATATTTTGGGGGATCTGTTATTAGGAACATGTATATTTATAATAGTTATATCTTCCTGATGGATTGACTCTTTCATCATTATAAAATGTCTGTCTTTAATGCTAGTGACTTTTTTTTTTTTGCTTTGAAGTCTATTTTGTCTGATATTGATATAGTCACTCTAGCTTTCTTATTGTTGTTCTTTGCATGATGTATCTTTTTCAATCCCTTTACTTTCTACGTATGTGAATCTTTAGGTGTAAAGTATGTCTCCTTATATACAGCATATAGTTGGATCATTAAAAAATTCAATCTAATAATCTGCATTTTTATTGGATCATTTAACTCATTCACATTAATACTATGTTTTGTTTTGCTTTGTTGTACCATGAGAAAAGGAATTTTTTTTAATAAATGGGAAGACAGAGAATTTTAGCCTTTATTCTTTTTATTATTTATTTGTTTACTTA
Organism: Homo sapiens; assembly: GCF_000001405.40. NCBI lineage: Eukaryota > Metazoa > Chordata > Mammalia > Primates > Hominidae > Homo > Homo sapiens. Next base: position 94,735,580 of record NC_000013.11, read on the forward strand.
TTTAGAGACAGCATCTGGCTCTGTCACACTGGCTAGAGTGCAGTGGTTTAATCATAGTTCACTGCAGCTTTGAACTCCTGGGCTCAAACAAATACTATTAATACTATTAATATACTTGTATTTATGCCAGCCAATTTACTTTTTATTTTCTATATGTCTCATATCTTTTCTCTTTCTGTATTCCTCCTTAGCTACTTTCTTTGGCATTAAATTAGTATTTTCTAATGTAGCATTTTAATTTCTTAATACATTTTTCATTATATTTAAAATTTTTTTAGTGATAGTGCTAGAGCATACCATATACATCTTAATGTATCAGAATCGACTTCAGGTTATATCAATTTAATTTCAGTGAGATATAAAAGCATTACTTCTCTATAACTCTATTTTCTCTTTCCCTTTGTCATGCTATTGTTGTTGTACATATTATACCTATATGTGTGACAAACCAAAGAATACATTGTTATAATTATAACAATGTATCATTATTACTATAACAATGTATTGTTGCATTTGTATAACTGTAAAGAAGCTAAAAGAAAAAAGGGGAACAAGTATATATTTTTTGAATTTATTGTTTTAACCTTCTTATTTATCATTTCTTGTTCCTTTGTCCATGTGGATTTGAGTTACCATCTGATGTAATCGCCTTAGTGCAATCCAGCTTTGCTCCACTTGCCTCCTTTGTGCCACTATTGTCAAATATATTACATTTCTCTATGTCATAGGCCTAAAAATAAAATTATGTACATATTGTTTTATACAATAACTTTTTAATTAAATTAGGAGGAGAAAGGAAAAGAAATATACATTGATACCATCTTTATATTTGCATTATTACCGTCACTGGTGCTCTTTGTTTCTTTATGTGGATTCGAACTCCTCCCTGGGCTCAATTGCTCTTATCCCAAATAAATCCCTTTATAGCTTTTGTAAGATTGATCTGCTTGCAGCAAATTCTCTCAGTTTTTATTTACCTGAGAATGCCTTATTTAATCCTCATTTTTGAAAGATATTTTTGCTCAAGGTAAGATTCTTGGTTGACAAGTTTTTTTCCTTTCAGCACTTTCAATATGTCATTCCACTGCCATCAGCCTCCATTGTTTCCAATGAGAAGTTGACTATTAATCTTATTGGGTTTCTTTATATATCAGAAGTGATTTTCCTCTTGCACTTTCAAAATTTTCTTTGTTTTTCAACATTTTTATTATGATGTGTCTGGGTGTGGATATCTTTATTGTTACCTTGAGTAAGTTCATCAAGCTTCTTGTGTGTGTAAACTGGTGCTTTAAATCAAATTTAGAAGGTTTACAGCAATTATTTCTTATAATCTTTTAATTAATTATAGCACAACTATTTTTGTGTTCTTTTCTCTCTCTTCTCTGCTGTTACATTCATTACTCATATATTGGTGAGCTTAATAGTGTCCCACATTTCTCTAAGGCTCTGTTTATTTTTCCTTATTCACTTTGCCCTGTTCTTCAGATTGCATAATCTCTATCAAGCTGTTAAAGTTCTCTGATTCTCTCAGAGTGACCAAATCTATTGTTGAGACCCTCTAATAAGTTTTTAGTTATTGTACTTCCGAACTCCAGAATTTTTATTTTTAAAAAATAATTTCTGGGCCAGGCGCAGTGGCTCACGCCTGTAATCCCAGCACTTTGGTAGGCTGAGGTGGGCGGATCACGAGTCAGGAGACTGAGACCATCCTGGCTAACACGGTGAAATGCTGTCTCTACTAAAAATACAAAAAATTAGCCGGGCGTGGTGGCGGGCGCCTGTAGTCCCAGCTACTTGAGAGGCTGAGGCAGGTGAATGGCATGAACCAGGGAGGCGGGCTTGCAGTGAGCCAAGATCACGCCACTGCACTCTAGCCTGGGTGACAGTGCGAGACTCCATCTCAAAATAATAATAATAATAATAATAATTTCTATTTATTATTAATTTTCCTCTCAATAATGAGTAATTGTCATCATAGTCTGTTTTGCTCCTTTCAGCAGATTCTTTGAACGTATTTATAAAAGCTGCTTTAAAGTTTGCCAAGTCTGACATCTGGGCCCTCTCACAGGCAGTTTCTGTTGTCTGCTTTCCCCTGTGTATGGGTTATAGTTTCCTGTTTCTATGTCTTATAATTTTGAAAATAGCATATTTTAGATAACTTATGGTAGCAACTTGAGATACTGTTTCTTCATGCCCTCTTTGGTTTTCTCATCTTGTGTTTCTCAGAGTGGAGCTTGGAGTGGGGGCA